>NC_000023.11:153566515-153869545 GCF_000001405.40 Homo sapiens | reverse complement strand
GGCCAATGCCTACATCTACGTTGTCCGTGAGTGCCCTCCCTTCCTTACCTCCTAACTCCCAGTCTGTCCCTGCAGCCCACTGGGCCAGGCCACCAGAGTGGCTCAGCTGGCAGCTGATGTGTCCTCGGCCTACCAGGCTGGCGCCGACCTTTCTCCTTGCTGACACCCTTCGCCCCATCTCACTCAGCCTCACGATAGCCGAGGGAGATGTAAGAGGGGAAAGGTCTTGTCACTGTGACTGAGCGGACCGCTGTGCCACAGGATGTGACCAAGGCCAGCCCAGGTGGCACCTCTCCTGGAACTTCAGGGAAGGCTGGGGACTAGGCCAGGAAGGCTTCTGGGGAGAGGTGACTGTCAGTTAGGCCTGGAATAACGTAAAAGTTGGGTGGCTGTGACCAGAGGCGCATCTGAGGCAGAGGGCAGTGTCTGAAGGCAGAGAGAGACACAGCCTGGCGGGGGCCTCAGCTGGGAGCAGGGAAGCAAGATTTGCAGGGCTCTTGGGGGCCCGAGGAAGCCGTGCAGAGGGTCCCTGGCTCCTGGCCCAGCTGTGGTCCCAAGTCCTGCCCTGTCTCCTGAGGCTGTTCCTCCCCTAGAGCTGCCAGCCAAGATCCTGACTGCGGACAATCAGACGTACATGGCTGTCCAGGGCAGCACTGCCTACCTTCTGTGCAAGGCCTTCGGAGCGCCTGTGCCCAGTGTTCAGTGGTGAGTGTCTCGTCCTGGTAGTGGTGAGTGTCGTGTCCCAGTGGCCAGGGAGCCAGGGAGGGCAGGGAGCCCAGGCCAGCCAGTCAGAGCCAGGCCCGCCCTGCTCCCTCCAGGCTGGACGAGGATGGGACAACAGTGCTTCAGGACGAACGCTTCTTCCCCTATGCCAATGGGACCCTGGGCATTCGAGACCTCCAGGCCAATGACACCGGACGCTACTTCTGCCTGGCTGCCAATGACCAAAACAATGTTACCATCATGGCTAACCTGAAGGTTAAAGGTCAGGCAACCCTTGCCACATGGCTGGCAGTGCCTCTGGGAGGGAGGGTCTGGGCCTCTGGAGGACAACAGAGTGACTTCCCCACGCACGCATTACCCTCAGATGCAACTCAGATCACTCAGGGGCCCCGCAGCACAATCGAGAAGAAAGGTTCCAGGGTGACCTTCACGTGCCAGGCCTCCTTTGACCCCTCCTTGCAGCCCAGCATCACCTGGCGTGGGGACGGTCGAGACCTCCAGGAGCTTGGGGACAGTGACAAGTGAGGACAGTGACGGTGAAAGGGGGCAGAGTGGGAAAAGCTGGAAGTCCAGACCTCTTGGCCTCGTCCTTGCTTTGATGGGGAAGGCTCTGACAGGAGCGGGGGAAGGAGACAGGAGGGAGGGATGGGAGGGGAGAAGAGCCCAGATGGCAGGAAAGACAGACACGGCTCCTCCGCAGGTACTTCATAGAGGATGGGCGCCTGGTCATCCACAGCCTGGACTACAGCGACCAGGGCAACTACAGCTGCGTGGCCAGTACCGAACTGGATGTGGTGGAGAGTAGGGCACAGCTCTTGGTGGTGGGTAAGTCCTAGGGTGGAAGCCTCCACTCCAGAAGGCCGGGGCTCACATCCCTGGGCCCTTTCAAGCACCGACCCTCCCCACCCTCAGGGAGCCCTGGGCCGGTGCCACGGCTGGTGCTGTCCGACCTGCACCTGCTGACGCAGAGCCAGGTGCGCGTGTCCTGGAGTCCTGCAGAAGACCACAATGCCCCCATTGAGAGTAAGAGGCTTGAGCTCAGTGCCACCCCACCGTCACTTCTGCCAGCCCTGGCCCCTCCTGGGGTCCTCCCTCCTCCTGGAGCCTTCCTGGGGGGACACGGTTTGGGGGGACTCACGGTTCCTCATGGGAATCTGGAGATGCCAGTTGGCCTGGGTAATCAGGGACCCAGACTGTACCCAACCCCTCCACAGCCCTTCCCCCAAAGCCACATGCTGATCACTCCATTGTCGGTTCATTTCTTGGCAGAATATGACATTGAATTTGAGGACAAGGAAATGGCGCCTGAAAAATGGTACAGTCTGGGCAAGGTTCCAGGGAACCAGACCTCTACCACCCTCAAGCTGTCGCCCTATGTCCACTACACCTTTAGGGTTACTGCCATAAACAAATATGGCCCCGGGGAGCCCAGCCCGGTCTCTGAGACTGTGGTCACACCTGAGGCAGGTGAGTCAGGGTGGCACCCACTCCCATGCCACCTGGAAGGGGCTCCGGGCTGTGAAGGGAGGGCTTAGAGAGGTGCCATGCCCAAGTTCCTCTGCTTCCAAATTTCCAGGGGGAGCGCGAGGGGGCTGGACTCCCTTGGTGCCAGAATGAGCCATTTGTTCCTTGGCCCTCGGTCCTCGTGGCTCTCCAAAAGAGGCTGCAGCATTGATGTGTTAATACTTTCCTTTCCAGCCCCAGAGAAGAACCCTGTGGATGTGAAGGGGGAAGGAAATGAGACCACCAATATGGTCATCACGTGGAAGGTGAGAGTCCCTGGGCTGAGCTGCCTGGGGGACATGAGGCCATGACCTGGGTGTCTGTTGCTCCCCCTTGGCTATGCAAAGGAAGGGGCTGATGTCTGGGGATGCTGGTTTGTGCTGGGGGGCGGGCCAAAGAATGCTGGTGTTCTTGGCCAACCAACTCCTCTTCTGCTGGCCTCCTCCAGCCGCTCCGGTGGATGGACTGGAACGCCCCCCAGGTTCAGTACCGCGTGCAGTGGCGCCCTCAGGGGACACGAGGGCCCTGGCAGGAGCAGATTGTCAGCGACCCCTTCCTGGTGGTGTCCAACACGTCCACCTTCGTGCCCTATGAGATCAAAGTCCAGGCCGTCAACAGCCAGGGCAAGGGACCAGAGCCCCAGGTCACTATCGGCTACTCTGGAGAGGACTGTGAGTATCCGGCAGGGCCCCTCGCCCACGGTTGAGCTCGCCTGCTTCCACCCCAGCCCATGTCCACACCTCTCAGCATTGGTGTGCGCCTTTCCTAAGGATGAGGATATTCTCTTACATAACCAGAGCGACGTTATGAAATTCCCCACACTTCACATTTCTATAATTGGCAGCGGTATTCCAGTTATATCAGCCAATGCTGCTTCTTTCATTTCCTTGAATCTGGAACATGACCAGATGGTAACTTGAAGTACCCGGTCAAGTTTTTTTTCTGGTTTCTCCTTTTTTTCTTTTCTTTTTTCTTTTCTTTTCTTTTCTTTCTTTTTTTTTTTTTTTGAGATGGAGTCTTGCTCTGTCATCCAGGCTGGAGTGCAGTGGAGCGGTCTTGGCTCACTGCAACCTCTGCCTCCCGGGTTCAAGCGATTCTCCTGCCTCAGCCTCCTGATTAGCTGGGATTACAGGCACGCGCCACCACACCCAACTAATTTTCGTATTTAGTAGAGATGCGGTTGCACCATGTTGATCAGGTTGGTCTCGAACTCCAGACCTCAAATGTTCCACTCGCCTCTGTCTCCCAAAGTGTTGGGAATACGGGTGTGAACCATCACGCCCAGCCATGGTTTCTCCTTTGTATAAGCTACTATTTTCACCTTTGCAACTAATAAGCAGTCCAGGAAGAGATCTTGAGACCATGCAAACACACCTCTCCTCCTCAAACTGTACCTCATAAAATATCCGAATTCGTCTTCTCTGTGTGTAGGGGCTTGGGCCTGGCCTCAGGGCTGGGGTGAGAGCCTATGGCTCTATCCAAGTCACTGGTGGTTTCCAGACCCCCAGGCAATCCCTGAGCTGGAAGGCATTGAAATCCTCAACTCAAGTGCCGTGCTGGTCAAGTGGCGGCCGGTGGACCTGGCCCAGGTCAAGGGCCACCTCCGCGGATACAATGTAAGGGTTGAAGGCATGGGGGCCCAGGAGGGTGATCACTGAGGTAAAGCGACAGGATGGTGAGGGGGCTTTGCCACCTGCCAGCCGCTCTCCTGGAAGACTTGGGTTGAGAGGAGGGTCCCCATTAAGGGTGGTGGGGGTGTGCGCTGGGGGCCCTGCTGGGTGCCTTCTGCCCCTGCGAGGTCTCCTGTTCGCTTGTGCAGGTGACGTACTGGAGGGAGGGCAGTCAGAGGAAGCACAGCAAGAGACATATCCACAAAGACCATGTGGTGGTGCCCGCCAACACCACCAGTGTCATCCTCAGTGGCTTGCGGCCCTATAGCTCCTACCACCTGGAGGTGCAGGCCTTTAACGGGCGAGGATCGGGGCCCGCCAGCGAGTTCACCTTCAGCACCCCAGAGGGAGGTGAGTCCTGCACCCCACGCCTCATCCCCTGCCCTCCTCCCCAGACCTGGGCGAGGACCTACCTGCCACTCGGTTCTGTGCCCTGCAGTGCCTGGCCACCCCGAGGCGTTGCACCTGGAGTGCCAGTCGAACACCAGCCTGCTGCTGCGCTGGCAGCCCCCACTCAGCCACAACGGCGTGCTCACCGGCTACGTGCTCTCCTACCACCCCCGTGCGTGCGCCGCCCCAGCAGGGAAGGGAGGTGGAGGGGCCACGGGGAGGGGGCAGAGCTGCAGCCACAGCCAACCCCTGTCTGTCCCCACAGTGGATGAGGGGGGCAAGGGGCAACTGTCCTTCAACCTTCGGGACCCCGAACTTCGGACACACAACCTGACCGATCTCAGCCCCCACCTGCGGTACCGCTTCCAGCTTCAGGCCACCACCAAAGAGGGCCCTGGTGAAGCCATCGTACGGGAAGGAGGCACTATGGCCTTGTCTGGTAAGCTGGAGGAATGACCTGCCAACAGGGAGGCCCCGGCCAGCCGGGTCCAGGAGGGAGGGCCTTAGACTTCCTGGCAGCTGCCACACTCTCCTCGTTCCCCTGCATCCCCCCAGGGATCTCAGATTTTGGCAACATCTCAGCCACAGCGGGTGAAAACTACAGTGTCGTCTCCTGGGTCCCCAAGGAGGGCCAGTGCAACTTCAGGTTCCATATCTTGTTCAAAGCCTTGGGAGGTAAGCGTGAAAGGGGGCCTTGGGGCGTGGTGGGGAAGGGGGCTCTGGGCCAGAGGGGTTGCCTGGCACTCCGACTCACCCCTGCTGCCACCCTCTCTCCCTGGCAGAAGAGAAGGGTGGGGCTTCCCTTTCGCCACAGTATGTCAGCTACAACCAGAGCTCCTACACGCAGTGGGACCTGCAGCCTGACACTGACTACGAGATCCACTTGTTTAAGGAGAGGATGTTCCGGCACCAAATGGCTGTGAAGACCAATGGCACAGGTGAGGCGCCGGGGGCCCGCCATCACCTGCCAGGGAAGCATGGGGGCTGCACAATTCATGTCCTTCTGTCCCCTGAATGGCCACTACTGCCCAGGCTCCCTCCACGGCTCCTGTCTGCTTCTCCTCCCAGAATCTGGGTGTCCCCGAATCAGCCCCCTTTCATACCCTTTCCGCAGATGCCCTTTTCCCTGTCCCTGTCACTCCTTAGCCCCCCAGAGGGCCCCAACTTTAAGAGCATACTTCAGGGCCTCAGGTCGGGTTCTGGCTTGGGCGGCAGCACGGGGGGCTGGTGTCTCACCCTCAGGCCGCGTGAGGCTCCCTCCTGCTGGCTTCGCCACTGAGGGCTGGTTCATCGGCTTTGTGAGTGCCATCATCCTCCTGCTCCTCGTCCTGCTCATCCTCTGCTTCATCAAGCGCAGCAAGGGCGGCAAATACTCAGGTAGCCTCTGAGCCCCACGTGACGGGGGTGGAGCCGAGGGCAGAGAGGAGCACCTCGCCCCTTCCACCCTTCTGCAAGGCCTCCTGGATTCCCCGAGCTCCCCACAAGATGACAGGCGCATGGTGGGGGCAGGCAGGGGGATCATCCTCCCAGGCCGGGGTTGGGGCAACAGGCAAGTGGTGGCTGGACCGCAGGGGGTGAGCGGTTTCTTTCAAGGCCTCTTGCCTCTGGGCGCTGTTGAGACAGAGTGCTGGGGGTGCGGGGCGTAGAGGGGCCTGGAGCCCCGGGTCAGGCTGGGGCGGGAGAAGAAGCTGTCCCTCTCTGTGTCTCCAGTGAAGGATAAGGAGGACACCCAGGTGGACTCTGAGGCCCGACCGATGAAAGATGAGACCTTCGGCGAGTACAGGTGAGCCGGGGCAGGAGTGGGTGCTGGCACTCAGCTCCACCCTGGCCTTCACATCTCACCCCCTCTCTCTCTTCTCTGTGCTGCCGGGTGACTTCAGGTCCCTGGAGAGGTAAGGCAGGGGCGGTGGGGAGGGGCCAACAGCAAGGTCTCCCTATAGACAATGTGCGCCTGGTGTGCCATTGTCCCCTGGCTGCCGGGGCTCTGACAGGACTCTCACTTCCCAGCCCCCAGGCCCGGCAGCTCCTCATTTCAGGGAGAGGCCAACACGCCCCAGCCCCTCCTCTCCACACAGATACCTTCACTGCTCCCCTCTCCCCAAGGGAGGCCCCAGACAGCTTCCCAGACAGGAACCAGGCCCCATAATCCCCTGGCCGAGCGCACATTTTCTCCCTCACAGTCCCCAGGATCTGGGGAATGCCCAAAGATGACAGCTCCAGACCTGCCTGCCAGGGTGGCCAGAGCTGCTCTTTCTGAGCGCATTCTAAACAAATGGAAGGCAGGCGGGCGTCTGCCTCACCCCCAGCCAGGCTCCTGCAGGGGCTCGGCAGTGCTCTCACTCGCACCTGCCCTGTGCCTCTGCAGTGACAACGAGGAGAAGGCCTTTGGCAGCAGCCAGCCATCGCTCAACGGGGACATCAAGCCCCTGGGCAGTGACGACAGCCTGGCCGATTATGGGGGCAGCGTGGATGTTCAGTTCAACGAGGATGGTTCGTTCATTGGCCAGTACAGTGGCAAGAAGGAGAAGGAGGCGGCAGGGGGCAATGACAGCTCAGGGGCCACTTCCCCCATCAACCCTGCCGTGGCCCTAGAATAGTGGAGTCCAGGACAGGAGATGCTGTGCCCCTGGCCTTGGGATCCAGGCCCCTCCCTCTCCAGCAGGCCCATGGGAGGCTGGAGTTGGGGCAGAGGAGAACTTGCTGCCTCGGATCCCCTTCCTACCACCCGGTCCCCACTTTATTGCCAAAACCCAGCTGCACCCCTTCCTGGGCACACGCTGCTCTGCCCCAGCTTGGGCAGATCTCCCACATGCCAGGGGCCTTTGGGTGCTGTTTTGCCAGCCCATTTGGGCAGAGAGGCTGTGGTTTGGGGGAGAAGAAGTAGGGGTGGCCCGAAAGGGTCTCCGAAATGCTGTCTTTCTTGCTCCCTGACTGGGGGCAGACATGGTGGGGTCTCCTCAGGACCAGGGTTGGCACCTTCCCCCTCCCCCAGCCACTCCCCAGCCAGCCTGGCTGGGACTGGGAACAGAACTCGGTGTCCCCACCATCTGCTGTCTTTTCTTTGCCATCTCTGCTCCAACCGGGATGGGAGCCGGGCAAACTGGCCGCGGGGGCAGGGGAGGCCATCTGGAGAGCCCAGAGTCCCCCCACTCCCAGCATCGCACTCTGGCAGCACCGCCTCTTCCCGCCGCCCAGCCCACCCCATGGCCGGCTTTCAGGAGCTCCATACACACGCTGCCTTCGGTACCCACCACACAACATCCAAGTGGCCTCCGTCACTACCTGGCTGCGGGGCGGGCACACCTCCTCCCACTGCCCACTGGCCGGCCTCTTCCAGCCGCCCCCACCCCCCAGGACCCCTTAGCAGCCCTGCCCTCCCTATCGTCTGAACAGTTGTCTTCCTCAGCCTCCTCCCGCCCCCACCTTGGGAATGTAAATACACCGTGACTTTGAAAGTTTGTACCCCTGTCCTTCCCTTTACGCCACTAGTGTGTAGGCAGATGTCTGAGTCCCTAGGTGGTTTCTAGGATTGATAGCAATTAGCTTTGATGAACCCATCCCAGGAAAAATAAAAACAGACAAAAAAAAAGGAAAGATTGGTTCTCCCAGCACTGCTCAGCAGCCACAGCCTCCCTGTATGCCTGTGCTTGGTCTACTGATAAGCCCTCTACAAAAAAACAAAAGTATATATATATATGTACATAATATCAGAATTATAACAGGCAAATAAAACCTGAAAATCAAGAGCACCTTTTGTTATTTCGCGGAACACTTACTTCCCCTGTCCACGTCACACTGTGGGAGGTGCTAGGAGCGACCTGCCAGGCGGGCCCGGGTGTGGCCCAGCCACACAGTCCTGATGCTTCCCTGCCCCTTCCCAGAGCCCGGGCCTTCCACCCACCCTGCCAGGCCTGGCTGTTGGCTGCCTTGGGTGTTGCTGTCACATTGTTGCTGGGGCTCAGGATCCTCGCCTCTGCTGGCCTCCTGAGACCAAGCTTAGCTGTCACCATGGCCGGGCCCTTCACTGCTCAAACATGAGAGTAGAGTGTGGCCAGCGGCAGGAGCCTCTTCCCCTGTCTCAAGGGACACAGCTCCATGGCTCAGTGGAAGACTCATGATGTGCCCCGGTGGCATCGTTCTCTCTGGGGTACCCAGCCCTCTAAACCAGTACAAAGCACCTTATTTATTTATTTTTTGAGACAGGGTCTCACTCTGTCTCCCAGGCTGAAGTGCAGTGGCGTGATCAGGAGCAGGTGAGACCATCTACAGCCATAGATGGCAGGACAGGGCTTACCTCTGTAGCTGGGGATTGGTTGCCTGGAAGCACAAAGGCATTCTCTGTGGTGATGCAAATGTTCTTTAGTTTGGTCCGAGTCGTGGTTGCATGTGTGGATAGGCAGGTAAAAAAATCAGGTTGCAGCGACCTGAGATTGTACCAGTGCACTCCAGCCTGGGCGACAGAGCGAGACAAAGAAAGAAAAAGAAAGAAAGAAAGAAAGAGAGAGAGAGAGAGAGAGAGAGAGAGAGAGAGGGAGGGAGGGAGGGAGGGAAAGAGAGAAAGAAAGAAAGAGAGAGAGAGACAGAGAGAGAGAGGGAGGGAGGGAGGGAAAGAGAAAGAAAGAAAGAAGAAAGAAAGAGAAAGACAAAGCAAGAAAGCAAGCAAGAAAGAAAGAAAGGAAGGGAGGGAGGGAGAGAAAGAAAAGGAAAGAAAGAGAAAGAAAGAAAGAAAAAAGAAAGAAAGAAAGAAAGAAAGAAAGAAAGAAAGAAAGAAAGAAAGAAAGAAAGAAAGAAAACCCAGCACAGGTGAGCCCTCCACTTCCCGGGCTCAAGAAATCCTCTGGCTTCAGCCTCTCAAGTAGCTAGGACCACTGGAGCACGCCACCACGCCTGGCTAATCTTTAAATTATTGTTGTAGAGATGGAGTCTCCCTATGTTGCTCAGGCTGGTTTCGAACTCCTGGGCTCAAGCAATTCTCCCACCTCGGCCTCCCGATAGTGCTGGCATTACAGGCGTGAGCCACCACACCCAGCCCAGGACTAAGCACCTTAGATTTATGACCACAAGCCTCAAGTGGACCCAGGCAGAGCCAGCCTTCCTTGGGAATTCTAGAGTTTCCTCCCTGGTTCTCCAAGGCCTCACACCTTCCCCTCAGCCCCCAGGCCCTGCACTTTCAAGGTGAGAACTTTGTTTCATGTTTCACTGAGCAAGTTGAGAGCATCTGACGAGAATTTCTTTCCTTGAGTTCCCATCATCAAATCTGTCCCCTCCCCAGCCCTAGCCCCCTCAGGTGAACACTTCCCACCATGTGCAGTGGTCTCTGCCACCCCTGAGACCCCCTCTCTCCTCCTGTTTTCTGCACCTGTAATTTTTCTCTCTCCCTGTGGGGTCAGGCCCAGCAGCATACCAACATGCCCTTGGAGCTTCTATCACCGGAAGCTCCCGCTCCTGCCTCCGCATGCCCCCTGGCTCTTGCCCCGTTTCACTGCTCCTGTTTACAGCAAAACCCCTCAAGACTCCTCTACACTCATTGTCCCCCTTGATCCCCACCTGTAACAGCGTCCACTTATTGCCCTCCAATATCTGTTTTTCTGTTCTTCCATAACACTAGATTTGTGGCTTGGGGACATGGCAGCTCAGCTGAAGACCCATTTCCCAGCCTCTATGCACCCAGTAGGGTGGTGGGGCATGAGTGCACCCATACCTGCAGGGCAAACCTGTGCTGGCGCCTTTCTTCCTTCCTTCCTTCCCTTCCTTCCTTCCTTCCCTTCCTTCCTTCCTTCCTTCCTTCCTTCCTTCCTTCCTTTCTTTCTTTCTTTCTTTTTTTCTTTTTTGAGATGGAGTCTCGCTCGATCACCCAGGCTAGAGTGCAGTGGCATGATCTTGGCTCACGGCACCCTCTGCCTCCCAGGTTCAAGTGATTCTCCTGCCTCAGCCTCCAGAGTAGCTGGGACCACAGGCGCCCGCCACCACACCCAGCTTATTTTTGTATTTTTAGTAGAGACAGGGTTTTGCCACGTTGGCCAGGCTGGTCTCGAACTACTGATCTCAGGTGATCTGCCCGCCTTGGCATCCGAGACTGCTGGGATTACAGGCGTGAGCCACCACGCATGGCCTTGTGCCAGCCACTTTCTGTCTCCTTACAGCTGAAAGGCAAATGTGATCTGTGATCATGGGGAGAGCTACCTTGTCGCACCAAAGGGAAGTCGCACGTTGAGGATGGCGGAACAGCAACAAAGGCAGCCCGAGGGCCTGAGCACCTGGAGCTGCCACATCGGCCCTGGGCTGCTTTCCTGGGTTTTTAAAAAATTAAGGCATTTTGCTTTTTAGAGCAATTTTAGGTTTGCAGAAAAATTGAGCGGAAAGTAAGGAGTTCCCACAGACCCCGTCACTCCCCTTACGCCTCCCCATGATGAACATTTCGAGTCAGTGTAGTACGTTTGTTACAATTGGTGAGCCACAGTGAGAAGCTCGCATGAACTAAAGCCCATAGCTGACATCGGGGTTCACTCTGGTGTTGTCCATTTATGGGTTTGGACAAAGGTATAATGACATGGATCCACCCTTACAGTATCATACAGAGTAACTCCACTGCCCTAAAAATCCGTGAAACAAGTCCTTATTGAGGATTACTGTGCAGAAAATCAAGTGCACGCCTGGTTTTTTCACCTGCCTATCCACACATGCAGCCACAACTTGGACCAACTAAAGAACATTTGCATCACCACAGAGAATGCTTTTGTGCCTCCAGGCAGCCAATCCCTGGCTGCAGATCTAAGCCCTGTCCTGCCGTCTATGGCTGTAGATGGTCTCGCCTGCTCCTGACGGGTATGGAAATGGAAGCACACGCTCTGGAGCCCTTTGTGCCGGCTTCTTTCTGGAATCACTTCCATGAGACTCATCCAGGTTGACGTCTGTGTCCCTTCTTCCCTCTGTGATGCTGACTAGTAGCCATTGTATGCACGCATGCACCGCGACTCACTTACCCATTCCCCCGTTGATGGACGTGTGGGTTGTTTCCAATGGTAGCCATCATGGATAAAGTGGGCATATGCAGTCCTTTCTCTGAGATCCGTGCCCTAGAAGGAGCAGTGCTGGCTTGTGGAGTGGGCGTGCCACCCCCTTTGCTGTCCTCTGCTTGGTGATGCTCCTGCTTTACCAGCGCCTCCCTCCTAGGCTCTGCTAGCTGGGGGCGTTTAAGGGAGCCCACAAGACTGGAGGAGGAAGAAGGGACCTGCTCCTTCCTGGGCGCACCATCTAACAAGGCTTCTTCACCCTTGCAGCAAGTGCTTCATTTCCGTGGCACTGCCTGAAGCCAATTTTCAGATCTCTCAACACTTGCAAGACCAGCTTCATTGCATCCCACCTCTGAGACACCACCACCGGACACCCAGTGCCCTATGCTCCAAAATCTGAGTACTAGGCCATCCCCTGAGCTCAGAGACCCCAGCATCAGCCAGACCCCTGCTCCTTAGAGGTCTGGATCCCAGCCCCACAAGTCCCTCTACTGAGCTCACTCCTCCACAACTAGCTAGGCCACGCCCCCACCTCAGACCTCAGAGACCCAGCTTCAGCTCTGTGGGCCTCTCTCTAACCAACTTCCTTCCTTCCTTCCTTCCCTCCCTTTCTTCCCCTTCCTTTGTTCCTTCCTTCCTTCCTTTCTTCCCTTCCTTCCTTTTCTTCTTTCTTTCTCTTTCTTTCTTTTTCTTTCTTTCTGTTTTCTTTCTTCTTTCTTTTTTCTTCTTTCTTTCTCTTTTCTTCTTCCTTTCTCTCTCTCCTTCCTTTTCTCTTTCTCTCTTTCTTTCTTTTCTTCCTTCCTTCTTTCTTTCCTTTCCTTTTTCTTTCTTATCTTTTCTTCCTTCCTTTCTTTCTCTCTCTCCTTCCTTCCTTTCTCTTTCTCTCTCTCTTCTTTTCTTATTTCTTTCCCCTCCCTCCCTCCCTCCCTCCCTCCCTTCCTTCCTTCCTTCTTTCCTACCTTCCTTTTTCTCTCTCTCTCTCTCTCTCTTTCTTTCGACAGAATCTCCTCTGTTGCCCAGACTGGAGTGCAGTGGGACAGTCATGGTTCACTGCAACCTCAAACTCCCAGGCTCAAGTGATCCTCCTGCTCTCTCACAGCCTTGATCTCGGGCTTCTTCCCTGCAGAACTGTGAGAGAATCCATTTCTGCTGTCGAAGCCACTTGGTTTGTGGCACTTTGCTATGGCAGCTCCAGGAAATTAACACAGCCCCTCAGGCTGGGGAACGAAGGGAGTTAGGACTCTTCAAACAGAGGAGGCTGGGTGCTGTGACTCACACCTGCAGTGCCTGCACTTTGGGAGGCTGAGCTGGGAGGATCACTTGAGCCCAGGAGTTCGAGACATTCGTCTACAAAAAATACAAAACGTAGCCTGGTGTGGTGGCACATGCCTGTAGTCCCAGCTACTCAGGAGGCCAAGGCAGGAAGATCACTTGAAATCTCAACTGCATGCACCAAGGGAGGAGCTGTCATCCTTTCTACTTCCTGATCAGATCCTGGCTGATAGCAAAATTGGCAGCTGGAGTGGTGTCAAGAATCATATCCTGAAAGATGGGGTTTGGAGATTGGTTTGTTTGCGTCCTTGAGCTTGAAAGCAATGGTAAGTTTCAGGGTCTCACTCCTCCCGACCACTGCCTGACATTTCATGTGAGACACGTGGCGAGGCTGGGAATCAACTGACGTTGCGATTCTGTAACCCAAGCAATTAAAGTTTGTGTTTGATTTAGCACTGTTAGCCCTGCAGGTACAAGGAGTAAGAGAATTTTTAGGGCTGACCTGGTAGCCCTCTGGTGCCTTGCAAGAGGATACCCATTCTCCTCTCAGAACCCACCACAACCACCCCCTGTCCCATAATGAGGGTGCAATCCACCACAGGTGGACAGGTACACACTAAAACACAAGAGGAAAACCTATACACCAGAACAATAACATGATTTTCGTTAAGAAATATTGGCAAAAACCTGGGCGAATATGTGTGGAAGTGAATTCTAAGGATGTTCTACCAAAAGGGATGGATATAACATTGGATTGGGCACAATTTCTTGAGCTGGGGGCATTTACCAGAGGGCCTATATTTAATGTTGGTCCATGCAGCTGAAAGTGACTCTAACAGCCTATGTGGTTGGTTGATTTAAACTGGAACTCAACTGTGGCGTAAATTCAATGATAGTGAGATGCCAGAACAACCCTTGCCTAATGGAGAGAAAGGAACCCAATGTCACGATTCTGAGGGAAATAGCAGAGATTAGTGCCTTGAACTTGAAGGTTGCAGTCGTGATGTCTCTTGTATGCTATTTGTCTATTTGGTGCTTGGCAGAAGGTGGATGGCTCTTCAAGAATGACCGCAGGTGAATTGATTGCAGCTGCTGTTTCAGACGCAGTCACTTTACTGAAGCAAAGCGTCATAGCCCCTGCGTCTAGCTTGCTACTGCCCTGTCAAATAGTAACACCAGAGAAAAGACCACCAGAGCACTTTCTTTTATTGCTCAGGTTTGAAAAGCTTATGTATTTGCACTTCAAAGACCACATTTCTTTTAACCTGGCAGGGCCAACAGTACATCTTCACAGTCTTCCCTAAAGGCTCTGCCATCTCTCCTCCTCTCTGACACGAAACGGTACTTACAGACTTTGATTCTTTCTCTCTCTCTCTCTTAATTTGAGACAATCTCCCTCTGTTGCCCAGACTGGAGTGCAGTGGCGTGATCTTGGCTCACTGCAACCTCCGCTTCCTGGGCTCAAGCGGTTCTCCTGCCTCAGCCTCCTGAGTAGCTGGGACTACAAGCATGCGCCACCACACTGGATAATTTTTTTATCTGTAATATTTTGTAGAGATAGGGTCTTGCTGTGTTGCTCAGGTTGGTCTCAAACTCCTGGGCTCAAGCTATCCTCCTGCCTCAGCCTCCCAAAGTGCTCAGATTACAGGCGTGAGCCATTGCACCTGGCCAATAGCAGTTGTTTTGATGGTAAACTTTACAACTTAGCCTCTAGGTCACAGAATAGTTAAGTGGTACTATGACTTATTTAAAGGAGAAATTAATATCACCAATACCGTGACTGTAATTTGGAGATGATTACAAAGACTGTTGGGACTTTATGTCTCCCCTCTTGAGAAGAGGGTAGGAGCATATTTGTATGAAGGATCTTGTTAGGCAGAAACATAAAGTTGTCATTACTGCTGAGGGAAGTTCAAATTATGCAAGAAGGCTTCGAACTGATGTTGCGAAGCCAAAGGGGCAGGGGCGGGGAAGGTGCCATACTCTGCTTTGTGAGGCTGGCGCTGGGACTCTGAACCTACATTCCTTCTTTGTCTTCTGGCTGGTTGTCAGTTTCCACCAACTGGGACACTAGAGGGAGACTGGAAGGCTGGGAAGGAGAGAAGGGTCTTGCTCCTTCCTGTTTGTTTTCCATTCCTGTTGCTGTAGCGCCAGTCTCAGTTGGCCCTTAGCAGCAGCAGTGGTTTCAGGCTCCAGCTCATTTCGGCCTTCTCGGAACCCGCCAGATGACACCCCTTCCTCGGAGGTCAGAGGCCCAGTTCTACATGCCCCACCAAGTGTTGGCAGCACCAGCAGCAGACATGCCACACCCAAGATGTGCAAGCCCATTGATTATCAGAGGAACGCAAATCAAAACAACAGTATCACTTCATACCCATTAGATTGACAAATACACACACACCTAGAAATGCAGGCAATAGCAAATGCTGGCAGGGATGTGTGGCTAGAGAGCGCTCATGTACTGCTGGTGGAGATACAGACCAACACAACCATTCTGGAGAACAATATGTCAGTATCTCATCAATTAAGTATACACTAGGTTGGGTAATTTTGGTAATTCTCTGTAATTCTGCTCTTGGGGATACATCACAAAAATTCTTGGCTGGGCGTGGTGGCTCACGCCTGTAATCGTGGCACTTTGGGAGGCTGAGGTGGGAGAATTACTTGAACCCAGGAGTTTGAGACCAGCCTCAGCAACATGGTGAGACTTCATCTCTGCAAAAAATACAAAAATTCGCCGTGTGTGGTAGCTTATGCCTGTGGTCCCAGCTGCGTGAGAGGCTTAGGCAGGAGCATCCATTGAGTCCAGGAGGTTGAGGCTGCAGTGAGCCATGTTCATGATACTGCACTCCAACCTGGGTGACAGAGCAATGGCCTGCATGACAAAGGTCATGGTAGCATTATTTGTAGTGACTAAGGAAGCAGATAAAACATTAGGGAGTGTTATGCAGTACTTGGAAGCAAGATTATATGTAGACTCAACAATATAAATAGAGCCTAAAACCTAGTGCTGAATGACTTCTGTGTCTGGCAATGACAAAATAAGTAATTTGAACCACAACCTCCACTGAGAACAACTAAACAGACTCAGTAAAACAGGGAAAATATTTGCTTGAAAATATCCAAGTGATAATAGGCAGTGAAGCATATGGGACCAAGATATGGGAGAAAGGAAATGAGCTGAGAGATGAGCTCAGCATTTAAGGCTGCTTATCCCCTATGGCCATCCGCTAATTCCAGCAGAGACAGCTGAGGGCCCAAGAAGCTGAGCAGAACAGTTAGCAGACTTAAGAGGTGAGGGGTCAAAAGTCAGAGTGCAGGGCTCACCAAGGAAGAAGGCCCTAGTAAGCTCCTCGTGCTTTGGGTTGGAAACCCAAAGGTCTAGGAATAAGTGTAAACTGGAAATAGAATAGCCCTCTAAAGGACTGCATCCCTGTCCCCTAAGGGACTGTAGTCAAGATTTGAGCTCTTTCAATCCCTGAAAATTGGATTAAGGTGATCAGGATTTCTAGTGCCCCAGCTGCCTGCCAGAAACAAATGTAAATTTTCTCTGGAGGAAGATAACATTGTCCTTGGCCTCAAATGATTTATAGTTTCCATTCACAATGTCCAGCACTCAATAAAAAATAACGAGGACAAGGCCCAGCATGGTGGCTCATGCCTGTAATCCCAGCACTTGGGAGGCTGAGGCAGGGGGATTGCTTGAGCCCAGTAGTTCAATGTTACAGTGAGCTATGATTGCACTCCAGCCTAGGTGACAGTGTGAGACCCTGTCTTAAAAACAAACAAAACATGTCATAAGGAGAAAAGAAAATTTAATAAAAATGAAATTAGAAAAGTAATATAATAAAAATAGAGCCACAAGGACTCCAAATAATGGCATTATCAGATACAGACTTTAAAATAATTATATTTAATAATTCAAGGAAACAAAAGACAGAATTGAGAAATTTAGCAGATAATTTGAAACTACAAAAAGAATCTAGTGAAAAATTTAGAAATATAAAATATACAAATTAAAGTTAGGAGCTCAATGGGTGGGATATACAAGAGCTGAAGAGAGAAATAGTAAACAGAAAGATAAATCAGAAGAAAATAGCCAGACTAAAGCTTGGAGAGGTAAAAAGGTGGTAAAAGACAATGCAAAAGGAGGTAAGAAACATAGGGGATACAGAAAGAAGGTCTCATATATGTGTGTGTGCGTGTATTTTTTTTTTTTTTAAGACAAGGTCTTGCTGTGTTACCCAGGCTGGAGGGCAGTGGCACAATCTCCACTCACTGCAGCCTCGACCTCCTGAGCTCAAGCAATCCTCCTGCCTCAGCCTCCTGAGTAGCTAGCACTACAGGCACATGCAATCATGCCCAGCTAATTTTGTTCATTTTTTTTTTGTAGAGATGAGGTCTTACTATGTTGCCCAGGTTGGTCTTGAGCTCCTAGGATCAAGGGATCCTCCTGCCTCAGCCTCCCAAAGTGCTGGGATTACAGGCATGAGCGACCATGCTTGACCTAATATATGCTTAATTGGAGTTCAGAAAAACAAGGTGAGAAAGAATGGGGCACAGATAATATTTGAAGAGTTAATGGATGAAATATTTCCAAACTGGTGAAATATATCAAGTCAGTTTCTAGAAGTCACGTGAACCAAGAGCGGGATAAAACAAACAAAAAACCACACCTAGGCACATCATAGTAAAACTGAGGGAAAGCAAAGACAAAGAGAAAACATTCAAAGCAGCTGGTGGGTGGGTTGATTACTTTTATAGTTATGCAGTTTGACTGACAGCCAACTTCTCAACACAAACTACAGAAGCCAGAAAACAAGACAATGGTATATCTGATGTGCCAACAACAACAAAAAAACTGCCAGCCTTGAATTTTATGTCCGAGGACAATCTCTGTCCTTGGATCACAAAAATGGCCTCAAATTCTTGCCATCCCTGGATGCATACCCTTTTGTGATGGAACTTTCAGCTCCTCCCTGCAAGAGATAGAGTCCATTTTTCCACACTCTCAGATCTGGGCTTGGCCATGTGATTTGCTTTGGTCAACGGGACATTAAAAAACACAAGGCTTAAAAAGTGCCAATATGGCTGGGCGCAGTGGCTCACGCCTGTAATCCCAGCACTTTGGGAGGCTGTAATCCCAGCACTTTGGGAGGCTGAGGTGGGTGGATCACCTAAGGTCAGGAGTTTGAGACCAGCTTGACCAACATGGTGAAACCCTATCTCTACTAAAAATACAAAATTAGCCGGGCATAGTGGCACAGGCCTGTAATCCCAGCTACTCGGGAGGCTGAGGCAGGAGAACTGCTTGAAGCTGGGAGGTGGCAGTTGCAGTGAGCAGAGATGGTGCCATTGCACTCCACCCTGGGCAACAAGAGCAAAACTCTGTCTCAAAACAAGAAACAAAACAAACAACAACAACAACAACAACTCAAATAAGGGAAAAGGTGGTAGGATGGCAGGACTGACTATAATGTAAGCTTAGGAGCAGCTATTCAGTATTTGGGACTCTAGAGAAAGTCAAAGAAGAAAAGAAGAAACTGAAAAACTCTGTGTTAGCTGCTCAGGTCTGTTTACTGAAAGGGAGTAACTCCTGTTCTGGGCAACCCAGAAAGGAAAGGAAGCAAGACACGTGTCATCATTGCAAGAAGCAAGGACATTGGAAGAGGGATTGTCCAAAGAGACTGGGGCATGCAGGATGGCAGGAACAAGAGAATCAGGGGTGGGGGCCTAGGAGGATAAAACTCTCAGCTAGGAGATACTTTGCAAATGGCTCAAAATGGATAGATTGAGGAGATGGCAGTGGCGGGAAGAGATTAGGGTTAAGTGTGTGTATGTCGGTCACTGTTTGCCAGGCTGACCTGTCCTTGCCTTTTCTCATACAGACTGGTGCTACTTATTCTGCATTTGCCTTGGAAAGCTCTTGCTCTTGCTTTCCATCAGTACAGGTTGTTTGTATCTTGACTCAGCCTTCTACATATTCCCTTCCCTCCAATTCCCATCAGATGGGCCCTCTGCCTTTGCCTAAGGAGCAAGTGCTCCCCTTTCCTCCTGACTCTTCTGTAAACCTATTGGCGAGAGACCTGCCATGCACCTCCAAGCCTACCATATTCAGTGCCGGAAAAGCCCCCTTCCTGAGCTGACACAAATCAAGGCATCTTTTGAGCCCTAGAGAATCGAGATGCTGATTTAATTTGAGCTATAGAACCCATAAAATCAATTTACCAAAGGGATAAGCCATAGCTGTGTGTAAAACAATCTCCTTTGTTGGGAGCTCAATTAGAAGGAATGAAATAGGTTATAAAAGAATTAGAGGCCAGATGTGGGGGCTCACCTGTAATCCCAGCACTTTGGGAGGTCGAGGCAGGAGGATCTCTTGAGCCCAGGAGTTTGAGACCAGCCTGGGCAACATAGCAAGACCCTGTCTCTACAAAAAGCAAAAAAAAAAAAAAAAAAAAAGAAAGAAAGAAAGAAAGAAAGAAAGAAAGAAAGAAAGAAAGAAAGAAAAATTAGCGAGGCGAGGTGGTGCATGCCTCTAGCCCTAGCTACTCAGGAGGCAGAGGTGGGAGGATCTCTTGAGCCCGGGAGGTTGAGGCTGCTGTGAGTTGAGATGGTGCCACTGCACTCCAGCCTGGGCGACAGAGCAAGATCTTGTCTCAAAAAAAAAAAAAAAAAATAGAGAAACAAGGGATAATTTGAAAAAGCCACCACTTTGAAATAGTCTCACACTTCTGAAAGAGAAGAGAGGTAAAAGTGATGAAGATGGTCAACTGCTAAATTTATTTGTATAAGATCTTAAAGAAGGCCGGGCATGGTGTCTCACACCTGCAATCCCAGCACTTTGGGAGGCCAAGGCAGGCAGATCACCTGAGGTCAGAAGTTCGAGACCAGCCTGGCCAACATGGTGAAACCCTGTCTCTAAGAAACATACAAAAAATTAGCTGGGTGTGGTGGCACGTGCCTGTAATCCCAGCTACTTGAGATGCTGAGGCAGGAGAATCACTTGAACCCGGGGGGCAGAGGTTGCAGTGAGCCGAGATCACACCACTGACCTCAGCCTGGGCGGCAGAGAGAGACTCCGTCTCAAAAAAAAAAAAAAAAAAAAACTTAAAGAAGTAAATATGTGTGCTGTTCTGTTTACTCCAGCAACTCTTCTGACTTTGGTACCATTGTCTGCAAAGTTTTTCTCTGTAATTGATCAATTTTCTGCATTTTCTGTCTTTCCATTCCTCTAGCAGATGAATCTAAATTCTTGTTTGCTTTTGCTTATGAGAAAGTCTGATATTTATGGCAAAGAATTCCTCAAGGGTTTTGAATGCTCCCATTATTTTCTCTAGTCATTTACAGAAACACTTAGAGGAATTTCTCCCACCAGAGGGATCTATGATTATTTGCTATGTAGACGACTTGCTACTAGTAGCCTCAGAAACTGAAGAGCAATGCAAAACTGATGCTTTGGCTTTACTGCAATTTCTCATCTGGCGGGGACATAAGGTCTTGCTAGACAAATTGCAATAGTGCTAACCTGAGGTGAAACAATTAGGGCATCTGTTGTCAGCTGTGAAGAAAGAGAAAAAGAAGCTGATCCTTAGGCAGGAAGTATAAACAACGGGAAAGACTCTCTTAATAAATATGAATCTCCCTTTTGGAATACCAGAGCATTTGAATCAGACAGAAAAAGTCATTTTATTCCTACTGTCATCCAGTAGCATAAAAAAATTAATGAATTAATTAACAGATTAATGAATCCAGCTCTGAAAGACTCATTGGCTAAGATTCTGCAACCTACAATGTTAAGATGGCCTGGAACTTTCCCACTAGCCTTGTTTAAAATTACAGCCACTCCTTTAAGCAAGCATGGCCTAGCTCTAACTTGGGTCCAAGACCAAGTCCTGTGGCTGATTTTTTTTAATGTTTTTATTTATTTTTATTTTTTGAGAAAGAATCTTGCTCTGTTGCCCAGGCTGGAGTGCGGTGGCATGATCTTAACTCACTGCAACTTCTGCCTCCCAGATTCAAGTGATTCTTCTGCCTCAGCCTCCCAAGTAGCTGCGATTACAGGCATGTGCCACCACACCTGGCTAGTTTTATTTTTTTGTATTTTTTGTAGAGATGGGATTTTGCCATGTTGGCTAGGCTGGTCTTGAACTCCTGGCCTCAGGTGATCCACCTGCCTCAGCCTCCCAAAGTGCTGGGATTACAGGCATGAGCCACTGTGCCTGTCCTTCCTGTGCCTGATTTAACTGAATCCTCCCGTAATCATACTCAATACTTAATAGGGCTTTTCTCTTCTTTAGAAACCATGAGACTTAAAAAGTCAGAAGGATCTGGAGGTAACCCTCCAAAGAAGTCCACCATCCCAGTTGACTGGGAGGTTTCCTCTGCATCAAAGCTTTTCCAGGGGAAAGGCCTGGGCTGCCACTGTGCTGAGAGGAATGTTTTCAAATGCTACTGATCACCTACAGGGCCATCGGAGAGAAAGAAAAACGCAGCTGGACTCTTGGGAGGATTGCATTGTGGTTGCCACAAAGGACTTTTCCTGTAACTGATATTGGCTGCTCTATCCACAGTAGTAGTTATTTGAATTACTGTAAGACTCACATTTTTACTAACAAACATGTTATTTGTTAACTTTGAAATTGATCTGTTTGGAATAATTTAATGCTGGGAAGACATAATCTCATCAAGCTGTAGGAGGCCCTCACTCATAGCCCAGCAGCGATTAGCTACAAAACAGTTCTACAATATCATCATTAGCAGGTCTATTCATATTTAAGGAAACAATTAGATATTGGGAGTATGACTATAGAACAGATGAAAAGAACAGCATCTAATCAATAGACAAATAGAAAGCTGGCATATATAGACAGAGGCTGCGAAGACAGGTATAGTGTCACTTCATTAATTGTACAATGTAAGTTCTCTCCAGTCCCAGTATGGATAGATAAACAAAGGGTTGTCTGTTATCCAGGGAGACTTAATAGGCTGTTATAATAACATAACTTGATTGGGACTGATGCCTGAGAAAGTGCCGATAGGATGAGTTTTCCTCAACTTAAAACAGATAGGGCAGTTTGGGCTCGGTGGTTCATGCCTGTAATCCCAGCACTTTGGGAGGCCGAGGTGGGCATATCACCTGAGGTCGAGAGTTCGAAACCAGCCTGACCAACGTGGAGAAACCCCGTCTCTACTAAAAATACAAAAATTAGCCGGGCGTGGTGGTGCAAGCCTATAATCCCAGCTACTCGGGAGGCTGAGGCAGGAGAATCACTTGAACCCGGGAGGCGGAGGTTGCTGTGAGCCGAGATCACACCATTGCACTCCAGCCTGGGCAACAAGAGCAAAGCTCCATCTCAAAACAAACAAACAAACAAAAAACAGATAGGGCTGTGTACATTACACCCTGGAAGTTCATAGTAAGACTTTGATCTGCCGGGCGCAGTGGCTCACGCCTGTAATCCCAGCACGTTGGGAGGCCAAGGCTGACGGATCATGAGGTCAGGAGATCGAGACCATCCTGGCCAACATGGTGAAACCCCGTCTCTACTAAAAATACAAAAAATTAGCCAGGCGTGGTGGCAGGCGCCTGTAGTCCCAGCTACTCGGGAGGCTGAGGCAGGAGAATGGCGTGAACCCGGGAGGCGGAGCTTGCAGTGAGCCGAGACCACACCACTGCACTCCAGCTTGGGTGACAGAGCGAGACTCCGTCTCAAAAAAAAAAAAAAAAAAGACTTCGATCCTAGATATGGCCATAGGTATCTTTGTAGTTCACATTGAGAAATACCACTCAGGAAGACAAAACAATTACCAAAGTGCCTACATTATTATTGTCAATATGATGTTACAGGGCCAGGCATGGTGGCTCACGCTCGTAATCCCAGCACTTCAGGAGGCCAAAGTGGGTGGATCACTTGAGGCCAGGAGTTTGAAACCAGCCTGGCCTGGTGGTAGGCACCTGTCATTCCAGCTACTCAGGAGGCTGAGGTAGGACAATCGTTTGAACCCAGGAGGTAGAGGTTGCAGTGAGCTGAGATCGTGCCACTGTACTCCAGCCTGGGCAACAGAGCAAGACTCCTCAAAAAAAAAAAAAGTTACATATATATACATATATATGTGTATACATATATATATGTATATATATGTGTATATATGTATATATCTATATATATGTGTATATATGTATATATCTATATATGTATATATCTATATATGTGTGTATATATATGTATATATCTATCTATATATATACACATACACACATATATGATGAAAACTCAAGAAATTCTGGGGGTCTTACAAGGAAAACTCTTCATTAAAAATTTATAAGACTCCAGAGTTAAACTACTCCTTAAGCTTGGATTGGATAAGATTTTGTAAGGAGCCATGAAATAATATTCAAATGGTTAGCCATTTGAAAGCTCAGGCAATGAAGATGTCATGACAGCTAGTACAATTAATGTGTGATGGAGGGAAATGTTTACACATTTGCCTACAAAGAATCTGATTGAACCCTGAACCATTGATGTGATATATTTGAAGGTTGTCCTCCAAGGCAAGTATTGTACTGAATTCAAAAACTGATGCTATTGCAATTGTGGTCATTGTTTTGCATTTTACTACGGGCTAGCTGGATATTTAGGCATCTGCAACTTGCCCAGAAGAAGGTAAAAGCAACAATGGTGTTAATTAAATATCGCAATGTTATTATTTCATAGTAACACAGGAAGAAGATTGTAAGGGCAAATACAGATTAAAAACAAGAGGCTTAATTCTCTCTGTTGAAAATAAGGTAAGAGACTCCCTGCACCTTTTTCCTTTATCTTTTGGAATTTCTTTCTCTGTCCTTTTCAAATGTATGTAGATGTTTTTAATGGCTAAAGAAGCTCTGGCCAGTTTCACAACTCAGGAATGTTTCCTCTCCTCTGGGATCCGGGAGCCAGCTTTTCGAAATGTAATTAATCATCCAGGAAGATAACTCTCTTCATCTCTCAGTTTCAGCTGCCACCTGGCTCCGAATTGTGAAACCTGCCTACTGTAGTGGATACAGACCCACTTAGCTGTATAGAAGAGTGAGGCCCTTTCTGTCTTTTGTTTTTAATTAAATTTCCCCAACATACTCCATAGCAATGGGGAAAGGACAACACCTGTTATAATAACATAACTTGATTGGGACTGATGCCTGAGAAAGTGCCTGGTCAGATGAGTTACATTTCCCCAACATACTCCATAGCAATGGGGAAAGGGGACAACTCCTTTCCCCATTGCTATGGAGTATGTTGGGGAAATTTAATTAAAAACAAAATCTTCTCCCAACCCAGAAAACCTCTCCACAAAAGTAGAAGAGAAAGAAAACAATTTATAATTGAATACGCATTAAACCAGAATGCGGTGTGCATCACAGGTAACCCACTGGAGGCATTGCAAAGACAGAAAGGAAGAAGACTAGCGCCCTAGCAGCCCCTTTGGGTCATGGCCTCGTCCCAAGGATGCAGAGGGCGGGCACTGAGACCATGAAGGCATGAAAGGAGAGGAAGGACTTGATTTGCGAGTTGTGCAAGTCATAGAATTGGCAATATCCCCTCCCCAGGGGTTCACACTGTGCATTTTCTCCAGCAGGCAATTGTGATGGGACCAGAGAATTGCCAATGGCTCCCTTGCAATGTAAAAGTGCCCAAGTTCCGATATGTGTAAGCAAATGCCTCTGCCCTCAAAGGGAGATGCATCTCAATGCACTGTTGCTTTTAAAGGAAGAGAGTACTTTGGTCAGCTTCCTGGCATTGCTTAAAAACAAGACCCAAAATGGACCTTGTAATAAGACCCTACAGAATCCTTCTTGAGGATCTTCAGCCTGGAAGTCTTTTTGTTTTTTTTTTTTAAAGAAAAAACAAATTTTGACCACTGCCTGACATTATACACAAAAAAATCAATTCCAGGTATGTTGTAGATCTAAGAACAAAAGGCAAAACAATAAAGCTTGTAGAAGACAACAGGAGAATATCTTCAGGACCTGGGGCTTGGGAAAGATTTCTGCTTTGCTTGCTAGGAGGCTGTCTGACTCCTCCTTTGGCCAACAATGGAGTTGGCAGGGGGTTTCCATGCACCCCGTTGCTTTTGTGTTGCTATGCAGAAGAGTGGAAATGCTGTCTCTCACTACCACCTTTACGTGTTTCTACCCAGTATCCTTTTAGAAGAGATGTTCTTTCTTTTTCAAGGAACGCCTGTCGAAATGCATCAAATGCCTAGTCAGCAACTAGTGATCCTGTGAGTTTCCTCCTTTAATTTGCTGAGTAATGAATTCTGTGGAAAGATTTCCTGATGTTCAATCACCTCTGTATTTCTGGAGTAGACCCGAAATTCTATTCTATTCATAATAATAGAATATTATGTCTTGCTCAGACATAATGTCTTATTCTTTTGCTATATCGCTGGAATCCATGTGCTTATCTTTTATTTATAATTTTTGCATTTGTAATCAGAAGTGACAGTTGTTCACAGGTTTCTTTTTGTACTCTGTTTAGGAGGTTTGGGCATCAACCTAGGTTTAGGTATTGTTGGCTTTATGAAATGTTTTTGTGTGGACTGGAATAGTTTAAATGATATCAGAATTATTTTGTCTTGAAAGATTATATAGGACTTGGCTTTGAAACTACTTAGGGTTGGTACTGTTTTTATGGAGAATCCCCTCTCTATTTTATTTTATTTGACACAGGGTCTCCCTCCATTGCCAGGGCTGGAGTACAGTGGCATGACTGTAGCTCAGTGCAGCCTCAAATTCCTGGGCTCAAGCGATCCTCTCACCTCACCCTCCTGAGCAGCTAGGACTACAGGTGTGTGCCACCACGTCCAGCTAATTTTTTAATTTTTGTTTTTGTAGAGATGGGAGTCTCACTATATTGCTCAGGCTGGCCTCAAACTCCTAGACTCAAGTGATCCTCCCACCTTGGCCTCCCAAACTGTTGGGATTACAGGCGTGAGCTACTGAGTTTGGCTTCCTTCTCTACTTTAAAATGGTAATTTGTAGACTCAAATTTTCTAGTTCTTGTTGGGTTTTCAGAAAGTTATATTTTGTTAGGAAATTATCAATTTTTTTCTGTTGTTAAAGAATCAGCTTTTGTATTTATTTACAATTTTTACTATTTTATGTTTTTAATCTTTATTCTCTTTTTCCCCCTTCCTTTGTTTCCCCTTTGGCTTCTCTCATTCTTTTTCTGGTTGTCGTTGACTTTTGATCTATCCTCCTTAATCATGCATATCTTGACTATTCTAACTGCCCCTCGTGGAAAGCTTGAGTTGTGTGTAGAGGTTGGGGTAAGACGTGTTCTTCTTTTCACGATGCTCTCGAAGCTTGTCGCTTCTGTATGCTCTCCTCTTTAATCCAATGATTGCTTAAGATAAGTTTTTTCTTTTCAACTTCTTACTTTGAAAATGTAAAAACCTACAGAAAAGTTGCAAGAACAGTACAATGATTTGGTCTCATCATTTGATATACTATTCAGGCATAAAAAGAAATAAAATACTGATCCATGCCACAACACAGATGAGCCTTGGAAGCATTGTGCTGAGTGAAAGAAGCTACACACAAAAGGCCACATAGCGTATGATTCCATTCATATAAAAGATCAGAATAGGCAAATCCATAGAGACAGCAAGGAGATGAATGGTTGCCAGGGGCTAGAGGAGGGGGGAACGGAGATTGATTGCTAACAAGTAAGGGGTTTCTTTTTGGGGTGATGAAAATGTTCTGGAATTATTAGTGATGGTGGCACAACATTGTGAGTATACTAACAACCACCGAATTGTATGTATGCTTTAAAGTGGGTAATGTGATTACCTTTTTTTTTTTTTTTTTTTTTTTTTTTGAGACAGAGTCTCTGTCACCAAGGCTGGAGTGCAGTGGTGTAATCTCGGCTCACTGCAGCCTCCGCCTCCCGGTTCAAGGGATTCTCCTGCCTCAGCCTCCTGAGTAGCTGGGACCACAGATGCGCACCACCACGCCCAGCTAATTTTTGTATTTTTAGTAGAGACGGGGTTTCACTATGTTGGCCAGGCTGGTCTCGAACTCCTGACCTCAGGTGATCCGCCCGCCTCGGCCTCCCAAAGTGCTGGGATTACAGGCGTGAGCCACCATGCCCGGCCTATTGTTTTTTTTAATTTTGCCTTTAAAATTGTGAATTATATGAAAATACAGAAAATGTATACAGACAGTTTAAGGACTAAAAATAAACCACCAACTACTGATGACAATAAACCTGAAACAAAGTAGAAATATACTAAATTTACTAAAACAGACAAAAAAAGGCCGGGCATGGTGGCTCACACCTGTAATCCCAGCACTTTGGGAGGCCGAGGCGGGTGGATCACTTGAGGTCAGGAGTTTGAGACCAGCCTGGCCAACATGGTGAAACCCCGTCTCTACTAAAAATACAAAAATTAGCCGGGCGTGGTGGTGGGTGCCTGTAATCCCACCTACTCGGGAGGCTGAGACAGGAGAATCACTTGAACCTGGGAGGTGGAGGTTGCAGTGAGCCGAGATCATGCCACGCCACTGCACTCTAGCCTAGGTGACAGAGTGAGACTCCGTCTCAAAAAAAAAAAAAAAAAAAAAGCAAGCAAGCGAGCCCTAGTAACCCTAAAAGTATAAAACAGATTGAAGCAGCGGTTTAAAAATCTTCCCACAAATAAAACAGCCGGCCCGCATGGTTTTACAGACAAGTTCTAGCAACTCTACAGACTCTGCCAGAGAATTGAAAAGGAAGGACCATTACCCAACAAAACCTTAATATTAACTAGGCAAAAACAGAACAAGATAGGAAGATTGTAGGTCCATTTTGGTCTGGAATACAGAGACAAAAGTCCTAAACAAAAATTTTTCTTTTTTTTTTTTAATGCAGGGAATTCTAATTAGATTGGCATAGTTAAGGCCAAAACTATAGACATTGCTCCCTTATTTACCTTCAACCGTTGCCTTTAAGAGGCAAATGAACACAAAACACAGGTGAATCTTGCTTGGTTCTAAGACAGTGAAGGAATTTCCCCAGTATTTACATATATTCACATAACCAGTCATATAAATCTAAATATAAAACCAATCTCCAGTAAGTTTTAAGACGGCACTCACCATCTTTGTGAAAAGTTGAACATTACTAACGAAGTCTAATCATATCTTTAGAAGGGGTAAACAGTGATAGCATTTACTGAATTGGAGTTACTATTAAAATTCAAGAACTGAACGTATTCATTTAACCACAAACCAGTCTTAGTTTTAAATCAGGACTGCTCAACAAAATATTCTGTCAGTCATTCATGATCTGAATTCTGGTGTATGAGATCTATTAAAGGATGGTATGCATACAAAAGTCATGAGACATTTCTGTTTTGTAATAAACAAGGCAGTGGCCAATTATTACTCATTAGTAGCTTTTTTGAGAAAAGCTATCGAGTCTGCCCTTTCTTCCTTCTTCTTAATGCCGACAAAGATCATTTTTGTTTCAGGTATGTGCTTCTTGGGATTCTCCAAATACTCCATCAGTGTATCCTCTCCCCAGGTGATGCCTTTGTTCTTACTGGCAACCGTGTAAGAGTATCCAGCGGCCTGACCTGTCTTCCGCCCGAAGAGGCCTTGGAGATTTGGCCCAGTCTTGTGCTTGCCTCCCTTTTCAACGGTGTGGCACTGGGAACACTTCATAATAAAAATCTTCTTGCCTTTCTCAACATCACCCATATTTAATTCTCCTTTTAGTCGCTGGCGCAGCGAAGATTCCCGCTCCGAAGCTGGACGTCCCCACTCTCACAAAAATTTTTCTAAACCAAATCCAAATGTGTATAAAGGAAAATAGCCAATAATGACCAAGTTCAGCGAATGTCAGTAAAGCAAGGTGATTTAATATTAGAATGTCCATAAATGTCTTTTTTTTTTTTTAACAGAGTCTTGCTCTGTCACCCAGGCTGGAGTGCAGTGGCGCGATCTCAGCTCACTGCAAGCTCTGCCTCCTGCCTCAGCCTCCCGAGTAGCTGGGACCACAGGCACCCGCCATCACGCCTGGCTAATTTTTGTATTTTTAGTAGAGATGGGGTTTCACCGTGTTAGCCAGGATAGTCTCGATCTCCTGACCTCGTGATCCGCCCGCCTTGGCCTCCCAAAGTGCTGGGATGACAGGCGTGAGCCACCGCGCCCGGCTCATAAGTGTCTTTTAACCCAGGAGCAGGATAAAGGAGAAAGACGCTGGTCATCTCGTCAAGTGCAGAAAAAGCATTTGCTAAAATTCAACACTTATTCATAACAAAAACTCTTAATAAGCTGGGAATAAAAGGGAACTTCCTAGACTTGATAAAATACACACATAATTGTATTAATAGAGAAATGTTAGAAATATTTTCTTTCTTTTTTTTATATATATTTTTTATTTTGAGATGCAGTCTCTGTCGCCCAGGCTGGAGTGCAGTGGCGCGATCTCGGCTCACTGCAACCTCTGCCTCCCAGGTTCAAGCAATTCTCCTGCCTCAGCCTCCCAAGTAGCTGGGATTACAGCCACCTGCCACCATGCCCGGCTAATTTTTGTATTTTTAGTAGAGACGGGGTTTTACCACGTTGGCTAGGCTGGTCTCAAACTCCTGACCTCAGGTGATCCGCCCACCTCGGCCTCCCAAAGTGCTGGGATTACAGGTGAGAGCCACCGCGCCTGGCCTAGAAGCATTTTCTTAACAATCAGTAACAAAGCATGCCTGTCCACTTGTGCCACCTCTTCTGGGCTTTGTTCCGGAGGCTCTAGCCGGGGTAGTATAGCAAGAAAAGAAATGCAAGGCATAAAGATTAGAACGGTGGAAATACATCTGTCAATATTTCACATGAAGTGATCTTCTGAAAAAAACAAAAAAAAAAATTCCGAAGAGGGTATAAAGACAAATTATTAGAAAGAAAAGAGACTTTAGCAAACTGACTGGACATAATGATGAATATACACAAGCCAAGTGTATGTCTATGCACCACCCATAGTATTTAGAAAATGCGCTCTGTAAAAAGACGTCATTTATAATAGCAACAAAAAATTTAAAAAACTCAGAAGTAAGTAAAATAAAAGATGTGGGCGGGGCATGGTGGCTCATGGCTGTAATCCCAGTATTTTGGGAGGCTGATGCAGGAGGATCACTTGAGCCCAGGAGTTTGAGGCTGCAGTGAGCTAGGATCATGCCACTGCACTCCAGCCTGGACAACAGAGGGAGACCCTATCTCTAAAATAATAATAATCATAAAAAGAAAAAAGAAAGATGTACAGAAAATTCTAAACACACTTTAAAAGACCTAAATAAATGGAGAGATATTCAATGGTGATTGTTAAGATAGTGTCAAATCTCCCCAAATTGAGTGAACAGATTCAATGCCACTCTAATCAAAATCCCCACAGGATGTTTTGAGAAACTAAAGTTCATTCTAAAATGTATATGGTAGAGCAAAGGTCAAGACTAGCTCAGACCACCCTGAAGATGCACGAGGAGGGCTTGCCTGGCAAATAACAAGGCTTATTATAAAACTATCATAATTAACAAAGCCTGACCTTAGTTCGAGGGTAGACAAAGTAGCCAGTGGGACAAAATAGAGAGCCCTAAAGAGACCCCAGAAAGATGGACCTTTAATATATGACAACAGCCTGGGCAACATGTCTCTGCAAAAAATAAATAAATAAATAAGTAAGCCAGATGTGGCATGCATCTGTGGTCCCAGCTACTCGGGAGGCTGAGGTGGGATAATCACTTGAGCCTGGGAGATTGAGGTTGCAGTGAGCTGTGATCGTGCCACTGTACTCTAACCTGGATGACAGAGTGAGAACCTGTCTCAAAAAAAAAAAAAGAGAGAAAAATACGTATATAATATGACAAGGTGGCAAGGCAGATTAGCGAGGAAAGAGGGATTATTTAACAAAAGGAGAAGGAAATAGAGGTGATTTATAATGGGGAAAAATGAAATTAGGCCCTCCACATCTTACACAAAAATAATTTCCAGATGGATTAAGGATTTAAATGTCAAAAAGGAAACTTTAAGATTCTTAAAAGAAAATGTAAAAAGTATCTTTCTGACCTTGGATTAGAAAAGGATTTCTTAAACCAGATATAAAAAGCATTAATCCTTAAGAAAAAAATAAGGTAGCCGGGCACAGTGGCTCATGCCTGTTATCCCAGCACTTTGGGAAGTGGAGGTGGGAAGATCGCTTGAGCCCAGGAGTTTGAGACCAGTCTGGACAACATGATGTGACCTCATCTGTACAAAAAATTAAAAAATTATCTGGGTGTGGTGGGTGCCTGTAGTCTCAGCTACATGGGCAGCTGAGGTGGGATGATCGCTTTAGCCCAGGAGTTCGAGCCATGTTTGTGCCACTGCACTCCAGCCTGGGCAATGAAACCCTGTCAAAAAAAAAAAAAAAAGAAAAGAAAAGAAGAGATAAGATGGATTTAATTACACTAGAATTAGAAACTTCTTTTTATGAAAGACTCCTTAAAGAAAGTAAAAAGGCAAGCTTCAAATGAAAGAATACACATAGCTGGCAAAGGATTAGTGTCTAGAATATGTAAAAAATTCCTACAAATCAATAAGCAAAAGGAAGAAGAAAATATAAAAACGGGCAAAAGACAACTCCAGGCAAAACAGAAGAGAAAACACATGTGGCCCAGAAACCATGGAAGAAAAGAGCAGCCTTGCTGGTAATCAGGGAAATGCAAGATTATGGTGGGGTACTGTTTCGCACACATCAGTCTGGCAAAAACGAAGGAATCCCCCAAATAGCAAGAGTTGAAGGAGATGTACGCTTGAACCCGGGAGGCGGAGCTTGCAGCGAGCCGAGATCACGCCACTGCACTCCAGCCTGGGCTACAGAGCAAGACTGTCTAAAAAAAAATAGATGAGAAAGATGTAGATCAAAAAGGATCTTGTACACATTGTTAGTGGAAGTGTAAATTGATAGGAGCACTTTGGAAAACAATTAGGGCTTATGTAAAGTTGCATGCTGGCTGATCTTACAGTAACTCCCAGGCATACATACAAGAGCAACTTCTCCCCCTTGCACTAGGAGACAGGTACACAAATGTTTACAGCAATGCTGTTTATTTATTTTTATTTTTTGAGATGGAGTTTCGCTCTTGTTGCCCAGGCTGGCGTGCAATGGCACAATCTCAGCTCACTGCAACCTCTGCCTCCTCGGTTCAAGCGATTCTCCTGTCTCAGTCTCCCGAGTAGCTGGGATTACAGGCGCATGCCACTACACCCGTCTAATTTTGTATTTTTAGTAGAGATGGGATTTCACCATGTTGGCCAGGCTGGTCTCAAACTCCTGACCTCAGATGATCTGCCCGCCTCAGCCTCCCAAACTCAACTAAAGAACATATAATTTTAAGCATATATGATACAGCTATATTAAAAAAAAAAAAAAAAACTAGGCCGGGGGTGGTGGCTCACACTGGTAAGCCCAGCACTTTGAGAGGCTGAGGGGGAGGGATCGTTTGAGCCCAGGAGTTTGAGACCAGTCTGGGCAATATAGTGAGACCCTGTCTCTACAAAAAAAATTGTAAATTATTAGCTGAGTGTGGTGGCATGTGCCTGTAGTCCCAGCCACTTGGGAGGCTGAGGTGGGAGGATCAGAGGGAGGATCACTTGAGCCCAGAAGGCGGAAGGTGCAGTGAGCTGAGATGGCACCACTATACTCCATTCTGAGCAACAGAGCCAGACTCTACTCCCTGCTGAAAAAAAACCTAAGTGGGAAGCAACCCAAGCACCCATCGACAAATGAATGGATAAAGAAAATGTGGTGCACCCGCACAACAGATTACTATTGCGCCATAAAAAGGAACGTAGTTCTGATGTATGTTACAAGATACATCAACCTGAAAACAACATGCTAAGTCACATAAGCCAGTCACAAAAGGACAAATATGGTGATTCCACTTACATAAAATATCTAGAATGGGCAAATTCACAGAGACAGAAAGTGGCTACAGGTTACCAGGGGCTGGGGGAGCAGGAACTGGGGAGCTATTGCTCAACGGGTGCAGAGTTTCTGTTTGGGGCGATGGCAGTGTTTGGGAAACAGTGGTGATGGCCGAACATTGTGAATGCTCTACTTATACAACACAAGTCAGTTGTACCACTGAGTCATACTGAAAAATGGTTACAATGGCAAGTGTTGTGTTATATATGTGTTCTATCACAATTTTATTTTATTATTTTTTATTTTTTTGATATATTTTTTCCAGACAGGGTCTCGCTTTGTCACCCGGGCTGGAGTACAGTGGTGTGATCATAGCTCACTGCAGCCTTGACCTTCTGGGCTTAAGTGGTCCTCCCATCTCAGCCTCCTGAGTAGCTGGGACCACAGTAACGCACCACCATGCCTGGCTGATTTTCTAATTTCTTGTAAAGACGTGGTGTCACTATGTTGCCCTGGCTGCTATCAAAATTTTCAAAAGCAGGAGAATAATAAATGCAAAATGCAGGATACTGGTTATCTTGGAGTGGGGAGGTGGTGTTGGGGAGACAGCAGAGCACCTGGGTGTATTTCAGTAGGGCATTGGTACGGGGCCCATTCCTGGGCTGGCCAGTGGACTTACAGACATTCATTAGCTTATTTTGTATTTATTTTATTTTATTTATTTTCTGAGATGGATTCTTGCTCTGTCCCCCAGGCTGCAGTGCAGTGGCGCGATCTCAGCTCACTGCAACTTCTGCCTCCCGGGTTCAAGCAATTCTCCTGCCTCAGCCTCCTGAGTAGCTGGGATTACAGGCGCCTGCCACTGCGCCCGGCTAATTTTTTTGAATTTTTAATGGAGACGGGGTTTCACCATGTTGGCCAGGCTGGTCTTGAACTCCTGACCTTGTGATCTGCCCGCCTCGGCCTCCCAAAGTGCTGGGATTACAGACTTGAGCCACCTCGCCCAGCCTTATTGATTTACTTTTTTGAGATGGAGTCTCTGCCACACAGGCTGGAGTGCAGTGGCACAATCTCGGCTCACTGCAACCTCCACCTCCCAGGTTCAAGTGATTGTCCTGCCTCAGCCTTCTGAGTAGCTGGGATCACAGGCATGCACCACCACATCTGGCTATTTTTTTTTTGTATTTTTGTTAGAGACTGGCTTTCACCATGTTGACCAGGCTGGTCTCGAACTTCTGACCTTAGGTGATCCGCCCACCTCGGCCTCCCAAAGTGTTGGCCACCGCGCACGGCCTTAGCTTATTTTCTAAACAGAAAATAAAACGAAAGAGGGCCTTGGGTGGACAAGTGTTGATGGATAATGATAATCTGGCTCTGTCAACTTGAAGCAACAACAACGAAAGACAGAAGGAAAATACCACGTTCATATGAGAACATGAGAAGCCCTCCGGGGCCCTGCCCATCTGAAAAAATGGCGTAGTAGGCCACGTGCAGGTGGCTCACACCTGTAATCCCAGCACTTTGAGAGGTTGAGGTAGGTGGATCACCTGAGGTCAGGAGTTCAAGACCAGTCTGGCCAACATGGTGAAACGCCGTCTCTACTAAAAATACAAAAATTAGCTGGGTGTGGTGGCAGGTGCCTGTAATCCCAGCAGCTAGGGAGGCTGAGGCAGGAGAATCTCTTGAACCCGGGAGGCGGAGGTTGCAATGAGCCAAGATTGTGCCACTGCACTCCAGCCTGGGTGACACAGCGAGACTCTGTCTCAAAAGAAAGAAAGAAAGAAAAAAAAAGTGTAGCAGAAATAGACCAAAGAGCAAAGGCAATTCAATGGAGAAACGGTAGCCTTCCCAGCAAATGGTGCTGGAACAACTGGACATCCACATGGAAAAATGAACCTAGGCACAGACTGCTGTGGCTTGAAGGTATGTGGCCTTCCAAAATTCATATGCTGAAACCTAATTATCAAGATGATGGTATCGCAGGGTGGGGCCTTTGAGAGGTGATTCGGTCATGAGGGCTCTACTCTCATGAACAGGATTAGTGCCCTGATAAAAGAGGCTTCATGCAGTGGTCTTGCTTTACTCCCCTTTTCCAACACGTAAGGACATCATGAGAAGATATCATTGATGGAACAGACCTTCACCAGGCATGGAACCAGTTGGCACTGTGATCTTGGGCTTCCCAGCCTCCAGAACTGTGAGAAAAATGATCTGAGACAGACCTTCCATCCTTCACAAACATTATCTCAAAACAGATCATGGACTCAAATGTAAAACACAAAACTATCGAATCCTAGAGGATAACATGGGAACATCAGGTGACACTGGGTTTGGTGATGACTTCTTTAGATACAAGGCCAACAGCACGACCCATGGAGAGAGAGAAAACAAAGCAGCAAACTCAGCTCATGGCCAAGTAAGGAAAGGGCAACCCGGTTACTCCAGGCCAAGGCTCCCAGGAGAAGGGAGCTGGACAGAGTTTCTGGGTCGTGGTCTGGCTTCAGCCTCCCTGACAGTCCCTTCTGGAAAAGCCAGTGGGCAAGGTCGTTAGAGACTCCTGGGAAACATGGGTCCCCACTCACACATCTGACACGGCTGGGCTGGGGACTGGGGATTGCACGCATCCAGTGGAAAAAATACAGTTGGCCTTCATATCCGTGGGTTTCACATCTGAGGATTCAACTGGCCATGGATGGAAAACACTTGAAAAATAAAAAATAGCAATACAACAATAAAGATAATACAAATTAAAAAACAAATCAGGCCGGGCACAGGGGCTCATGCCTGTAATCCCAGCACTTTGGGAGGCCGAGTTGGGCGGATCACGAGGTCAGGAGATCGAGACCATCCTGGCTAACACGGTGAAACCCTGTCTCTACTAAAAATACAAAAAATTAGCCGGGCATGGTGACAGGCACCTGTAGTCCCAGCTACTAGGGAGGCTGAGGTGGGAGAATGGTGTGAACCCGGGAGGCGGAGCTTGCAGTGAGCCGAGATCGCGCCACTGCACTCCAGCCTGGGCGACAGAGTGAGACTCCATCTCAAAAAAAAAAAAAAAAAAAAAAAAAAATCATTACACTATAACTGTTTATGTAACACTGACATTGCATCCGGTAATACAAGTAATCTAGAGAAGATTTAAAGCATTAGAGAGGATGAGCAAAGGTCCTATGCAAATAGTATGTCATTTTAGATCAGGGATTTGGGTGTCCATGGATTTTGGTATCCCCAGTAGGGGGAAGCCTGGAACCCATGCCCCGTGGACACCGAAGGACAACTGTAGTCAGAAGGGTGGGATCTTCTGTGTGTCCTGCTTCTAAGAGCACCATGGCCTTTTTGCAGCTCTCTATGGTGGGTCAGAGTGGAGCCCTTCTGTGGGGTGTCATGGCATCCTCAGTGGGTCCAAGCTCTGGGACGTGGAGGGAGAGCAGGGACCTACCTCATCAGCACAGAGTAAGATAGGACCCATCCAGATAGGAATCTGGGCCAGACTCACCTGGGTACCCATCTTCAGGTTAAAGAATGCTGGAGTGCCCCGGGGAGCATGGTGGTGCCGCCCTCACCCTGTCTCTATCTTGAGCGCAATCGCCCGCTCCAGCCTGACTGCTGTGCTGGGATGTCACTGCACTGTCCTCAAGCTGCACTGTCAAGCGCAGTAACTGCCCCATGATCAGCTGTCTCTCATGTCCTTCCTCCCGGACGCTCTCCCAGGGCTGTATATTTGTTAGGGTTTTCTGATTACAGGGAGAAGCTGACTCTAACTTTAGCAAGAAAATGGATTTATCTGGCATGATGCTGGGTAGATCACCAAACTGGTGGAATGTCTAATGGAGCGGGGTTTCGGACACACAGGCGAGACCGGTTCTTTTTTTGTTTTGTTGTTTTAGAGACTGAGTCTCACTCTGTGGCCCCGGCTGGAGTGCAGTGGTGCAACCACAGCTCCTTGTAACATTGAATTCCTGGGGCCAGCCATCCTCCCGCCTCAGCCTCCTGAGTAGCTGGGACTACAGGTGCGTGCCACCACGCCCGGCTAACTGAGACCTGTTTTGAGTGGGATCCAGAGCAAGAAAGGACCCTGCAGGAGGACTGGGCTGCGGGGCAAGCTGCTCTGCCACCAGCAGCGAGAGCCCGCCAACCTAACGGTGCTGGAGGGATCTGTCCATGGTAGGCCAGGATGCTGTGCGGAACCCTCAGGAAGCCTCAATGGAAGGATCCCAGCAGGGACCATAGAGGCTGTGGCAGGGCCACACCTTCGGTGGCAGAGCTACTCACTCACCACTGAAAAAAGCATAGCTGTGGCCATGCTACTGGGACCTAGGAGAGACTTACAGCCTGATCATGGGGCATCCAGGGCCTGTGTGACCCAAGCCACCCATTGTGAACTGAATATTGAGGTGGAGATGGCACATTGAGGCCCAGGCAGTCCAGACCCCCGGTCACCCGGCTCTTTCACACTGGTATGCCCCTTCAGCTCACACCTATGGCCTCATGGGAGGTGGTGATGGGGTGTCCCCATGACTGACTCAGACCCAGGTCCTCGACTGGTCATCTCATGTCACCACTAGGAAAAACACCTGCTGTCACACTGAGGCCCTTTGCAGGGTGGCCCTGAGAGACAGCAGTGAGGGGACATCCTCTAGGGGAGCAAGACACTAGGTTGTCTACTTTGTAGAGGGAGAAATGGCCTGAGATGAAGGTGTCCATGACCCCCGGGCAGTGGAAAATGGCTGGGCTGACTGGTCAGGGACCCGGGTGGAGGAAGATTGGAAGAAGAGACAGGTTTGGCGAAGAGGTACCTACGGGAGTGCTCAGGGAGAGTGTGGGGCCCCGTGCTCGTCTTCGCGCCCATGCCGCTGGGGAGCATGCAGTGTGGAGGGGGCGCGCCAGAAGCTAGCGAACAGAGGGGACCATCTGGTGGAGGTCAGCCAGCTTCTCCCCAGGATGCGATGGACCCACGATGCCAGTGGCCATGGTGGGAGGGCTGGAGGCTCTGTATAAGCCCAACGGCAAGGGCTTCCTCTTACCACGGCTCATCTAGACACTGCCGCTAGTGAATGTTCTTCCATCCACCAGCTGCAGAGACCGATGCTGAGCCCTCAATATGACGCCATTCCTCAAGACTAGCCAGCCATTGGGTGGCAGGTTGCAACCTGCACACCAGCCCTTGTCTCAAGTTCTGCTTTCTGGGAGAAGCCCTGGATAAGAAACTCGCCTCTCTTCTCCACATTCTGGGCAGGCCCGCCATTCTTGATTTCTCTTCTAACGAGGAGCCAGGGAGGAAAGGAAGGGCTCCGATTCAACAGCCCCGTGTGGCTGGGGGTTCCCTCACTTGCCCAAACCTGGAAATGAAGCATGTAGCAATTTCTCCAAGTGATCTCCTGCAGCCGGGGCAGCCTCTGGGAACGCAGACTTCCACCCGCTGCTGCTTTCCAGGCAAAGGCCTTCTCCCTCCAGGCTTGTCCAAGAAGACGGGGAGGTGGTGGGAGAGAAGAGGAAGAGATGGAAGGGCTGTGAAAGCGGGGACCGGGTGAGGGCTGGGGCTGAGGAACAGGTAGGCGGCGGGCCCAGGCTGGCCAGTGCTGTGTGCAGGCCCGGGTCCCAAGGCCTCCGAGGCCACTCTCCCCACGACCCACCCCCTCCCCACGCTTCGCTCATCCTTTTTTCTTTCTCTCTTTCTTTTCTTTCCTCCCTTTCTCTCTTTCTTTCTTGTTTTAAACAAAGGTGTCCGTTTCAAAGACAGCAGGGAATGGCTGAGTTGAAGGAGGGATGCAGTCATTTAAGGCGAAGCCCGAGGAAGGAGCAGAGGCGTGAGGGCTGCTGCGTCCAAGACCGGGGAGAGGGGCTGAAATCGCGGACTCTCTCTGGGGGACCCAGGAGACTGCTCCTCCTGGCAGGACCCCTCTCTCCCAGAGCGGCATCGCGCAGACAACGCGCCTGGTGCCCGCCCCTCAGGACCGGACGCCGGGTGTCGTGGGGTGCCTAGGACCCCCGCCCGCTTCCGTCGAGCGCCCGCCCCCGGCTTCCCGCGCCGGCTCCAGCGCCCCCGCCGCTCCCTCCCGCAGCCGGCCCCGCTCCCCTCCCCGCCCCTCCCGGCGCGCGTGCGCCCCGTGCCCGCGCCCCTCCCCCGCCGCCGTGGGCGCGCTCGCGTGCCCGTCGTCCCGGGCGGGAGCTGGAGACGGCCAGCGGCTGCTGGACGAAGAGCGGGCGCCGGGAGCTCCGAGAGCGCGGCCGGGCGAGGCGGGAGCGCGGGCGCTGGCCTGGCCGCGGGCGGGGGCCGCCGCCGCGCCGCTGCCCCCCTGTCGCGGGCCGGGCCGCGGCGCCGAGCGCGAGGGCCGGGCTCCCGGGGCTGGCGGCCATGGGCAGGAGCCGGAGGCGGCAGCGGCAGCGGCGGGCCCCGCGGGCGGGGAGGCGCGCGGCCCACGGCCCCTGACGGCCCCTGGCGGCCCGGCGCGCCCCCGCGCTCCCTGGGGGGCCGTAGCCTGGCAACGCCCGGCGCGCCCGCCCATCCCCCGCTGCCCTTTTTCTCCTGGCCGGGTGCGAGGGAGCATGCCCGCGCCTGGCCTCGGCCAGCGAAGAGTTAACCTGAGGGGCGAGCCGCTGCCCCCACCTCGGGGGCGTGCCCCCCTCCCCCGCTAGGCGGCCCGCCCCCCGCGCCAGGGTATGGCCCCTGGCCCCGGCCCGGGACCCGAGGTCCCGCGCCCGGGTCAGTGAAAGGCGTCTTCCCGTTCCCGCCCTCCGCCTCCTCTCGCCGGCCAGCAACATGGGATGTAATATGTGCGTGGTCCAGAAACCGGAGGAGCAGTACAAAGTGATGCTGCAGGTAGGGCCGCCGGCGCTGCGGCGGGGGCGCGGCCCTCCGCGGGGAGGAGCGGGCCAGTGGGGAGGCCCGGAGCGGCGGGCGTGGGAGAGCGGGAGGGCTCGAGGAGGACAAGGTAGGGAGCCGTCCGCACCCTCCCATCCTGGGGCTGTTGGGTGTTGGCGCTCCGTGGGAACCAGCCACGGGTGGGGTGGGAAGTTGGGGTTGGCCCGGGTGGGGCGCGCTTCCGTCCCGGGAGGCGCGGTGCGGCGGGCGCGGGATGGAGGTTGCATAGCAACGAGCGCAGTTCCCCGCACACGCTCTCCCCGCAGGACCCAGGGCGGGGGAGGGAGCCAGGCTCCCGCCGTGCGGGGGGCGCCGAATCTAGATCCCGGCGGGCCTGGAGCGTGGGAGTGCGTGGGCGTCCCCGGGCGCGGTCCAAGTCCGTCCGGGGGCTGGGTGCCCACCCCGACACCCACTCCCGCCTGGCCCTGCCCGAACGATGGGCTCCCGGGCCTTAGGCGTCTCGGGTGAGTGGGCGCCGCCGGGATCAGCGGGTTGGGCTCTCTGCGGGTGGCAGTGCCTGGCCGGGCTTTGCGGGGCGTGGACCAGCAGGGCCCCGCGGGGAGGGAAGGAGACGCGGGGCCCGGAGCTCGGACCTGGAGCCCAGCCCCGCGGCCCGGAACGGGGCTTCTTGCCTGTGCGTGGCGTGACTACGTGAGTGCGTTCCTGTGCCCCGTCTCTGTGTGCGCGGAGGCTCCCCCGGCCCCGCATTTGTGTACTTTCTGTGTGCACCCTGCAGACTGTCTAGAGAAATGTCCCGGATGCTGTGGGCTGAGACCTCCTAGGGCTAAGTGGAGGGAGGTCAAGGTCAAGGCACCCAGGAGCAGACAGGGCTCAGACAGGTATGCGTTTAGTGGCCTGGATTCAACTCCCGGGTTTATTGGTCTGGACTGGGAAGGAATCAAGTGCTTTGCAGGAGGGGTGTTGGCTTGGGAGAACGTGGGGGAACCCGTGCAGGGATCGGCGAGAACTCCGGGGCGGGGGCGGGGGCGGGGGAAGGAGGGGCTGGGCACGGGGGAGAATTCCCAGGAATCCGGGGACTGACTTCACGCTGTGAGCCGAGCTCCTCTGGCCACCTGGTGCGGGAGCCGAGGGGCAGGGCGGGGACGCAAATCTTGCCCCACCCTGGCGGAGCTCCTGGTCCTCTCTCCCCGGCCCTTCTCCGGGGGTGCGCGGGGCCCTCGGCTTCTCCCGTTCGCTGTCCTCCGCCTTCTTCCCTCTCAGTTCCCGGCTGCCACTCCTCGTCTCTTGTTCCCGCTGTTTGGAAACCTTGTGTGGCCATTGCCAGCCCCCTAGCGGGATAGGAATGCGACCGAGAGGGCGTCCTGTGGAATCCGTGTTGGATTCCAGGGCTGGGATGGTTGGTTGACGGGGACTCTGGATCCCATCCTCCTGCTTCCTTTTCGGGAGTCATTCCATCAAACGGCAAGCGATTTCTCCAAGCGATTCCTCCGGGGCCGTTTTGACTTTCCTGGAGAAGGATTGGTGTCGCACTTCATTTAAGGCCAACCTCGTGGGGACGTGTGGATAGGGGAGAGCGACCCGAGCTGCACCCCAGGCCTGAAATGAGCCATGGGACGACACCGGTAGCCCTTGGGGCTCCCCACAGCCCTCCGGGAAGGCCTCGGCAGGTCGGGCTGGGCCTGCCTTCAGGGAGGTGAACTTGGGTGGGCCCTCCCTGCTCTGCGCCCTAAGCTCTCCTTCATGGAAGGGACTTGCCCACCCCAAGGAGACCCGCCAGGAGGAGGGCCACTGCCGCATGCGCCCTCTGTGCGCTTTCCTGCTGGGCTCCCTTTGAAACCGTGGGAGTTTGGCTGCAAACTTTCACTTTCTACATTCCTCCTTGGCCCAATCAAAGCCGGGATTTTACGAGGAGAACCATCCTTCACAACTAAGGGAAAACAAGAGGACTGAAAAAAGTAGATACGGAAAGCAGTGCAAGCCATGAGCTGTCCCAGGGGACTGCGCTTCTGGGGGTGGACGCATCACCAGGTCCCAGCCTCTTCAGAGGAGAAGGAGCTTTTGTTCCAAAAGACAGGTCAGCTTCTGGGACCCCGTGCCTGCCTCCCGGCCTCCTTAAACACGGGTGCTCCCCCATCTTTAGGGGGCACTTCTCCCTGTCCCCCCTGAGTAACCTCGTCCGCACCTTGTCAGGGTGAGGCACTTCATGGGCCTGATTTTCAGAAAGAAGCACATGTGCATCTGCAGCGCCTTCCATCTACAATCCACAGAGGCCTGGGATCCCCAGGCCAGGAACCCCCAAGTCTCTAGCCTAGCCTTGTGTTCCAAGCCATTTTCTGCCAATGACTCACAACACTTCCAAAATTACAGCTGTATTGAGCTATCATTCTCCTACTGCACAACTTACCCTTTCAAAGTGTACAAGTCAGTGGTTTTTAGTATACTCACAAGGTTGTGCAGCCCACACCAGTAATTCCAGAACGTTTTCATCACCCCAAAAGAAACCCTGCACTCCTTAGCAATCACATCCCCATTTCTCCCTCAAACTTCCTAGCCCCTGGCACCCACCAATCTACTTCCTGTCTCTATGGATTTGTTTATTCTAAACATTTCATAGAAACTGACCTTTTGTGTCTGGCTTTCATTAATCATAATGTTTTCAAGGTTCATCCATGTATCAATAGTCAATTTCTTTTTATTGCCAAATAATATTTCATTTTGTGATATACAACATATTTATCCATTCGTCAGTTGATGAGCATTTGGGGTGCTTCCACCCTTGGGCTGTTGTGAATAGCGCTGCTGTGAACACTGGTCTACTTGTATCTGTTTGAGTCCTTGCTTTTAATTCTTTGGAGTGTGTGCCTGTAGCCATTGAACTGTTTTCCACAGTGGCTGGAACCAGTTTACATTCCCACCAGCAACATATAAGGGTTCCAATTTCTCTATATCTTTGCCAACAGTTGTTATTTTCTGGGTTTTTGTTATGGCCGTCCTGCTGGGTGTGAAGTGGTATCTCATTGTGATTTTGATTTGCACTTCCTGTTAGCTAAATGATGAGCACCTTTTCTTGTGCTTGTTGGCCATTTGTGGATCTTCTTTAGAAAAATGTCTGTTCTTAAGCCAGCGCCACACTGCTTTCATTACTGCAGCTTTGTAGTAAGTTTTGAAGTAAGGAAATGAGAGTCCTCCAACTTTGTACGTCTTTTTCAAGACTGTTTTGTCTATTCTAAGTCCCTCAAGTTTCCATATTAATTTCAGGATCAGGTTGTTAATTTCTGGAAAGAAGCCAGTTGGCATTTTGATAGAGATTGCATCAAATTTGTGGATCAATTTGGGTAGTATTGTTCATGAGCATGGGGTGCGTTTTCCATTTATTTAGGTCTTTAATTTCTTTACATGATGTTTTGCACTTTTGTTTAAGTTTATTCATGAGTATTTTCTTTATGATGCTATCATAAATGGAATCGTTTTCTTAATTTTACTTTCAGCCTTCTCATTGCTACTGTATAGAAATACAATTGATTGGCTGAGCGTGTTGGCTCACACCTGTAATCCCAGCACTTTGGGAGGCCAAGGCGGGTGGCTCACCTGTGCTTAGGAGTTCAAGACCAGCCTGGCCAACATAGTGGAACCCCGTCTCTACTAAAAATACAAAAAAAATTAACGGGGCATGGTGATGTGTGCCTGTAATCCCAGCTACTCAGGAGACTGAGGCAAGAGAATCGCATGAACCCCAGAGGCAGAGGTTGCAGTGAGCTGAGATTGCACCGCTGCACTCCAGCCTGGGTGACAGGGCAGGACTCTGTCTCAAAAAAAAAATTGATTTTTATACATTGATCCTATATCTTGCGACCTTACTAAAATTGTTTATTAAGTATAATTTGTTTAGTAGATTCCTCAGGATTATCTACATATTAGGATCATGTCATTGGCAAATAGAAATCGTTTTTCTTCTTCCTTTCCAATCTGGATGGCTTTGATTTCTTTTCTTTTCTTTCTTTCTTTTTTTTTTTTTTTTTGAGACACAGTCTCACTTTGTCACCCAGACTGGAGTGCAGTGGTGCAATCTCGGCTCACTGCAGCCTCCGCCTCCCGGGTTCAAGTGATTCTCCTGCCTCAGCTTCCCATGTAGCTAGGATTACAGGCACACACTACCACACCCAGCTAATTTTTGTATTTTTAGCAGAGACGAGCTTTTGCCATGTTGGCCAGGCTAGTCTTGAACTCCTGGCCTCAAGCAATCCTGCCCGCCTCGGCCTCCCAAAGTGCTGGGATTACCGGTGTAAACCACCGTTCCTGGCCCTTCGATTTCTTTTTCTTGTTAATTTGCTCTGGCTGGAGTCTCTAGTACAATGTTGAATAGAAGTGCCTGTGAATGTCTTTCCCTTGTTCCTCATCTTAAAGGTAAAGAAGCTTCCAGTCTTTCACTAGGGGGTATAAAGTTAGCTGTGGCTTTTTCATAGCTGTCCTTTATCAGGGTAAGGAAGTTCCCATTCTATTCCTAGTGTGTTTTTATCATGAGAGGCATTGGATTGTGCAGTGCTGCTTCTGTGGCTAGTGAGATGACCACATGGTTCCTTTATTCCACGGATGTGGGTTGTCACAGGCACTTTCGTGTGTCATGTCGGAACCTCAGCCCCATTCCTATATTCCAATCATGTCCTCCTAGTTTGGAAAATCTGGGACCTCCCCTGAAAATGGAGGATTACTGCGTGTTGAGTTAGGAAAAGGAAGCAGGCTGGTTGCCCAGAATGGAAGGCAGGAAACAGCATGTCCCCAGCTCCGGAGCCTTTTCTGCAGCCCATGTCCCTCCACTGCCACCAGGCCCCCTTGTCATATATCTCATCGTGGTCCACACTCTGCTGAACTTGTCTTGGCCTTGGCACCCCCTCTCTGACACCATGATGTGCTTGCTAGCATCCGAGCACGCCGGAGATGGTCAGGGGATAAACCCCTGGTACTTAGGACTGGTCTCCCGCCCATCCTACTCAGGCTTTACAGGGGGAGTGGGTCAGGACCGCCTGTCATCTCCCCTCTGTCCACATCGAGGGAGGCCAAAGGACAGCTGGCCAGCCCTTCTGGTGATCTCCCAGGCATTCTTGCCTAAAGCACCTGCATGTGAGCCCCCATGGTGCTGGCAGCCATCCTGGGTGCGTGGCATTCAGCAGGGAGACACTGCAGACAGGGCCTTGCCCCTCCCCCAGACTCCCCTTTTGTTGTTGTTGTTGTTGTTGTTTGAGACAGAGTTTCGCTCTTGTTGCCCAGGCTGGAGTGCAATGGTACGATCTGGGCTCACCAAAACCTCCGCCTCCAGGGTTCAAGCGATTCTCCTGCCTCAGCCTCCCGAGTAGCTGGGATTACAGGCATGCGCCACCATGCCTGGCTAATTTTGTATTTTTAGTAGAGATGGGGTTTCTCCATGTTGGTCAGGCTGGTCTTGAACTCCCGACCTCAGGTGATCCACCCACACCGGCCTCCCAAAGTGCTGGGATTACAGGAGTGAGCCACCACGCCTGGCCCCAGGCTCCCCTTTTTGTAAGGGGGAGACCATCGCCAACATGTAGGCAACTGCGGGGGAGAGAAAGTACTGCTTGAGTGCGGGAGCGTGGCTGGCAGCCAGTGTCCCCTCTTCAGCGACGTCTTCCTCCAAACTGCTCTCCCACCCACCAAGCCAGGTGGCTTCTCTGGCTCCCTCCTGCTTGCATGGGGGCTTCCTGTGAGCAGGGATTTGGGTCTGGCATGGGCACTCTGCCTCCCCGCCTCACCAGCACCAGATGCTGCCAGCACATCCACGCTGGCCTCCACCCTTCCAGGGGAAAGCTGGACTCTCAGTCAACTCAGTGGTTCTGCCGCAGAAGCTGACTGGGGAAGAAGCAGGCTCTGAGAAAGTCCTTGTGGAGTGGAAGAACAGAGGGCTGGACACTGAATTCTGACTGCCATCTTCTGGACCAGGTCATCCTGTTTTGTGTCATTGTCCCAAGATTGTAGAATGCCCTTTCCCCTCTCATCTCGGGGTTCCTGAGGACTGTCCAGTCTGCTGAAATGAAATTCGATAGTGCCAGAGAGCAGATTCGTGGTTGCAGGGATGGGCAGAGGGGCATGAGGACACTTTTGGGGAAGATAGAAATGGCCACTGTCCTGACGGTGGTGATGGTTCCCCAGGTTCATGTATGACATATGAACACCTGCCCTTTGCACACTGAAGATGTGCAGGTTACCACCCAGCAACAGACCTCACCAAAGCTTTAGAACAGGAACTCCATGGCCACATGCACGCATCCTGGGGAGAAAGGTGTCCTTTCCTTCCTTCTACTTCAGGGGCCCTGCCAGAGAAGGCAGTGCAGTGTGGAGATAGGAATGGAGGCAGCCACCAACTGACAGCTGTGTGGCCAGGGGCAAGTCGCTGCATGGCCCACTGGCTCAGTGACTCAGTTTCCTCAACTGTGAAATGGCAGTGAAGAGTGCTTGCGTCCGAGGGCCATTGTGACAAGGAAAACAGATGGTGTGTCCCCCGGGATCTCACTGGGTGGAGGAGGGAGTTGCTGCCCTCGGGCCATTCAGTTGGTCATTAAGAAGTGGAAATTGGCTGGGTGCGGTGGCTCACGCCTGTAATCCCAGCACTTTGGGAGGCCGAGGCGGGTGGATCATGAGGTCAGGAGTTCGAGACCAGCCTGGCCAGCATGGTGAAACCCCATCTATACTAAAAATACAAAAAATTGACCAGGCGTGGTGGCTCACGCCTGTAATCCCAGCACTTTGGGAGGCTGAGGTGGGCGGATCACCTCAGGTCAGGAGTTCGAGACCAGCCTGACCAACATAGAGAAACCCCATCTCTACTAAAAATACAAAATTAGCCGGGCATGGTGACACATGCCTGTAATCCCAGGTACGCGGGAGGCTGAGGCAGGAGAATTGCTTGAACCCGGGAGGTGGAGGTTGTGGTGAGCTGAGATCACGCCATTGCACTCCAGCTTGGGCTCGAAACTCCATCTCAAAAAAAAATATATATATATATATTAGCTGGGCATCATGCACCTGTAGTCCCAGCTACTCGGGAGGCTGAGGCAGGAGAACTGCTTGAACTCAGCAGGTGGAGGTTGCATGAGCCAAGATCAAGCCACTGCACTCCAGCCTAGGTGACAGAACGAGACCCTGTCTCAAATAAATAAATTAATTAAATAAAAAATAATGAAAAAGGAAATTATATGGAGAAGGCCTTACATCTGGGTATGTCACAGTTAATGCCCAGTGACAGAAGAATGTCCAATATTATTCTGAGAATTTCTCTCAGGAAAGGGACCTCCAAGTTTTGAAGAAGTGTGATGTAGTACAATATTAGTTAGGACAGCCTGGGCAACATATTGAGACCTTGTCTCTACAAAAATAAAAAATTGCTCAGGCGTAGTGGCATGCGCCTCTAGTCCCAGCTTCTGGGGAGGCTGAGTGGGAGGATTGCTTGAACCCAGGAGTTGGAGGCTTCTGTGAGCCGTGATTGTACCACTGCACTCTAGCCTGGGCAATGGAGCCAGACTGTGTCTGGAAAAAAAAGAAAGAAAGACAGAGAGAAAGAGAGAGAGAGAGAGGGAGGGAGGGAGAGAGAGAGAGAGAGAGAAAGAAAAAACAGATGGACAGGGAACAAAGCGGAGGCATATGTGGTCATTTTGCACAGGAGTTGGGCCGGAGGAGGCGAGGCTGAGCAGCCTGGGGCTGGACAAGATGTCCTCCCTTTCAGTGCATTCTGCCTGTCCTCATGGCTGCTTGGAGCATTGAGAATGAAAAACGCTGCAGAGGGAATATTGCTTTGATTGTAAAACGCTGCAGAGGGAATATTGCTTTGATTGTTGCTAGATGTGAACTGTGCCCTTAGCCAGTCAGGTTAGCCTGAGGTGGGTGGGAGGATGGGTTTAGTTGCTGGGCCACGTGCCTGGAAAGCTGTGAATATGTACCCGAAGGTTGATCTTGAGAATGGCTTCAGGAAGTGGTTGGCTTTTCCTGTGCAAGGTGTGGGACACCCCTCTTTTCCTGTGTGTTTTTTTTTTTTTTTTTTTTGAGACAGAGTCTTGCTCTGTCACCCAGGCTAGAGTGCAGTGTTGTGATCTCGGCTCATTGCAGCCTCCGCCTCCTGGGTTCAAGCAATTCTGCCTCAGCCTCCCGAGTAGCTGGGATTACAGGCACCTGCCACCACGCCTGGCTAATTTTTGTATTTTTAGTAAAGACAGGGTTTCATCATGTTGGCCAGTCTGGTCTCAAACTCCTGACCTCTAGTGATCCGCCTGCCTCGGCCTCCCAAAATGCTGGGATTACAGGCGTGAGCCACCGCGCCCGGCCTCCTTTCTGCTTCTGAGCCAGGACTATGGAGGTGTCTGAGAGGCCGCCGCTCTCCCGGAAAGGTGGGGGCCAGGTGGATTGATGAGACTTCAGCAGACCCTGGGCTTCGGGGAGGGAAGGAGAAGTGAGGGGAAAGAAAGATGCCCTCATGCAGAAGGCCTTCGTTGAGGTCTGCCCTGGTTCCTCCAGGGCGCGCTCTGAGTCAGTACAGCGCCACCCTCCACCCGAAGTCCTTGTTAAGGTGCACTTTCTGACTGAGCCACTAGCATGGGGCCTGGGATTCTGCACTTCTCACAAGCTCCCAGGTGATGTGGATCCCACTGGCTGTGAGTAGCCAGGGCCTTGGGTAGGGACCGGGAGTAGATCTATGGTAGCCCCAAACCACATTAACATGGGTGGTGAAGTGAGGTGTTGTTTTTTTTGTTTGTTTGTTTTGTTTTTTTTTTTTACAAATAGAGGGTAAAAATTGTTTACAAATAGAGGGTAAAAAAACACACATAGAGGGTAAATCAGAACATCCAGGAGTCGTTGCCTACGTGAGGGCTTTACAGGACATAACTTGTTCTTCCCTGCCATGTGCAGCTAACTGACCCCCTTCCCTGTCACCGGCACCCCTACCGGTATACATGTCTCTCATGGACGCCCAGACACCCCTCCCCCGACTAACTGCTCAAAGGCCTTTGAGATGAAGCCCTCCCATGTTTCTGTCTCTCCTGCCCCCAGGCAGAAAGGGTGGGCACAGAGTTATGGAAGCGGGTGGTGTGGCTTGCCCAGGAGGCCACAGTTGGGGGCGTGGGCAGCCATGCTACTTGCCGGGCCTGTCACCTCTTTGTCCCTGCTAGAATTCTAACATGTTGGTGGAGACATTTTGCAGCCACCAATGCAGTAATTAATTCAGGCAAAAATCATCACTGGATGCCAAAACCATTAGATGTAAGGTCGTTGGGGACAGAATATTCACAAAGTCTCCAAATATTACCCCAAATTACCTGTGAATCAGGAAGGGAAACTGCGTCTTTACAGAGGAGAGATCTGGCAGCTGCCACCTGGACCATGTGATCAAACAGCCTCCCCAACAGTGGGGCAGCCTGACCCTGCCAGCCGCCAGATGCAGGGCTGGGGAGGAGACATACAGCATCTCCTGCAAGGTGCTCTTGTCAAAACGCTCAGCCTGAATCTCACCGCGGGAATGAATCAGGCAAATTCAGACTCTGGCGCATTCTATAAGGACTGGTCTCTTCCAAGAAGTCATTCCCATTAAAGTAAAAAATATATATATTTTTTTCTAGATTAGAGAGGAGACATAATAACTAGAGACCTAACAACCGAATGTAATATGTGTGCTTCTTGATTGAATCCTAGATTTTTTGTTTGTTTGTTTTGTTTTTGAGATGGAGTCTCTCTGTGTCACCCAGGCTGGAGTGTGATGGTGTGATCTCAGCTCACTTCAACCTCTGCTTCCTGGGTTCAATCAATTCTCCTGCCTCAGCCTCCCAAGTAGCTGGGACCATAGGCTGCACCACCACGCCTCGCTTTTTTTTTTTTTTTTTTTTTTTTTGAGATGGAGTCTTGCTCTGTCGCCCAGGCTGGAGTGCAGTGGCACGATCTCGGCTCACTGCAACCTCCTCCGCCACCCGGGTTCAAGTGATTCTCCTGCCTCAGCCTCCCTAGTAGCTGGAACTACAGGTGCAAGCCACCACGCCCGGCTAATTTTTGTATTTTTAGTAGAGACGGGGTTTCACCATATTGGCCATGCTGGTCTCGAACTCCTGACCTTGTGATCTGCCCGCCTCAGCCTCCCAAAGTGCTGGGATTACAGGCATGAGCCATTGTGCCCAGCCTCAAATCCTAGATTTTTAAAAAAAGCTATAAGGGTGTTAGCGGGACAGCTGGGGAGATGTGAGGCTGGCCCATTGTATGAGTGCGGAATTCCGTGCTAAGGGTGTTGTGGTTCCACGGAGAATGGGACTGATGGCATCTTGCTTTCAAATGCTTCTGCACATGTGTGTGTAGAAACCCCGAGAGCAGGTGTGGGGAATCTGCAGATGTTCCCACATGCTTGTGGGCGGACAATTTTCAAAATCCCGAGCTGGGGAAACATGAATGGGGACTTTGCTGGGTCACTGAGTGGGTGAATGTAGTGAGCCTGCGGCTTCTCCTTTCTCCTCTGATGCTCTACTCGTTGGGAGATCCCCCGATGCCTGACTTGGCCTGGAAGCTACAGTCACAACTGCTTCCAAGGTGTCCTGGATACTCCAGACGGCAGAGCTGAGAGCCAGCAGGCAGGTCAGAGCTCGGCCCCGGGCAGAGGATAACTTCCTGTCTCTGTCCTTCCCCAGCTTGTTTCCTACTCTACAGCAGTGGGGTAAGGGGAGTCCGAAGGTGGCAGCCCCCCCACCTCCGTGGCAGCCACGGGGGCCCCTGGAAGTGATGTGGCTTCACCTCCCATCCCGCGCGTTGCCAGTGAGAGTGAAAGGGGTCGCAGGCGCCGTGTGACAAGCACTTGGGATTGCGAGTCTCCCAGGCCACAACTGTTTTCTTAGCCTCTCCGGCCTCTCTTCTCGGCTTCCCAGAGATTCCTGATCAGCAAGAGGGCGTCGCGCCCCACCCGGCTGTGCGCCTGCCACCGCTGGGTGCAGGAGGGTGCCTGGGGCAGAGCCTGGAAACAGAGCTCAGCCTCCGACGGGGTTGGCGGGGCGGGCGGGCAGGAGTCCTGCCAATACAGCCACCAGCGTGGCGGCGCCGGGACGAGTGTGGTCCGCCCTGCTCCCGCAGCCGCAGCCACCCCGCCGCCGTCGCGGCGCGCTCTTTGTCTGCGGCTCCGGGCTCAGGGGGCGGGGCGAGCGCGCCTGGGGCTCCGCCCTCTCCGCCTAGGGCGCCCCGCTTCCCGCGTCCCCTAAGGCCCGCCAGTCCCTTGCCCAGCGGGAGATCGCCGCCCCACAGCGACTGCCCGTGGGGCCGACTTCGCGTCATGCCTGCCTCGCCTGCCCGGTGTTGCCCCCTCCCCTGTCCCTGTGTCCCCCCTCCCTTGCCCGCATGTCCCCCTCATGCGGGGAAAGCGGTGCCAGCACTTTCCCTGGCCTTGCGAATTGCTCTTCCATCGGTATTCAGCCGCCCCTCTGATGTTCCTGAAAACCCAACCTGCTCCTTCTCTGCAAAAAGCTCCGGAAGGCTGTGTCGATGCAGGTCGAGCTTCCCCACCCGGCCCCCTCCCACCTTTTAGCAAATCCAGAGGCCCCACCTTCGCCCTCCCCTCCCGGGCTCCGACCCAGTGCATTGAGCAGCTCCTCGGCTTCCCTCCCGGGACTTTCTAGTCTCTCTCCCCAACCGGCTCAGTGTCAGGGTGCCCCAGGACTCTCCTTGGGCCTCTCCTGTTCTTGACTACATTCACTCCCTAGGTGAGCTCCTCCATCTCATGCTTTTGCTTTTTAAATTTTTATTTATTTATTTTTAAATTTTTATTATTTTTGAGACAGGGTCTCAGTCCGTTGCTCAGGCTGGAGTGGAGTGGCACAATCACGGCTCACTGCAGCCTTGACCTCCCAATGCTCAGGTGATCCTCTTGCCTCAGCCCTACCGCCTGCCCCCTACCTCCTCCACCACTTGGGGCTACAGGAGCGAGACACCACGCCCAGCTTCATCTCATGATTCTTTTTTTGTTTGAGACGGAGTCTTGCTCTGTTGCCCAGGCTGGAGTACAGTGGTGTGATCTGGGCTCACTGCAACCTCCACCTCCTGGGTTCCAGTGGTTCTCCTGCCTCAGCCTCCCAAGTAGTTGGGATTACAGGTGCCTGCCACCACGCCCTGCTAATTTTTGTATTTTTCGTAGAGATAGGGTTTCGCCATGTTGGCCAAGCTGGTCTCGAACTCCTGACCTCAAGTGATCCGTCTGTCTCGGCCTCCCAAAGTGCTGGGACTACAGGCTTGAGCCACCGTGCCTGGCCGTCATCTTATGATTTTAAATAAAGAAAAATTCCTAGTTTAATTGAACAGCAATGGTCACATGCCACCCAGTTAGCTGACTTGGGCTTGGGCCAGACATTTGGAGTGGGGCACTGGAGATGTCCACATGCCTCGGGAAGTTCAAGCTAGAGATAAAAACCTTCCATTTCCTGCCCTGGGCCTAATCCCTGAGTCCTTCCTTCCTCGGTCTTCCTCACTGCTGTGAGGATACCCCTGGTCCTTGTGGTCCTGTGTGGCAATTTTATGTTTTCTTGTGGTAAGATACGCATAACATAACATTTACCACTAGTGACTTTTAGTCTATTCTCAATGTTGTGCAGCCGTGGCCACTGTCTAGTTCCAGAACAGGTTCATCGCCCCAAAAGGGACCTCATATCCCTCAGCAGTGACTCCCCAGGCCCCCCTTCCTCCAGGTCCTGGCAACCATTCGTCTGCTTTCTGTCTGCCTCTTTGCCTTGGCTAGACTGTGCTCATGCAGTCGTGTGTGCCGGTCGTTCATTCTTTTTATGTCGGGATGGGTGTACCATGTTGTGCTCGCTCATCCATTCATCCACTGGTGGACACGGGTTGCCTCCGAGTCTTGGTTACTATGGATACTCTGCTGTGAGCATTTGAGTATAAGTTTTCTTTGCATGCCTGTTCTCAACTATGGATACTCTGCTGTGAGCATTTGAGTGTAAGTTTTCTTTGCACGCCTGTTCTCAGTTCTTTGGGGATTGCTGGGTCATGTACATAAGCTACACCTAACCTTGTGAGGAGCCACCAGACTGCTTCCCTGGCTGCACTATTTTACATGCCCAGCAGCAAGGCGTGAGGCTCCAGGGTCCCCGCGTCCTCTCCAATACTCGTGCTTCCTTTCACTGATTCCAGCCTCCTCGTGGTGTGCGGCGGTATCTCACTGTGGTTTGGGTGTGTGTTTCCTCTGTGCGTACTGGCCGGTGCTGACGCGTCTTTTCCTGCGCTTATTCGATGTCTTCTTCAAGCCCTCACTGTCCCTTGCCCCCAGCCCAACAGCAGGTCCTGGCAGCCTACCTCTAAAACCCAAGCTGACTCTGACCACATCCCACCACCTCTACTGCCACCCCTGGGGTCATGCCACCATCATCTGTGGTCTGGACCACTGCCGTTGCCTGCTGGTCTGGCCCTTACAGTCTGTTCTCCTGGGAGCTCCCTTCGCTACAAGGAAGGAAGCATGGCTGGTTTCTTGTCATCATTTAGGTCTCAGCTCAAGTGTCACCGACCCAGAGAGGCTGTCCTGACCACTCTACCCACCCAGGCAGCTTTGTCTCTGTCCCCTCCCACCTTCCAACCAAGCCCCTTGGGGAGCGGAACGGGATGGGGGGTGTGTTCTGGATCCACCGTCTCTCCCTTCAGCTCCTTGGCACTCCTTTCCTATGGGGCACCCTGTCCAGGGCAGGTGGGGCAGGATTCCCCCCTCTTCCCTCATCTCCCGTGCTTCCCGGGCCCACCCCCCAGCATCTCCAGCCTGCCCGGGAGTCACATGTCCTCGGCCCACAGAATCCCCAGCACACGCCCCACCCACAGGCCTAGCCCCAGCCCTGGGGTCCCTGGCACCCCACCTGCCAGGGCCCCTCCCCTGCCTTGCTCACCCCCCAACACACCTGATTGTTGGAAAGGTCTTCCCATGCCCACCACGACCCCCTCCCACTCATCTGTGGGCGGGAGAGCTTGGTCCCTGCCGCACGTTGCCCCCCTAGCATCCAGGCCCACCACCGAGCCCCCGACAGGCCTGGGAGCCCCACTGGTGGGTGGGGACCCACCAGCTGGGGGTCTTGCTCACACCGAGGGGCTGGGGGTGGCGGTGGCTTTCTCAGGGCACCCTGCCTTGGGCTGCAGGCCGCTGGGTGGGCACCGGCTCCCTCGGAAGGCAGCGCAACCCGGGATCCTGCCGGCCCTGGCCCCCACCCTGCCGACCGGGCCTGGGGCGATCAGTGCCCCAGCTCCTGTCCTCTTCTGCTCAGATGCTGGGTTGGGAGATCAGGGGCCACAGCTCGGCCACTCAGAGCCCTTTCCGCAAGTCTTAGAGGGACCAGCTGCGGGGTGTGTGCAGAGGGGCTGCGCTGTGGGGAGGGCGCATGGCTCAGTCCTCCTGGCCTGAGGCCCGCCTAGCCTAAGTGGCCTCCAGGACCCATGGCCAGGCCCTTCTGCAGCCTTCCAGAAAGAACCAGCTTCCCAGGGTTCCCTGGGGAAGGCCTGGGGCCACCTCCTCTGGAGGGGTGGGGCCTGTGCTTCATTCCTCCTTCCCCAGGTCCCCTTCCAGGCCGCCAGGTCCCCTCCCCGACCTGGAGCCCACAGCCTTGTAATTAAATTGTAAACGTCCTTGTAATTAAATTCATGTAATATCCATTATTATTATTACTGTTTTAGACTAAATTACTTAGAGCACATTGACTGGATCAAAGGCTACCATGAACGTTTTCAAGGGTTTTTATAGTTATTGACAAATTCTTCTCCAGAAATTTGACCACTTTACACTCTGGGGTAAGATTCAGACTAAGTGTGTCTAGAAAGGGTGATGGGGTCGGCTGGGAGGAGGAACTGGGCTTGCAGGGGACCTGGGGCAGTGAGTGCTCTCAGTGTGCAAAGGGGAACTGGGCTGTCCCAAGCAGGATGTGAGGGCCACTTGGGCCACATTCAGGCAGAGGGGCCCTGCTAAGGCTTGAGTCCCCTGTTCAGAGCAGGGACCATGGTGGAAATTAAGGACGTTCATGTCAACTGTGGTTGAGATTGGAGCTGCAGTCCTAGAGTCAGCCCTCTTGGGCCCATCTTGGCAGCAAATCAGGAAGGAAGTAGATCTGTGTGCTGAAGAGTCGCCATGGGGCACGTCAAGCCCCTGGCTGAGCCGTGGTGTGCTCACAGGCTGCTGCACTCCCCGGGGCAGCGGAGTGCCAGGGACTTGTATTTTCATCTTTGTGCTCCTCCGCCTCCTCAGTGTGGCGCTCTGAGCACTTCGATTATTTGAAAGGAAATGCGAAAATTTGTACAAAATCTATTGTGCTAGCACGTGATGGAGGAGGGGTCTTTGTGAACAGGCTTTGAGGGTTTGCTTGGCTCACAGCTCACTACCCAGTCAACAGGGTTGACTGCCACGGGGTGACCTCGCTAAGGTGAAGCATGATGCCCAGCACGTGGTCAGGATGGCACGGGAGCACTGGAGAAGATGAGAGTCGCTGGGAACCTGGGCGAGGGGGGACAAGGGGCATTTGAGTGGGCTTCAGGTACGTGAAGTGTTGCAAGATAAAGTGGGTTTCTTCTGGATTGTTCCAAAGGAGGGAGGTTGCTCTCAATGAAGGAAACATTCAATAGTGAGAGTTTTCCGATAATGAGCTCAGTCAACAATCCCCACTCTCCCCATACTAGAGAAGCAAAGTGGATTTCTTCTGGATTGTTCCAAAGGAGAGAAGTTTGCACTTGATGAAGGAGACTTTTTTTTGGGGGGGGGGTGGGGGGTGGATGGAGTCTGACTCTGTTGCCCAGGCTGGAGTGCAGTGGTGCAATCTCAGCTCACTGCAGCCTCCACCTCCCAGGTTCAAGTGATTCTCCTGCCTCAGCCTCTCAAGTAGCTGAGATTACAGGCGTGCACCACCATGCCCGGCTAAGTTTTGTATTTTTAGTTGAGACGGGGTTTCACTGTGTTGGCCAGGCTGGTCTCGAACTCCTGACCTCAGGTGATCTGCCTGCCTTGGCCTCCCAAAGTGCTGGGATTACAGGCGTGAGCCTCCGTGCTGGGCAATTTTTGTATTTTTAGTAGAGTCCGGGTACATCAGACTCAGGGGCTGGGTCATGCCTGTAATCTCAACACTTTTGGGGGGACTAAGCAGATGGCTTGAGCCCAGGAGTTCGAGACTAGCCTGGGCAACATGGTGAAACCCCATCTCTTATTATTATTATTTTTTAAAAGGTAGATCAGATAAATTACAGGTCCTTAATATATATTCAACAAATTACAGAAATATATAAAATTTTAATTCAGCCAAGAAACATATTAAAGTTTTATCTTCAGCAAACTGTTAGGAGTTGGGATGGAAGTAGAACTCAGGGTGAAGCCCTCTTGGGGTTTGTTGTCTAATGAAAGGGAGGTAATTAGACAATCACACATAAAAGGCTGAGCTCCAGCCTGGGTATCTTGAGGCCTCCTGGACTTGCTGTAGCATCTGGAGAAGTATGGGGCATCATCTCGCATCACTTAGCACCAGCACTGCCACCCAGCCTTGATGTGGGTCCTGTTGGCCTGAGCGTTTTTCCTTGAAGAAGGTATTAAAAGCAGATTGAAGCCGCCTGTGCCCACCCATCCCCTACGCACTTCATCTGCTCGCCTCTCTGCCGTGTTTTCCACCAAGTACATACTACGAATGAGCCTCCATTATGTGCGCCTCCATTAACTGCACATGCGGAATACCAGGAATTGTTTGTTCGACTGCTGGCAGACCTTTGGGCTGTCCCTGGTGTTTGGCCACTGTGGCCTTCATGCCCACATCCTCCTGGTCCTCCTGGTGGTGGTTCTGAAGGGCATCTCCTCTCATCTCATGGCTCCAAGTGCTTGCTAGTGGGTCCCCTTTGCCCTGAGCACCTGTTGATATCCTTTGCCCATGTTCTTCTTGAGTTGTTTGTGTCTGTGTTTTCTTGTTGTTTTGTAGGAATTCTTTGCATATTCTGGAAAACCCATTATGAGGTCCATGCATTGTAAGGCTCTCCTCTGAGCCCGCCTTTTTACTGTGTTTAGGGTGTCTTTTGTCGTCTAGAAGTTTTACATCTCTTCCATTATTGCTTCCCCATTTGAAATATTGAGAATTTCGTCTCTATCCCACACCATAAAGATATTGTTCTCTTGTTTTGCTTTGTCCCTGTAGGTCTTTGATCCAATTGGAATTGCTTGGCCAGGGCTTGGACTAGGTCTTCTGTCTTGGTGGGGCGAGCTCCCAGGGTGTGGAAACGTTTGCAGGTGGGGCAGGAGGGAGAGTCTGGTGGGAAGCAAGCCTGGGGTTGGCCATGTTGAGTGTTTGTGCCTTTTAGAGACTGGAGTGGTCGAGTAGGCAATCCGAGGGTTGGGGCATTACAGGGGTGGCTTTACCAGTGTGCTACCTCAGGATGGTTGGGGGTGGGGCGGGGAGGCAAGGCTCTGAGCAGGACTGGAAGAGCTGCTGTCATCAGAAGGGCCACAGTGTGGCTCCTTACCATGTGCCTGGCCCTATACCTCTTTGCTCATGGCCCCATATTTTCCCACCTTGTTGGTAGCCCTTAGCCCTTCCCCAGAGGGGAGCTCATTTCTTCCTTGGGGGTCCAGCATGACCGATGAGGAGGAGAGAGAGAGAGAGCGAGAAGGCTTCAGGAGCCCGTGGCTTCCACCCAAATACCTGCCTGGCTGTCACAGGCGATCACTCTGGTTGCTGCTGATCCGAGGTGCTGAGGCTGTGCCCACGCCCATCCCCCTCTTGACATCCCAGCCTCCGCCAGCCCGCCCAGCAAGCGCTCCTCAGTTTCCATAGCAACACTGCTGCTCGGTAATGATTCCGGGTAGAAAGGCATTCGTGCGTTCTCTGTCATCTCTGTCACCTGAGCATCCCACTGCCTGCTTGCTGTCCTGCCCCGGGAGTTCAGGAAGAAACCCTGAGGACAGCTCCGAGCCCTTCTGCTTGTGTGTTGGCTTCTCCTCAAGGGCAGTGGTAAGGTGGTAAATGTTCCCAGACAAAAAGCCCTGATTTGGAGCATTTGCCGATTTCCCTGGTGTAAATGCTGCCACTATAGCCGATTTCAAGCCACCACTGCGATGTCACTGAACTTGGAGTTGGGGGAATGCACACATAGTATTTCCATCTCCCATACCAGATGTGAATAACCCCAAAAGCACAGATGACAGAAAAGTGTAGTAAGATAATTAGACAGTGATGTGTTCCGAGGATTTATTGCCTTTGTTGTTAATATCATTCAGTTACCTGTACATTTCTACGGTTAAAATACCAATAATCGCTGTGTTTGACAACTGGCTTCCAAATTTCCCAGCTTCAGTTGGCTCTAGCCACTGCTGCTGAGAGTGTCGAGGCCATTCCATCATGTCCCTTTGTCTACAGCCTTCCTGAACCCACACTCTGCTGCCGCCCACCCTCTTCCATCCTGCCTTTCTAACTGTAGCCTCTCCACCAAGCACAGCATGCCCTGTCCTGACTGACATTCTTACGGTCTTCCAACAAATACCTTCTTGGCTGAAAGCTGTTTCCTTTATAGTATTTGATCCAGAAATTCCACCTCAAGAAATTTTCTCCACCTTGACAACCACTGGTTACACAAAGATTTAAGTATGAAAAATGTATAAAATGGACCCCAGAATGTGTCTTTGCCACATTCTTTATAATAAAAAATCAAAGCCACCCTTACTGATGTGATGATGAACATGATGGTCCACTGGTGTGTTGGTGTGGATGGACCTTAAGGGGCCTGCAGCTGCAAAATGGCACACATAGAAAACAGACTGGAAGGAAACAGGCCGCATGGCCAGGTGCGGTGGCTCATGCCTATAATCCCAGCACTTTGGGAGGCTGAGGCAGGAGGATTACTTGAGGTCAGGAGTTTGAGACCATCCTGGCCAACATAGTGAAACCCCATCTCTACTAAAAATACAAAAATTATCCAGGCGTGGTGGTGGGTGCCTGTAATCCTAGCTATTGGGGAGGCTGAGGCAGGAGAATCACTTGAACCCAGGAGGCAGAGGTTGCAGTGAGCCAAGATTATGCCACTGCACTTCAGCCTGGATGACAGAGCAAGACTCTGTCTAAAAAAAAAAAAACAACAGCTGGGTGTGGTGGCACACACCTGTAGTCCCAGCTACTTGGGAGGCTGAGGCAGGAGAATTGCTTGAGCCCAGGAGGTGGAGGTTGCAGTGAGCCAAGATCGTGCCACTGCACCCCAGCCTGGGCAACAGAGCAAGACTCCATCTCAACAAAAAAAAGCCCCCAAAAAACAAAAAAATGAACTGTGTTTCTTTTATAATCGGACAAAACTGATTTTGACAAAAAGCTCTTTTCAGAATATGAAAATTTTGGGGAGAAGGGAGACATAGAAAACTTCAATGATTATCTACAAGGACATAGTCAAATAGAAAAAAAGTAATGCAGGAGCCGCTGCTGAGGCCACAGGGGTTCCGAGGACAAGCTGGGCTCTCCTCAGATAGCTGTCTTCCCGAAAAGACTCGTACAGCGGTGGTTCTACTGTATCGCGGGCACTAAGACAAGATTTTGCCGTCAGAATTGACATCTCTGTGAGAAACCCGGGGTGGGAGGTGCCGCCGTGAGAATGCAGGACAGAGAGTTCTTCTAAACTTGCTAATATTCGCACAACTCGGAAAAGCAGAGGGCTCCGTGCAGGCGCAGCCACCTGCGCCCATGCCCAGGGCCCTTCTGCCCTCTCATCTGGCACAAGCTCCCAGCCTGCTCCATCCCTAGGCGGACTCTGGGTCTCCTCGCCCTGCCCTCTCTGTGCTGACTGGGGGCTTTGCTTCCAACTGCAAACCAGCCTCCCTGGGTCTTTTCTTGGCCCTGTTCCCTTTGCCTGATGGAGGCCAGGTGTCCCCTGCTCCAGAAGCCTTCCCCGCCTCCCACCGAGGCGTGCATGGCCAGCCGTGTGCTCCCTTAGCTGTGGGTAAGGTCTGTCCCCACGCTCACCTGCGGGGCATAGCCATTTGGGCATAATGCTAGTGTGTAGCCTCCCCAGGCCCAGAACAGCCCTTCCATAAGCCGCTGAGCCCATGAGGAGACCCTGCACGCCTGCCTCGAGCTGCCTCCTCCTAGAAGTGCTTCCTGCTGACCCTTGCTGGCCCCATGGCACGTGCCCTGAATTCTGGTGGAGTCTGTTCAGTCCTTCTTGGTCCTTAGTCATTCGTCCCTTCTCTACTTGCCTCCCTTCCCCAAGGAGGACTTGAAGGTCGCAGCATACTGTCCCAGGGTGCTGCGGAAGCAGCCTTCGACCTTGTGGGCACTGCTTGCCCCACCACCTGCGCTGTGCGTAATGGGCTTCCTTCTGCTACCCTTCATTGTCCTTCCTTCACCCCTACAGCATCCCGCAGAGCTGCTTAGGTCCTACTTCCGCCTTGGGCCCTGGCCCGCGATGGCCTCCTCCTCCCTGACCCCTCCTTCTGGCCACCGGGCAGCCTGTCCTGGCTCATGACCTTGACTCAGTGCCACAACCTTGCTGAGCTTGCTGACATGGTTTCCTCATCTGCAATAATGGCATCTCCCTCAAGGTTGTTGGGGGTTAGGATTTTGTGGAGACCCACATCAGGGGTCTTTCCCAGAATGTAGCACATGGCACGTGCCCAAAAAACAGTAGTGGCATTTTTTTTTCTTTGAGACGGAGTCTCGCTCTGTCGCCCAAGCTGGAGTACAGTGGTGCGATCTCGGCTCACTGCAAGCTCCGCCTCCTGGGTTCATGCCATTTTCCTGCCTCAGCCTCCCGAGGAGCTGGGACTACAGGCGCCCACCACCACGCCCGGCTAATTTTTTGTATTTTTAGTAGAGATGGGGTTTCACTGTGTTTAGCCAGGATGGTCTCGATCTCCTGACCTCGTGATCTGCCCGCCTAGGCCTCCCAAAGTGCTGGGATTACAGGCGTGAGCCACCGCACCCGGCCTAGTGGTGGCTTTATAAGGACCACTTTCTTGGCACCTCTTTTAGGCTACTTTGCAGTTCCAGGGGGCTTCTTGTACATCAAGGCCTTTTCTCTTGGGCAAGTCAGTTGTCACTGTGAGGACACAACACTGTATCTTTAGGCATCTTCCTACTTGTCCCCCAACCTGACCCTGGCCCTCCCTAGTGAGTAGACATTTGTTGAGAGACTCGGCTCATCTGAAGAGTCAAGGTCATCCTCTTGCTTGATGCTGAATGAGCACAACACAGATGCTCACTGAGTGTTGGCTGTTATGGTCCAGTCATTGCCAAGGAACTCAATGGGATCTTCATGCTAGCTCTGGCCTCAGTGCCGCCCTAGAAAGAAGTGGGTCCGGATGGGGAGAGGCCAGGAGAGCTCAAGCAGTGTCTGGAGGACGTTGTAGGGCGGTATCACAGCCTCCAGACCCAGTGCACAGAGGCTGGGTCCCCCAGTCCTTGGTGTGACTTGGTGATCCCCAGCTGGCCTTCAGTGGGATGAAGGCTGAGCAGTGGGGCTTGCCTGGGAACAGGGGCACCAAAGGTAGCCAGGGCTGCAGACAGCAGATTCCTTGCTTGAGTGGCTTGGGGTGCTGGTTGTCAGCCCAGGTCCTGCCAGCTAGGGCCTCTGCCTTGACCTCAGAGGGGAGGAGCAAGCCTTTGAGGGTTCTTACGGAGGCGTGTCTCTGCCGCAGGTGAACGGGAAGGAGCTCTCCAAGCTGTCTCAGGAGCAAACTCTGCAGGCCCTGCGCTCCTCCAAGGAGCCCCTGGTGATCCAGGTGCTGAGACGCAGCCCCCGCCTCCGGGGGGACAGCTCCTGTCACGACCTGCAGCTGGTGGACAGTGGCACTCAGACCGACATCACCTTCGAGCATATCATGGCGCTGGGCAAGCTGCGTCCGCCCACCCCGCCCATGGTCATCCTGGAGCCGTACGTCCTCTCTGAGCTGTGAGTCGCCCTCAGGAGGGCCCCGGGCCCTGCCTCCAGAGAGGACAGGCCACCTGGAGCGGCCATCCGCACGCCACCCTCTCGGGCAGGAAGCAGGCCCCTCGGCCTCCAGAACTGACCGTGGTACCCAAGGGCTCCAAAACCTCCAGGCCTCTAGCCTTGGGCCGGGCTCCAGCAGGCGCCCCGTTGTATCTACCCCCAGGGCCGAGGGAGGACCCTCCTGTCCGGGACGTCGCTGCCGGAAGTGCCAGGGTTGAGGGCCTCAGCTCCTCCTCCTCCATCCTCTCTCCTCTGCCGCCTCACAAGCATCACTCCTTGAATCTTCTTGCATCCCTTGTCTGTCTCATTCCTCTACCTGCTCTGAATTTCCTCCATCTCTTCAGCTTCTTTCTTTGGCCCGACCGGAAGAAGGGCCTTTCATCCAGGCCTGGTGGCTCATGACCGCGTGAGCGCTGCCTCATTCTGCTAATCTTAGCCCGGGCTGCGGGGAGGTAGGCCACAGGGCCATGAGCAGCCAACCTTAGTTTTGGGGCCAGGAGGGCAGCCCCTGGAGGTAGGGTGGGCCCCCCTCTGCTCTGCAGAAGTCCTCCAGGGCCTGGATAACTCCTGGGGGCGTTGCATGAGTGGGGCCAGTGCTGGGCGGGCGGGTGGGCACCCGGAGATTGGAGAAGTTGGTCCCTGCCAGCTGGCGTGGTTGGAGGAGTTCTGGTCTGGGGGACGGGAACGCTAGAGGCATGCGCAGGTCCTCTGCGTGGACGCTGCACACTCAGGTGCGAGAAGTGCCCCCGGTCTTTGCATGGCTGCATGTTGCCCAGGAAGGGGCTCTGCAGGAGGCAACTGGGCCACCCACCCTTGAGAGCACAAGCAGAGCAGGCCTCCGTGCCAGGCACGCTGGGATCGGCCTGCCTGGGAGCTGGGGCTGAGGTGTGAGAGGATGGCCAGCTGGTCTGACCCCCACCTTCTCCTGGGCAGCCCCCCAATCAGCCATGAGTATTATGACCCGGCGGAGTTTATGGAGGGCGGCCCGCAGGAGGCAGACCGCTTGGATGAGCTGGAGTATGAGGTGAGCCGGGTGGCCAGGCCAGGGCCCGCAGCCAGCTGCGGGAGCCGCCCCGACGCCTGTGTGCCTTCCTGCCCAGGCCCAACCCCGTGGCCCTCCTGGCACGCATCTGGCTGAGTCAGGGAGGGTGCGGGTGAGGTTACGTGTTCCGTCCATGTCGGTGAGTCCACGTCCCATGCACGTCTGTCTTCTGTGTCCTGTGCCTGTGTGTGCCTCGTGCATTTCCTGGGAGGGAGACCACTGAGTACGTGCGCCACGTGGGATGGTAAGAGAGACCCTCAAAGCGGGGCCTGGAAACTGAGCTCAGGGGGCTCCAGAGGAAGCTGAGGGGCTGCGGGCTGAGGGGTTGCGGGCTGAGGGGCTGGGCTGTGCTGCCTGCTCCCTCACTCACGCATTTCTGGGGCTTTCTACCTCTGCTTCCTCCCGGACCCCTCGTGGCAGGAGGTGGAGCTGTATAAAAGCAGCCACCGGGACAAGCTGGGCCTGATGGTTTGCTACCGCACGGACGACGAGGAGGACCTGGGCATTTATGTCGGAGAGGTATGCAGACGGGTATGCCCCAGCCCCGAGGCCCATCCACATGGCCTGCCTGTGGCTCAGAGGCTGCCCTTAAGGTCCCAGCTACCAGAAACAGGGCATCACAGCTAGGGTGCTGCGTGGTGAGGCGATGATGGTCGACGGCTTCAGCCACTGTCCAGTGAGGTAGTCATCTGCAGAAAGAGGCCTGTGCCTGGGTGGGACAGCAGATGGGCCTGAGAACTAGCAACAGGGTTGCTGTCTAGCCTTCTCCCGAACCCATCTTGGGCAGATGTCTTGTGTATCCCCAGGAGGGGGATGGCCCCTCGCTCCCCTCCCTACTAGTAGCATCCCACTAAAGCCACCCTTCCAGATGGACAATGTCCTACTTCCCACCAATGCCCGGGGCTGACCAAAAGCACAGGCTTCCGTGCAGAAGAGCCTAGGAGTGCAGGGCAGGGGCGGGGAGAGGTGACTACTCCACAGCCTCTGCCTCTGCTTCCTGGGGCTCAGAGCTGGAAGGGGAGCCAGAGAGCCTTCAGCTTGCTTTGGGGGCCCCTGAGGTGAGCCTGCCCCCTTCTACCGAAAGGGCATGTTAGGCACCAAGTCCCCAAGATGCGTGTGTCCTGCAGGTAAATCCCAACAGCATTGCAGCCAAAGACGGCCGGATCCGTGAGGGAGACCGCATCATCCAGGTGAGCACTTGCAGGCTGCAGGCCTGGCCCAAGGCCCCGCTGTGCCCGTCGGCCCAGCCACCTCTCTTTAGCCAGTCCCTAGCTCTCTCCCACTAAGAGCTAACCCTGAGGCCCAGCAGCCTGCCGTGTCCTAAACCCGGGCTGAGTCTCATCTCTCTCCTGCCCACTCACCCCAGTGGCTCCCGTGTGCCTATGGGATCTGCTGGCATCCAGGGCCCCTGCTGCTCTGAAACCTCCTGGCCCCTCTCCCTCTGCCCCACTCCATGCTCTCCTGAGCACACATTTGCTCTTGCAAGAGTCAGGCCGCCCTCTCCCTGGTACCTTCCACTTAGTTACATCCTCCCAGAGCTCAAGCCCCAGCCTAGCCCAGCCGAGCCCAGAGTGCTTGGGCTCCCTGCACCCGCCCAGGGTCCGCCCCAGGGCCAGCCCTAGCATGCTTGTTGATTGTATCCTGCCTGCCTCAGATTAACGGTGTAGACGTCCAGAACCGGGAAGAGGCGGTGGCCATCCTGAGCCAGGAAGAGAACACCAACATCTCCCTGCTGGTGGCCCGACCTGAGAGTCAGGTGTGTATGCCTGGCAGGGCGACCCGGGGCCACGACATCAGGCTTTCTGTCTTGGAAGCTGCTGGCCGTGACTAGGGCACAGATGTGCCAACGACCTGGAGTTGATGGAGGGCGGGTGGGCAGGGGTCTCTCAGGGCCCGTTTCCCCTCCTGGCCTCTGAAGGCTGAGGGGGCTGGGACGCTGCCCCCAGGTTGCTGAGCTTCACCGAAACAAGCCAAGTGCGGGGTCCAGAGCAGACAAGAAGGGTATATGGGGAGGTCCTTGAAGCTGTGGGGACACCAGGGCCTGTCTCCACAGCTGGCGAAAAGGTGGAAGGACAGCGACCGGGATGACTTCCTGGATGACTTTGGCTCTGAGAATGAGGGGGAGCTGCGTGCTCGTAAACTGAAATCACCCCCTGCCCAGCAGGTGAGGAAGGAAAAGGGCGCTGGTGGGGAGGGCGAGGAGGAGAGAACTGGGTGGAAGGCGCTGAGGCTGTGCAGGGTCTCCCAATGCTTGGCAGGGAAATGAACCAGGCCTGAAGCCCCTTCCGATCCTCCTGTGACATCCCGTGACATCCCTGTCCGTGGGACCTAACTGAGCGGTACTTACCTTTCTGCTCTAGCCCGGAAACGAAGAGGAGAAGGGGGCTCCCGATGCCGGCCCAGGCCTGAGCAACAGCCAGGAGCTGGACAGCGGGGTGGGCCGGACTGACGAGAGCACCCGGAACGAAGAGAGCTCTGAGCACGACCTGCTGGGGGACGAACCCCCGAGCTCCACCAACACCCCGGGAAGCCTGCGCAAGTTTGGCCTGCAAGGGGACGCCCTGCAGAGCCGGGACTTCCATTTCAGCATGGACTCTCTGCTGGCCGAGGGGGCGGGGCTGGGAGGGGGCGACGTCCCGGGCCTCACGGATGAGGAGTATGAGCGCTACCGTGAGCTCCTGGAGATCAAGTGCCACCTGGAGAACGGCAACCAGCTGGGCCTCCTCTTTCCCCGGGCCTCCGGAGGCAACAGCGCCCTGGACGTCAACCGCAACGAGAGCCTGGGCCACGAGATGGCCATGCTGGAGGAGGAGCTAAGGCACCTGGAATTCAAGTGCCGCAACATACTGCGGGCGCAGAAGATGCAGCAGCTGCGTGAGCGCTGCATGAAGGCCTGGCTGCTGGAGGAGGAGAGCCTCTACGACCTGGCGGCCAGCGAGCCCAAGAAGCACGAGCTGTCCGACATCTCCGAGCTGCCCGAGAAGTCGGACAAGGACAGCACCAGCGCCTACAACACTGGGGAGAGCTGCCGCAGCACCCCGCTGCTTGTGGAGCCCCTGCCCGAGAGCCCCCTGCGGCGGGCCATGGCCGGCAACTCCAACTTGAACCGGACCCCTCCCGGCCCCGCTGTTGCCACCCCCGCCAAGGCAGCTCCTCCACCGGGGAGCCCCGCCAAGTTCCGGTCCCTCTCCCGGGATCCTGAGGCCGGCCGGAGGCAGCACGCGGAGGAGCGCGGCCGCCGCAACCCCAAGACGGGGTTGACCCTGGAGCGTGTGGGCCCTGAAAGCAGCCCTTACCTCTCGCGGCGCCACCGCGGCCAGGGCCAGGAGGGCGAGCACTACCACAGCTGCGTGCAGCTGGCCCCGACGCGAGGCCTGGAGGAGCTGGGCCACGGCCCCCTGAGCTTGGCCGGTGGCCCTCGGGTGGGCGGGGTGGCGGCCGCGGCCACTGAAGCACCGCGCATGGAGTGGAAAGTGAAGGTGCGCAGCGACGGAACCCGCTACGTGGCCAAGCGGCCCGTGCGAGATCGGCTGCTGAAAGCCCGTGCCCTGAAGATCCGGGAGGAGCGCAGCGGTATGACGACCGACGACGACGCGGTGAGCGAGATGAAGATGGGCCGCTACTGGAGCAAGGAGGAGCGGAAGCAGCACCTGATCCGGGCCCGTGAGCAGCGGAAGCGGCGCGAGTTCATGATGCAGAGCCGGCTGGAGTGCCTGCGGGAGCAGCAGAATGGCGACAGCAAGCCCGAGCTCAACATCATTGCCCTGAGCCACCGCAAAACCATGAAGAAGCGGAACAAGAAGATCCTGGACAACTGGATCACCATCCAGGAGATGCTGGCCCACGGCGCGCGCTCCGCCGATGGCAAGCGGGTCTACAACCCTCTTCTCTCAGTCACCACCGTGTGAGCTGCCCGGGCGGGTACACGGCCCAGGCCCAGGGAACCCCCTGGGGCCCCGGCCCTCACTCTCCTATAGAGATTGTGTGTGTGTGTGTGTGCGCGCGCGCGTGCTCGCTGTGCGCACGCACACATCTCCTCGTCTGGGTGTGCGCACAGGGCTTTGTTAGCAGAGAGAAGCCCCTGAGGAGAAGGGACGCTTTTCTTCCTTCTGCCCAAGTAAAGTGACCATGCCAGTGGCCAGCACTGGGGGCACACCTGTGATGGGCACCCCTTCAGCTGTGCGTGTGCATTCCCCATCCCCCATGCTCTTGCGTGTGCTTGCACGTGCACGCACACACACACCCAGTGCTCTCTCCACCCGACCCGTGTACTTGCAGACAGGGAAGCTGAGCTGAAAGGAGCACAAGAGAGTGTCCGGCTTCGCTGCTGAGCGCGGCCTCTCCCCGCCGCTGCGCACTGCAGTTATTTGTAGACAAAGGCACCCCTGATTTTTGTGGTTTTTCTCCCTTTCTGTGCTTGCCAATAGTTGTTTTGTTTTGTGGACCTGCCCTGGGGGCTGGCAGCTCCTTCAGGCAGCCTGGCAGAAGTGGAACTCCCCTCTCCACTGATGGCTGGGAAGGGAGTTGGGGAGGAAGAGTGGGAGGGAGGGCTGGGGATGGATGGGAGGGAAGGGGAGGGAAAGGTGGGAGGAATGGGAAGCAGCTGTTCTGGTGGCTTCCACTCTGAGGTGTGGGAACGGGGAGCCTCTGGGGGGCACCTGTTTCCCCAGTGACTCAGAGAGAGCAAGACTGCAGGAACGGAGGGGTCCTGCAGGGTGTCCACCAAGAAGTCACAGAGCCCGTTCTGCGCCCCACACCATCTGGAGCAGGGGCTTCTCTTCTGAGTGAACTGAGGAAGGTGCTTAGATGGTGAGGGCTCTAGAAACCAAGCCCCATGAGCAGCAGTGGAAGACCTCGGGCCATGCGGCCTGGGGAGGACTTGGTGGCGATCCGCAACCTGGACCCCAGTGAGAGGCGGTGGGCTGACTGGGAAGGAGAGGCCCCCAACCTCCTCAGGATTTGCACGTGTGAACTAGGCTGCCTGTGGGGTGCCCCTTAGGCTTGGAGAGCCCCAGATTGGAGGCAGACAGACTGCACCACCCCTTCCCCCCCTGCATCTCAAGAATAAAGCAAGCTGCCTTTGTACTTGGTTGAATCGTGGCCTCCCTGTGTTCATTCTTATTGGGCTGGGGAAAGAGTTGTCAGTTTGGGGTGGGAGAAGGAAGAGGGGGGCAGGGTTAGGGTCAACTGAAAGCCACGCTGCAGCCCTCGGTTTGTCTTGGATGTCAGGAGCAGTGACTGTGACCTCCCATGGACAATTGTGTGGCACTCCAGGAGATATACCAGAGTCGCCTGAGTCATTTCAGAGGTGTCACAGTCACAGGGTGGTGACCAGATGCAGAAGGCTGGCAGAAGCCTGACTTCAGACTAGCCTCCAGGCAAGGGCCACGGTCATCTCCATGGGCCAAACCGTAGGTGGGGCCCGCTGCTGGCACATGCCACAGAGAAGTGGGTTCCAGCCCCATCCCTCCCAGCAGGGCCTGATGCCGTCCACTCTGGAAGGCGGAAGCTGCCCTCCCCATTTGGTGATCCCACAGTGCCTAGCAAGGTGCTCAGTTTGCAGAAGGCACCTAGTGGATGTCTTGGCCAGATAGATGAATAACCGCGTCGTTGCCAGGGCCCTTCCATCCTGGGAGCTCTCAGCAAACCTTCGGGCTCTATCAAGTCCTAGGAGCCATGCTCAATGCTGGGCAGGGTCAGGGCCTCAAAGACAACTCCGCAGAAAACATGGGCACAGCCTCTCATGGGAGTGGCACTCCCTGGAGTGGGCAGTGCTGCCATGAAGGAGCGGAAGTGGTCAAGGAGGCATTCAAATTCTCCAGAAAGAAGACAATATAGGCCAGGTGCGGTGGCTCACGCCTGTAATCCCAGCACTTTGGGAGGCCGAGGTGGGTGCATCACATGAGGTCAGGAGTTCGAGAGCAGCCTGGCCAACATGGAGAAACCCCGTCTCTACTAAAAATACAAAAATTAGCCGGGCGTGGTGGCAGGTGCCTGTGATCCCAGCTACTCAGGAGGCTGAGGCAGGAGAATCACTTGAACCCGGGAGGTGGAGGTTGCAGTGAGTCAAGATCATGCCACTGCCCTCCAGCCTCGGCGACAGAGTGAGACCCCCGTCTCAAAAAAAATTTTTTTTCGTTTAAACTTCTCTTAAGTGCCGAGATCGGGGCAGCAAGTCAGTGACGGATTAGACGCTAAGAAGGCTGTGGGGGGAAAAAGTCCCAGTGCCTGTTCCCAGAAGCCTGGAGTCCCGCTGCAGGGAAGGCTGGATCACAAGGGTGCCAGCTGCCTCTCTGCCGCACAGCAGCTCTGGGAGGGAAAGCCTGGCATATCACACCCCACCAGCAGGGAAGAGGGGAAGAGGCTTGCTGGCTGGATGGCAGGAAGGGGAGCAGAGGGCAGAGGCTGGAGATAATGGCTTCCCCCACCCCTCAGGGCCTCACCCCCATGAGGGCTTGGCACATCCAACCCTTGACCAGCTCCCTAACCCTGTCCCTTGGGGGAACAAGGCTCCAAGGGCCCAGCCACAGGGAATTGGCCGGAGTTGACTGGAGATGGAGGTCAAACTGTCCCCTTGGCCTCCCTCTAGCTGCTGGGGGGCTCACTTGGATGGTCCTAAAGGCACCCCCCTTCTTCCAATGGTGGGGTGCCCTCCAGTGTTCACGGGATGTGGGCTCATATGGGCCTGGAGCCTGGAGTCCCTTGGCTGGCTCAGGGAGAGGTGGCGCCAGGAAGGCTGGCAGCACTTGGCTACTGATGCCCTGGAATAGCAACTTCACGTCTGGGTCCCACGGCCATCAGGCTTCGTGGTGGAGCCAGAACTAAAAAGAGCAACCGGGCGCCCGACAGTCGCCCCGGTGCCTGCTGCACCCGGCCTGCCCCAGCCACCCGCCCTGCACAGGCTGCTGAGTCTCCTCTGGAATCTAGAAACTGCATCTGCTGGCAAAGCTGGTGTGGCCCCTCAGCCCCAACGCTCCTGCTGCACTGTCCTGGGGTGAGCGCCCAGCTCTTCCTAGAAGCCCACCTATTCTTGGCAGCCGGCCCCTCCCAACCCCCCTCCCAAGGCCTGGGGGTGGGAAGAGGGCTCCCTGCTTATATAGATGACCCCCTCCCCGAGACTCTGACAGACCCAGGTCACAGGCAGTCCTCACCTGCTCCTGACACCCCCGGCCCCTCAGTGCTGCTCTCTCTAGCCACCGAGCTGAAGTACTGAGGAGCCCCTACCTCCCAGGCAAGTTTTGGGCCTTCCCTCCTTTTCAGCCTTGGCTGAGCGCGGTGGCTCATGCCTATAATCCCAGAACTTTGGGAGGCCGAGATGGATGGATCACCTGAGGTCAGGAGTTCGAGACCAGCCTGGCCAACATAGTGAAACCCCGTCTCTACCAACAATACGAAACATTAGCCGGGTGTGGTGGCAGGTGCCTGTAATCCCAGCTACTCGGGAGGCTGAGGCAGGAGAATTGTTTGAACCTGGGAGGTGGAGGTTGCAGTGAGCTGAGATTGCGCCATTGCACTCCAGCCTGGGCAACAAGAGCGAAACTCTGTCTCAAAAACAAACAAACAAGAAAAAGGCAGCCTCTCTGGAGAATTCCATTTCTCTCCAGTAACAGCCAATGGGTGACCCAGATGTCAGGACTTTGGTGGCTGGTCCCAGTGGACTCCCTGACACCTTGGAGTAGGCACTGTCACTGCCTCGCAGCTGAGCAAACCGACTTGGGTCCCATGGCTGGGAAGGGCTCACCTGGGATTTCCACCCAGTCCCTTTGGACTCCAAGACCCTCACTGCCTCATGGGCCCTCAGTGCCACTAAGGAATACCATTAGCTGGTCAGGAGCCAGCATGTGCCAAGCTGAAAATCAGGCTGATGGGAGAGGTGCAGGATGAACTCCAGGCGTGGTGCCAGGCCGGGATGCCTGCCTGGTGTCCTGAGGGCGCGGGTGCTCTTGGGAGAGGTGTCTCTAGGAGGAAGTGATGTACCCCTCACAGGTGGGGTTTTGTTTTTTTCTTGAGACAAGGTCTCACACTCTGTCACCCGGGCTGGAGCACACTGCTGTGATCACGACTCACTGTATCCTTGACCTCTCCAGGTCAAGTAGCTGAACTACAGGCGCATGCCACCACACCCAGCTAATTTTTCTATTTTTTCTGTAGAGACAGGGTCTCACCATGTTGCCCAGGTTGGTCTCAGACTCCTGACTTCAGGTGATCCTCCCACCTCGGCCTCCCAAAGTGTGGGGATTACAGGTGTGTGCCACCACACCTGGCCATGGGTGTGTATTTTCTCAATATCCCATGAAGGCACAGCACACGGGAAGCCAGGTGGCATGGTCAGGGTGTGGAGTATGGAGGGGCCAAGCCCAGACAGCTGCACGCCGCATGGGCAGGGTGGGGGCACTTGCTGTGCCCGAAAGCAGTGCAGGGAAACCCCTCTGCGTGCGGAATGGGCCCGGGGCTTCCAACACAGGAGCTGTGATGAAGACCAGGCTGGCTGTTTCCCCATGGAGCCTGTGGGGCCACCTGGGGAGGAGGTGGCCAAGCCCACTGCCCTCACCAGAACCAGGAGAGAGTCACTGGGAAGGTGGATACAGGGTTTTGTGGGGACCAGACGGGGGGCTTCATTGGGAGGAGGGACGGGAGTTCTAGACCAAAGCCCACCCCTTTCCTGCCTGGTGCCTCTGCTGGCCAGGCAGACAAGAGGACGCTGGGCCCCCAGCTCTCCCAGTCGGGGGAAGGCACAATAACGCAAGCCAGCAGCCCCAGGTCCTGTGCAGTCCCAGGTCCTGTGATGTTTATTGAAGGAAGCAAGGGCAGGGCTGGGGTGCCGCCCTCAGGCCTGGATGTGGCTCTTCGCACTGAAGGCCAAGTAGTAGATCACAAGGCCGATCGCCGCAGCCAGCACCTCAGTGGACACCCAGGGCCCGTTCCAAGTGCCCTGAAAAAAAGGAGATCACAAGCCAGCTCAGGGGAGTACAGGTGAGCAGACCAGCCAGCCCTGGTCACCTTCCGCCAGGGGAACCAAGACATGCTGGCCAATCACGGCCCAGCAGCAGAGCTGGGGCTGTGGAGAGGATAACCTTCACTCAGCCCAACAACCCCAAAAAGGAGGAGGGACCAGGCCACTCACCCGATGGTCCACGCTGACTGTAAACAGAGGCGGGATGATGGAAATGTCCTCGTTATTCCTCTGAGCCTGCAAGGGAGGTGCAAGGGAGGTGCTGGGGTCAGGGGTGCCTGGCGTGTGGGGGTGGGGAGGGGAGGGGAAAGACAGGTAGGAACACCGGCCCAAGCCCCAGAAAAGGAAAGGAGAGAAATGGGCAAGAGACACTGAGGAAGGGACAGGATCACAGAAAGGCCACCCAGCTCAGGACTTGCTGCCAGCACCTCCCAACCCAGCCCATCCTGCTCCCCAGGGACAGGGGAGCACAGTGGGCTACAGGAGTCCTCACCTTCCTGAGGAGGCTGTAGGACTCCTCGTCGAAGAATCTAACCTCATAGGTGCCTGCGTGGGCGCTCTTGTGGTCCAGGCTCCAGGACACCTGGGTTGGGTGTTGAGCAGAGTGTGGGCAGAGTGGACACGGAGGGGCCACCCTGACCACCAGTGCCGACACTGCAGCACTCCGGCAGCCAGAGCCCACGGCCCCTGGCCCTGGTTGACCGGCCACCCCTGGGGCTTCAGGTCACACCCGGGAGCAGGGAGCCCCCTAGCAAGGGAACCATTGGCCCCTCACCTGATAACGCCCCACATCCTGGCCTCGAGTGACAGGGAATTGTTTTCCACCGACGTCAGCATAGAGAGCCATGTTCTGGGTGAGGGAACAAAGGCAGGGTCACCTTCTGCCCCCTCTGGGTGTGGGCAGAGGAGCCCTGTGCGCTGCTCACACGGCCTGCAGGTGGGCAGGCTAGGCCCAGTTGGGGGCTGCAGTGTCCCTGGCAGGAGGTACCAAGTAACACTCACCAATCCCGTGACTGGCCCTCTGCATTGGTCTTCCCTACGGGGGCACAAGGCCAGATCCCCATGGCCGGGCCTAACTGGACGCATAGGAACCCTGTTGACTGTGAGCAGGGGCGGGATGATCAAAAGGGCTGAGTGATTTCCTGAGTCTACAAGGGAGGTGCTGGGGTCAGGGGTGCCCAGTGGGCTGCCCAAGGGGTGCTTTACCCTAAGAGGGCCATACCCAAAAAAGGCCCCATTTCCTTCTTTGGACTTATGGGAACTTAGCTGGGCATGGTGGCGAGCACCTGTCATCCCAGCTACTTAGGAGACTGAGAGGAGAATCGCTTGAACCCGGGAGGTGGAGGCTGCAGTGAGCCAAGATCGTGCCAATGCACTCCAGCTGAGGCAACAGAGTGAGACCCTATCTCAAAAAAACAAACAAAAAACAAAAACAAAAACAAAACACCCACACAGACAAACTGGCCAATGGCAACCGGGGTGGGCTGACTCCTGGCCCTTTCTCCCGGTCCAGATACTCATTCAGGAAACAGCGGGTGGTGAGCCCAGGGTTACCTCGTGTAGGCACAGCACACAAAGCAGGTGAGGAAGGTGACCTGTCAACACTGGCTAGGATCTGGCATCACCGTGCCCTGATCTCTCCGGCACCCCAAGAGTTGGAATCTTGATTCTCCCTCTATCGACACAGGTCCCCCATCAACTAGCAGTGAGGAGCACCCCCCACCCGCCCTCCTGTCTGAAACCCCACTGTCTCACCTGGACCCTGTTCTTGCATGTCAGGGAGATCTCCACAATGAAGACGGTCTCAGTGGAAATGACAGCGTCAGAAGTGGTGTAGTAGGAAGGGGTGATCTGGGGCTCCAGGCAGGCCTCGGCTGCGGGGAAGAGGGAGAGATGCCTGGGTAAGGCCAGCTCGAGTATCCCGGTCTGAGGGCAGGATGGCCCGGCCCTGCCTCATAGCACGGATCAGCTGGGGACCCATGCGCTCTTCCTGCCCCTTCCAGGTGGGATATGCGAGACAGATCCAAGTGCTCGGTCACAAATGCAATGGCAACGTAGGCGGGATGGCTGTGAAGGAAGGCTGGGGAGGGGCAAGGCCGGCTTTCTGGAGGTGTGCAGGAAGAGCGAACTGGGGACAGGTGGGGGCTGGATTCACTGGACAATACATGCCAACACTTGGACCTATGACACGGAGGCCCGGGGGCCACGCCAGCCTCAATTCAGAGCCACAAACGGCCTGGACGAGTTACTGAAGGCATCCTCAGCAGAGACATCGGGGGTGGGGGCTGCAGGCAGGCAATGCACTGGGGCTTTCAAGATGAGAGAAAGGGTCTCTGCCCCCGGCCAGTTGACAGAAGGTGAAGACTGGCCCCAGCGTTTCCTGAAGAAGTAAACGGGAGAGACTCTGGTTCCAGAAGCACAACTTGTTAGCTGTGAGAGAAAGGACCTTGCCTTAGCCTTCTCCATAACCAGAGGCCCAAAGGAAAGGAAGGCTGCCGCCTACATCAGAGGGTGTGAAACAAAGGCTCCCCAAAGTGGGAATGTTCTCAGCCACCCGCTGTCCAAATGTGGTGCCCTGGCAGAACGATGGCTTCAGCAGAGGACGTCAGAGAAGGCTCTGGGTCTGGACCACAGGAGGCAGATCCCTAGGAACAGCGTGGAGGCAGTTCTCAGGGGCTAGATCCCGCCAGCCCTTCTGTGTCCTGCCTAAGTTGGGCCTGCTTCCTGTGGCGCAGGGGAGCCCCCGAAGGGTTTTATGGCCAGGCTTGTCCTCTGGATACGTCCCTGACTATAGTTCAGGGAATTCCTGAGGGGCAGATGAGGAGTGTGCGGAAAGGGAGGCCAGTTAGGCTGCCAAAACGTTGCAGGCAGCAAGGCTACTGGCCTGAAGGACGGCAGAAAAGGGAATGTGGAGAAAGCCGCCCCTGTCCAGTCCTGGCCCCCGGGCCCGGGGCTGGCTGCTGCAGCCACCTCCTAAACACACTCTGGAGTTCAGACCTCAGCCCCTCACGAATGCAAATCGACGGGACCCCTGGTCGGCTCTGCCGAAAACTCTGGTAAGGGTAAGGCAGGGCCCTCCGGAAAAGCCAGTCTTCGGCCTGGCACTCAAGGCCCTGCGCACCTTTGGCTCCCCATCTAACTCGCCCCGCTCTTGCTCCCTCTCCTCACTGAGGTCCCTTCCTAGCTTATGTGGCTCCTCCAGCCCCGTTTTTGGCCGCGATCGCTCAGCGCTACAGAGCTTCGCTCCGGTCCGACCCCGCAGGGAGCGGGAGCCGGGACATGTGTCACGTTCCGTGCTGCAGCTTGGGGGCCGGGCGCACCATGGAGGCTCGGGGACTCCTCTTCGTATGGGCAGACAAGGAAAAGCCTGGCTGCCGGTAAACGTGCGCGAGGTGCTTTGGTCCCCCCGTCCCAAGGCCGCCTGCCTCTCGGGGGAAGGCCCGGCCCGCAGCGACGGACCCTGAAAGGCCGGACCCCCGCATCCCTCCTGCCCCCAACACCACCTGCCGTGGGTCAGAGGCTCGCAAGAAAGAAGCCCCGGCTGGGCCGCTACCTGAGCAGCGGGAGAGGCTGGACAGCAGGAGCAGCGCCAGGGCGCCGAGAGATGCCATCGCCGCCATCGCCTCTTCTCTGCCTAGAGGAAAAGAAAACGAGCTCCCATGAACACGAGGGGCAAACGAGGAAGAGCGACGCGTAAGTGGCAGCGGCAGCCAATCGCGCACCGAACGGCTGGGCCGGCATTGTGACGTCTCTGGCAGCACTGACGTGGCCCCTCCCTGAGCCAGGGGCCCAGCTGGTCGCGGTCCCCCCCTCAACATGGCGGCAGCGGTGCTCTAGGCGCCGGAAGGGGGCGTGAATCGGTGCGACCGCGCGCGTGCGCAGTACCGGGTCCGCGCCTGTCCCCGAAACTTCGCACCCCGTCGAACTCTCGCGAGAGCGGTATCTGCGTGTCGGGACGTGCGGAGGCTCTCACTTTCCGTCATGGCGCTGAAGGTAGCGACCGTCGCCGGCAGCGCCGCGAAGGCGGTGCTCGGGCCAGCCCTTCTCTGCCGTCCCTGGGAGGTGAGCAGGGAAAGAGCCACGGGACCGCGGCAGCGGTCGCAGGGGAGCGGTGGGGTAGCCGCACCCGAAGCAGTCTGGAGTCCGATTGGCTAGGGGCCCCACCAGGGGCGGGGAAAGGGCTTCGCGCCGGGGTTGATTGGCCGCCTCCGCTGTCACTGAGGGGATTGGCCGAAGTTGGCCCTGGACCGGCTCCCCCAGGGGGTCTGCATCGGGTGGCGGGGGGCCCTCCGGACGGGCCGGGAGAGTGGGCCACGGCGGCTGTCACCTCCTTAGTGTCCTTGAAGGAGCCCTTCTGAGGCAGTCACTCACGTATCCCGGCCCGCCTTTCTCAAACCGCTTCGGGAATCCGGTTCCGGGACTCAAATTTCTCCACGGTTTCCTCTCTCGTGGACCGCTTTGCCACCTATCCCGGTGGCAAAGAACCGGACTTTGCCAGTCATCCCCCATAGTCCCCCAGTCTTAGAGCCCCAGATGCCTTCCCCTCGAGGCGCCTGGAATGGGAAGGAGCTAGGGTTTCTGAGGCTGCGGGGGTTTTGCTTCTGCTCTTCTCCGTGTGCGGTCTTGCGTATTCAGGTCCGAGTCTTCTTTCCTTACACTTATTTAAGAAGAGGTTAATTTAGGTCCTAGGTGGGCTGGAAACCATCTGAAGCAGCTGCCAGCCAGCACCTGGCCCTGATGGGTAAGAGGTTTGACCTCTAGGCCATGCTCCCACACTGAGCCACTGCGTGGCCTTAGGCCATTTCCTCCTCTCTCTGGGTTCTAGTTTCCCCTTTGGAACCCAGAGGGGAGGAGACTTCATGTTCTCAAAGGATCCTGTCAACTCTGACCTTCCAGAACTCCGTGACTTTGCGGCCACTCCCCAGGGACATCTCTACTTGCCATGTTTTCTCCTTCTGACCTCTGGGGGAGACTGCTTGTGCCTAATGAAATTCTCTTGACGATGCTGACTTCTCCCACCTTGCTGCTGAAAGGACGGCAGTATATAGTGGCTTTCCAGAGGCTCTGATGGCTCCAGCAACTGGGCTCCTGTAGGCTCTTGGTGAAGACATGTGTGCCTCCTCCCTGACCTCCCCTGTGTGTGTGCCTGTGTGTGCGTTGGGGTGGGAGTAGGGGACAGTGAACGGTGGGTAGCTGGGCAGTGCCTTGCCCTGAGACTGACCGTCCTGGGTGTGAGAACCCTTACAGAGGAACCCCAGGTCTTGAATCCCACTGATTTGGACGCCATAGGAAAACATGCAGCCACCATTGACACATGGTCCAACAGAAATATGCCAAAGACAGAAGCCTCAGCAGGCATAAGATGTGGGGTGTGGATGTTCTTTCTTTCCATGGAACCATGAAAGGGTGATGGGAGAGCGGGAGGCGTGTACATATTGCATCCTGCCTCACACTTGGCTCCTTTGATTGGTGGCTTCACAGGGAAGTCAGGGCACAAGGCAGAGCCTTTGCGACCTCCTGAAGGAAGGTGCCTGCATCTGTACAGTAAGGTCAGGGAAGTCCATCTGGAGCGCTCTCTGGGTCTTTTGCCAAAGCCCAAAGGAACACCTGGCACAGGGACCGGGTGGCAGAGAGGTTCAGCTCAGCCCTGGTGGTGATGTTGCCATCTGTGAGGGAGGTCCATGCTCTCAGGAGATTGGCTTGCTGCCACAGCTGAAGCCCAGGAGGAACTACTGCTGGGAGCTGCAGGGGTCCACCCGTGACCTCCCAGGGACACCAGCCTTGAACTCTGACCTGAGGGGCCAGTGGGGTGAAGGGGCAGGCGTGCTGTGTGGCACTAGCTACTGTGAGCAGCTCACACACCTCCTGTCCCCTAATCTTTCCAACAGTCACGGAAAGTAGGTACCTCCGTTCTGTGAATTTCAGATGAGGCCATGAAGCCATCTCAAGAAGAGTGGATGGTGGATTTGGACCGAGGCCTCCCTAGTCTCCAGATCTTTTTTCATTTTCTGATGTGCTTGTTCACTCAGGAAATGTTCCTTATGTGCCAGCTCTGGGCCAGGTACTGTGCTGGGTCCTAGGGTGACAGTATTGGACCACACTGACTTGGCCCCTCCTCTCGGGCTCAGGGGTTGAGGAGGGAGCAATGCAGTGATAACCTAGGGAAGGGGGTAAGTAGGGCCTTAGGGTCCCAGCTCAGTAGCCTTAGGGCATCAGGGAAAGCTCCCTGGAGGAAGGTCCATCGAAGCCGCTTTCTGCGTGCTTACAAGAGCCCCCAAATAAGATGATTTCAGATGTTGATAAGCGCTAGAGAGAAGACAGAAAAGTCCCGACCCGTTGATAAGCGCTAGAGAGAAGACAGAAAAGTCCCGACCGTGCCTGTGCTTGCAGATCCAGGTGCCACACAGATCAGCTGAGCTATCCTCGGGGCTCTGGTCCTTGTGGGCACCCTCTCCTAGCCCCTGGCTTGGACTGATGAGTGCCGGCCAGGGACACACAGACAGGGAGAGGTCAGACTCCGCCCGAGCCTTTCTGGACTTCTAGCTGGAAGGCATGGCTCTTTGGCCAATGGCTATGATGCTTCTGCCATTGGCTGGAACACTTTGCTGCTGCCTGGTGGTCAAGTGGCAGGGCATCCCCAAGTGACAGGGAAGACCTTGGCTCTGCCACCGTCTCAGGTGTGTTCTAGGTGGGGCTTCTTCCAGGACAGCAGGTCACTTGGCACCTGGCACATTTGGCTCAGGCAGCTTTGGCTCTGAAGCTGTCCGGCATTTCCAGTCAGGGCGTTGGGGACATTCGGCATCCAGCAGTCCTTTCCGAAGGCCTTCCTAGAGTTGGGTTTCTGTTATCAACCTTCCAGAAATGGCTGGATGTCCCTACACATTTGTTTTCGATTTCTAATGCCGAAGGGCCATTCCCCAGGGGGCCAGCAGTGCTTGTCTCAGGGAGGCCGGAGGCTGGGTGCTACCTTCTTATCTCCCTATTCTGCTTTTTCTGTAGCGACCACATGCTGCTTTTGTAATAAGAAAAAGTGATCGGCGAAGTGATAACGTGACTGTTGTCATGGATCTGTGGTTTGTTGTAATGATTTCCCTGCTGTACCAGGGTTAGTTTGCCAGTTTTTGCATGTTACAAACATCGCTGAGCGGGAATAACTGGCCAAAAAAATAATCAGAAGCAAAAAAGAGGAGGGAGGGCAGGGACACGCCTTTTAAGAAATTTTCTGAAGAGCGGAAGGAGGCAGGAGGCTGGAGCGCCTTCTACTTTCCAGGTGCTCCAGCGGGCCGGCCCTGGGGACTGAGGCTTTGGAGCTAATTATCTATTGTGCCCCTGGCAGTGGGCCATGCTGCACAGACAGGGGACCTGCCTGGGCACAGTGGGGACGGTCCGTTTTTCCTTCCAACTTGGCTTTCTGGGTTAGACATCAAACCAACCGCTGGCATTTGGTCTCTGCCAGGTTCTAGGCGCCCACGAGGTCCCCTCGAGGAACATCTTTTCAGTAAGTACCTGCCCGTGCCCACGCATGTGTCTTTCTCCATGTGGCCGCAATTGTGCGCGTGTGTGCACGGCCTGTGTCCTGTCCTCTGAGACGTGGTCTCCAGGGGCTACCCACCCCTCTTCTGGGAGTTGTACTAGCCAGCATCCCCCTGGGAAAAGGTCCCACTTTCCTGGTCACGGCCTTGCTCTTGGAACCTTGGCTGATTGTGTCTTCTTCCTTTCTCATCCTTTCTAGGAACAAACAATTGTGAGTATTCTTCTCTGCCTGTTAGGTTTGGGGGGCTCTTAGTTGCTTTGGGGTTAACTAAATTCCAGGTGGGGGTGGGCTGCTGCTGACCCAGGAGCCCTGGATGAGCAGCCCTGTCTGGGACGGGGCTGCCCCAAGTTGGCACCTTGTGACGGGGCAGCCTGTGGGGTCAGCGCCAGTGGGAAGAAGGGAATTGGCTTGAGCCCATGGGGGCCGAGCTGGGGGCATGTGGGATCCCCGAAGGCCCACCTTCACCCTCTGCCTCCCACAGCCTCCGTCCGCTAAGTATGGCGGGCGGCACACGGTGACCATGATCCCAGGGGATGGCATCGGGCCAGAGCTCATGCTGCATGTCAAGTCCGTCTTCAGGTATGGAGCTCCTGGGTCCCCGCCTTGTCCTCAGCCAGGGGGCCCTGAGGACTTTGTGCCAAGAGGGGCATTGCGCCCAGAAGCACTCGGTGAGGCCATGGCAAGACGACCTGTAAGCCCAGGCCTTGCGTCCCATGGCCTGTGATCCCGCCAGACTGGCCTGGGCTCGGGGAAGGTGGCACCAGTCCTGCCACAGTGTGCATTGTGGAGTTCAAGCGTGTCCCCATCAGTCAGTGAAGGTGGGCCCAGTCCCTTCTCAGTCAGAGCCAGGTCAGGGCAGGTAGCAACAGGAGAGAGGTAGCCTGGGCAGGCTTCCTGGAGGAGGTGCGGGGGGGTCTGGGCCAGCCTCCCTGACCCTGCCGTGCCTCAGGCACGCATGTGTACCAGTGGACTTTGAAGAGGTGCACGTGAGTTCCAATGCTGATGAAGAGGACATTCGCAATGCCATCATGGCCATCCGCCGGAACCGCGTGGCCCTGAAGGGTGAGCTCCAGGGCCAGGGGCCAGGATGGGGCCCTAGGTGTGATTTCTTTCTTGCTTTCTTCCTTCGTTTCTTGCTTACTTGCTCGCTTGCTTGCTTTCTTGCTTGCTTTCCTGCTTTCTTGCTTGCTTGCTTTTTTGCTTTCTTGCTTTCTTTCTTGCGTTCTTTCTGAGATGGGGTCTCGCTCTGTCGCCCAGGCTAGAGTGCAGCGGTGTGATCTCGGCTCAGTGCAACCTCTGCCTTCCAGTTTCAAGCGATTCTCCTGCCTCAGCCTCCCGAGTAGCTGAGATTACAGGCGCCCGCCACCACGCCCAGCTGATTTTTGTATTTTCAGTAGAGAGTGGGTTTCACCATGTTGGCCAGGCTGGTCTTGAACTCCTGACCTCGTGATCTGCCCGCCTCAGCCTCTCAAAGTGTTGGGATTACAGGCGTGAGCCGTCGTGCCCAGCCCCTGTGATTTCTTTTACCTCCCTCTGAGCTGACTCTTGTGGGGCCCCACGGCTCTGATTTCAGGGCTTGTCTGGCTAGAGAGGACCCTCGTGCTTGGAGACTGGGTGGACGCCTCCTCGGGCCTGTTTGCGCTGCGATGCTGGGATTCGAGTGAGAGCAGCTGTGTGTGAGCCTGTCCAGTGACGGGCTCCCTGATGGGTTCCCTCCCACCCCTCCTTCCCTCCTGAGACAGTCCTCTCTGCTGGGGTCAGCTTTGACCCTCAGCATCTTTCTTCACAAACCAGGTATCACAGAGATGCAGTTCCGACCCTCTGCCTGGCTCCTCGGCTGCAGCCAGCCTGGAGGTGGATGGCACAGCCCAGGCAGGGATTCTTGGGGCTTCACTTGAGGTCCTTAAACTACTTCCATTGCTCATTTTGCACACTCAGCCCATTACTTGCACTGTGTGAGGAGCGTGTGAGCAAAGATGAACCCAGGGGGAGCCCCAGGCCCTGGCAGTCAAGTAGAGGGGCCTTTGTGCCAGCCACAGGGGACCCCCGCGCTGTGAGTGGAGCAGTCTGGGTGGGGTACCGCTCACCAGCAGGCGGCCTCTGCTTGGCGCCCTCTGACTGCTGTCTCCAGCGGCCACTGGCCTCTGCTTCCCTTCCTCCAGGTGTCCTGGGTCGTAGGGTAGGGTCCGGCCAATCCGTGGCCTTCTCCAGGCAGCCCCCGCCTGCCTCTGAGTGTGGTGCCTTGATGCGGGGGCTTGGCAGTAACACCGCCAAGGCCACCTTGCTAGCTCCAGCCTGGCCGGCCAACCTGTTAGTAAAGAGTGGTCACTTTCTGTTGCTCCAGAGCCTGGATGGAGAATGGCATGGCTGCCTGGCTGGTTGCCAGCCTTTATTCATTTATTGACTTGTTCATTCCGTCGTTCAGGGGTTATTCATGGAGCACCTGCTGCACCAGGTGCCCTTCGAGATCCCTGAGCGTGTAGCCTCGTGGGGCTTAGGCTGGAAGTTGCATTCTAGCATTCTAGTGTTCAGGAAACATTTTTGCTCCCCAAGTCTTCTGACCCCGGCAGCCTTCAGCTGCCCTGCTGAGGTGGGGCGGGGATGGGCAGTGCCACTAAGCCTGTGTTGTGTTTTGTAGGCAACATCGAAACCAACCATAACCTGCCACCGTCGCACAAATCTCGAAACAACATCCTTCGGTGAGATCCGGGTGTGCGGGCTGGGGGCTTGGTGGGGCTAAGGTGGGGTGAGCCAGTGGAGTCTGGCTCCAGTCAGCCACCTGTCAGGCCTAGCAGCCTCTTTCTCCGTCCCCTCCCAGCACCAGCCTGGACCTCTATGCCAACGTCATCCACTGTAAGAGCCTTCCAGGCGTGGTGACCCGGCACAAGGACATAGACATCCTCATTGTCCGGGAGAACACAGAGGGCGAGTACAGCAGCCTGGAGCATGAGGTGTGCATGGGGGGCCCGAGATGAGCCCCCCCAGCGTCAAGATTAAGGGGAGAGCTTAAGGAACCAGGGACAGGTGTACCCTTAGAGGGCAGGGGCTGTGCCCGAGGGAGAAGCCAGAAATAGGCAGACAGGGTTGCTTCCCACGGTGGCCCGGTCGCGCCAGCTTGTTTGGCCAGTGCTGCTCTTCAGTAGCACATGGGTCTCTTCTCCCCATGCCCTCCTCAGAGTGTGGCGGGAGTGGTGGAGAGCCTGAAGATCATCACCAAGGCCAAGTCCCTGCGCATTGCCGAGTATGCCTTCAAGCTGGCGCAGGAGAGCGGGCGCAAGAAAGTGACGGCCGTGCACAAGGCCAACATCATGTATGTCCCCTGACCTCTCTGCGAGCAGTCCAGAAGCAGCTGCAGTGGCCTGCTTGGGCCTGCTCTGAGGGATTTGTGGTCCAAAAGCCCAGCTACCCACCGAGGTGCCACCCTAGGCGAGTGCCCTGTTGCCCTCGAGGCCTTGCCAGAACCCACACTTAGGGGAGGTGGGGTGGGATTCTGTCCATTTTGCTGGTGAGGGACAGGTTAGAATTCAGACCCCAGCCTCCTGGGGCCCTCTGCACGCCCCGTCCCTCTGGCTGACTGTTGCGATGGCCAAGCTGGTGTCCTATTCCTAACCCCCCACCAGGAAACTGGGCGATGGGCTTTTCCTCCAGTGCTGCAGGGAGGTGGCAGCCCGCTACCCTCAGATCACCTTCGAGAACATGATTGTGGATAACACCACCATGCAGGTATTAGCCTGCCCAGTGCTGTCCCCCTGCCCTGAGTGCCCTGGGCTTCTCTCACCCATGCTTCCGAATCTGCTCCTCAGCCAGCCCCCTCCTTGTCCCGCAGCTGGTGTCCCGGCCCCAGCAGTTTGATGTCATGGTGATGCCCAATCTCTATGGCAACATCGTCAACAATGTCTGCGCGGGACTGGTCGGGGGCCCAGGCCTTGTGGCTGGGGCCAACTATGGCCATGTGTACGCGGTGTTTGAAACAGTGAGTGCCGGTGGCAGTGCCGCGGCTTGCCGCCTTTCTCCTGTTCACAGACTTAGTGAGGCACACTCATCCCATCCGGTTAGCCCGTTCAAAATGCATGATTTAGTAGTTTTTTGGATATCCAGGGTTGTACTGCCGTCACCACCAGGTCATTCCAGAACATTTTCACCACCCCACGAGGAAAGCCTGTCCCCATAAGCTATCTGTCCCCACACCTTCCCCCAACCCCTGGCACCCGCTGGTGGGCTTTTGTCCCTGTGGAGTGGCTTCTTCTGGACGTGTCACAGGAGCAGAGTCACTGCCCGGCATCCTTCTGCCCTCCACCCACTCTCCTTCGTCTTGCCTCCCCAGGCTACGAGGAACACCGGCAAGAGTATCGCCAATAAGAACATCGCCAACCCCACGGCCACCCTGCTGGCCAGCTGCATGATGCTGGACCACCTCAAGTGAGTGGCTCCCAGTGCCCCGCAAGCCCCTGGCCAGCCCTCCGGGCCCCAGGGACTGAAGGCTGGCTGTCCCATCCTCTAGGCTGCACTCCTATGCCACCTCCATCCGTAAGGCTGTCCTGGCATCCATGGACAATGAGAATGTGAGGTTCCCCTCGCACCCTACCCTGCTGCCCCGCCCAGTCTCCCCCTGCAGCCTCCTGTAGCCCGCCTCATGCACTGACCACAGCCCCCAGGGGAGGATGGTACTGGATCTGGCCCCATCTTCTGGCCCTTAGCTGGTGCCACTTCCCTCCTGTGGCAATCCCAGTCCTGCACGTCACAGGAGACAGCGGGGGGTGGCAGGGCCTGGTGTGTGCCGAGCCTGCCTGTGTCCTACAGATGCACACTCCGGACATCGGGGGCCAGGGCACAACATCTGAAGCCATCCAGGACGTCATCCGCCACATCCGCGTCATCAACGGCCGGGCCGTGGAGGCCTAGGCTGGCCCTAGGACCTTCTTGGTTTGCTCCTTGGATTCCCCTTCCCACTCCAGCACCCCAGCCAGCCTGGTACGCAGATCCCAGAATAAAGCACCTTCTCCCTAGACTTGGCGTGGGCCTCCCTCACTCCAGGCACCGATGTTCAGTCCACACTTTATTAAGAAAGGAATACACACACTTTCTCCGAGAGCCCTCACGGGGGTCTCAGGCAGAACACGCTCTGAGAGCCGGGCCTGGCTCCAGCGTCTCTCTGCCCTGTGGTTGTGGAGAACTGGCGCCCAGCAGGGTGGTGGGAGCTGTCCCGCTTTTCCCTTAAGGCACGGAGAGCTGGAGGTGGAGCCACAGCCGGGCCTAGGGGTTGAGCCAGGGGTGCTGGAGGCAGTCAGCGGCACTGGCCCGCTTTTCGGGGATGTACTCCATCATGGGCAGCAGAAAGGCGCTGAACTGTGTGGCCTGCTCTAGGGGCCACTCGTACTTTTCCATGAGTACCTCGTACAGGCCCCAGTGCTTGAGATTGTGGATGTGCCGCAGCTCTCCTGCGGGCAGGCCAGCGGGCGTCAGGCTCTGTCCCTGTCTCTGGACCTGCCTTCTGCTTAGGCCCTGGCTCCTGGGACCCAGTGTTCCCTCTGTTGCAGAATCCAAGGTCCCCGTCCCACCCTCCCTGCAGCCACATGGCCTGAGGCTGCCCGGGCCCTCACCTCTCCGGTTGAAGAACTCCCGGGAATAGCGGCCTGAGAGGGCGAAGGCTGGGGGGATGTCCCCCAGAAGCTCCACTATGTGAGCGATGTGGTCTGTGGGCAGAAAGAGGAGGTTGGGGGCAGGCAGGCCGGGAGGCCGGGAGGCTGAGCCCAGAGCCCTCACCCCTTACCCTCATCACGACTGTAGTCTTCTCCAGAATGCGGCTCGAACAGGTAGTCACCAGTGGCCAGCTCGAAGGCCTGGAAGGGGGAGGAGGTGAGGCTGCTGGCTGGTGGGCTGCTGGCCCTGGGCACAGGGCAGCCCGGGCGGGCGTACCATGCAGGCTGTGCTCCAGATGTCTGCCGGGGGGCCGTATTCGGCGCCGATCAGCACCTCGACGGCCCGGTACTGCCGAGTCTGGATGTCTTCCGTGAAGTGCTTGTGCTGGAAGCAAGGGGAGCCCTGGGGACGGGCTGGGGCCAAGGCTGTCCTGCCCCCACGGACTCCTGCCCCACCCCGATCCGCCTACCCGAGGAGCTCAGTGGGGTTTGCTGTGAGCCTCGGGGTCCCCAGGTCCTCCAAGAGGGACAGGCCCAGTGATGTGAGGCTGAGGCTGATCCCTTCCTAGTGGCCCCTGCCCTTGGCCATGGCCCCAGTGCTGTTGACTGGGCAGGACCAGTGCCCACCCAGCCGACGGTTCACGTGCACTGCAGACTGGGGTAGGGCTCCCCAAGAGCGGCCCTGTGCCTCCACCCTTGGAGCAGGGCCCCCCACTCTGCTCTCCCACACTTGCTCATACCACCCAGCAGGCGTTGCCCAGGTCTGCGATCTTGATCTTGATCTTATCTGCATTTTGGGGCTCCAGGGGGTTCACCAGGAGGTTCGAGGCACCGAATGGTGCTGGGGAAGGCAGAGCAGGGAGACTGAAGTGGTCCGACTACTGCCAGCCCTGCCTGCCCACCACTTGCCACCCAACTTACTGCTAGGCGACAGGAGGCCCCCGGTCTCTCGCTGATTGGACGAGCCGGAGAGGATGGAGCAGGAGGCAGGAGAGAAGAGGGAGCCGGAGAAGCCTGAGGTCTGTGAGCCCGCGCTGAGGCTACGGCCGCCCCCTGGGGCGGGGGAGGAAGAGGCTGGGGAGGGACCTGCTCTGGCGCCCCCGGGGTGACAGCCTGAAGAGGATGTGGAGCCGCTGCCCCCGTCTAGTCTCAAGCCAGAGTCTGGGGAGACGGGGTGGAGGCAGCTGCTGAGCAGATGTCTTGCAGCCTTTGCTGCGCTCCACGGCCCATCACCCTCTGTGGCCCCTCACCCTCAGCCTGGGTGGCAGCCTCCATGGCCTCCAGCCTCTGCAGGTCCCGCAGCCGCTCCTCCAGCAGCCGCTTCTGCTGTTTCCGTTTGCGCCTCATCTTCTTCCTCTTGTTTTTGGACAGCTTACCGGTCTGCTGTCAGAGCCAGGGTCACCCCAGGGTTCCTGTCGCCCGCCCCAGTCAGCATGAAGTGGAGGTTTCCCTGCACAGCCGCCAGGGAAGAGGCCTCTCCGGGCCCCAGGGCTCCCATGGACACCAGAATGTGGCGCCAGCGCCCCTTGGCACCAGCTACTCACTACTCTCCCTGCCTCCCCGCCTGTGGCCCCACTCCCCACAGCTCCATTAGGAGTGGGAAGACCTGGCCGGCCCGCCTCAGGGTGCTCTCTGTCCCCTCTCAGCCCAAGCTAAGGCAGGCGGAAGTGGCCATTCGGGGAAGACAGCATCCTTTCACCAAGAGCAGTTTGGGGCACTTGACCCCCCCCGGGAATTACCGTCAGCCCAGCCACCCAGCCTTTCGGGATTACCACCGTGGGAGTGCGTGAAGGTGGGGGGTGGAGCCACTGTGGCTCCAGAGATGGCCTCCAGTTGGCTCAGATGGGAGAGGAGGCATGGGAGAGAGGGGCCCCCCAACTTACCAAGACCTCCTGGGGGGCAGTGCTGACTGGGAGTGCAGGTGGGGAGCGGTGGGGGGGGACAGGGAGGAACAGAGACTCAGGCAGGGGTTCAGGCCCAGAGGCCCCGACCCAGCCCCATGTGGGCCCTTGGTACCTATGGAGCGGGAGGGGGGCGGCGCCCCTGCCTGTTGCCACTCCGTGGCCTCGGCAGCCAGGCGCCTGATGTAAGCGTCCCCCACACACAGCAAGATGTTCTCGGGCTTGATGTCCGTGTGGATGATCTTGCACTTGGTGTGGAGGTAGTCCAGGCCGTGCAGCACCTGCAGAGAGTCGCACCTGACCTCCTCCAACTCCCGCCCAGGCCAGGCTGGGCAGCCCAGTGGGTGGCACTCACCTGCCTCACGATGCTCTTCACGCAGGGCACGGGCAGGCCCTGGTAGTTGGACTTGATGATCCATTTGAGGAGCTGGTGGCCCAGCACCTCCAGCACCATGCACACATCTGGGCTGGGAGTGAAGGGCGGCCAGTGGACACCAGCTGCGGCACAGGCCCCACCCACCCTCAGCTAGGGGAGCAGCAAGGCTTGGGCCGTGTGGAGGTGGGGAGGCAGGGCCTCCCCTGGGCAGTCCTGGTCACCATTATGCTGGTGTCATCATCGATAGTGTCCCTGTCAGTCTCAACAGGTATGCCAGTTGGGATGGTGCATTTTGTGGTCATCCTAGAGGTGGCGCTGGAGGAGCAGGCACAGAGGCCTCTCGGGCCAGCCCACTCCCATGCTAGTTATGCCATAGGGCCTCTTGGCAGTCCCCCAAAGGGAAGGCAGTGCCACAGAGACAGCACCTGCCGTTTGGGGATAATAGCAACGTCCATGGACAATCAACGCTAGCTTGTTACTGCCTCCACGTAAACACAGTTACCTGGGGGCGGGGTCGTGCCAGAGGCTCCCGTTACTGGGAGGGATGCAAGCCCATTGTGCGGGTCTGCAGACAGGCTCTAGCAGCGAGGGCCCCCCCATTTGCCGGCCCTTGGCTGCCACACTGCTTTGCTCTTCCTGCAAAGGATACGGACTCCATTGACTCCTGAGATCCTGAAGTCATCAATGAGCTGGACAATGGTCTCTCTTTTGGGGTCACTGGGGTCGCTGTCCCGGACCTGGAGCAAAAGCCAAGGGGCCACAGATGGTTCCACCCTGCCCTGAAGCCCACAGCTCCCTTCAGTGTACCCTTCTCCTGCTCCAGCTGGGCCCTGCTGGAAGAAAGGCCGCCAACCCCTCCTGTCCCTCGCCTGTTCCTCCAGATCCTCCCCCTTGGGCACAGCCAGCTGGAGGCTGCCCCTCAGGGAGCCCCGCCCTGCCCCACAGAGCCCCGGCAGGCCTTGCACCCGCATTGCCAGGCCCCAGGCAGCTCCAGGGGAGCTGGGAGTGGGGTAGGGAGGTGCCTCACACATTTCAGGAGCTTGATCTCATCCACAGCTGTCTCCGTGTAATGCCCCGCACTCTTCACCACTTTGAGGGCCACAAAGCGCTTGCGCCTGCAATACCGAGACCCTTGTAGGCTGTGGCCCTGGCAGGACCCACGGCGGGGATCAGGGTGGCCCCAAGCAAGCCCAGGGACAGGATCCCAGCCAGTGCTGGGCCCCGGAGGCGAAGGAGGCACTCACTGGATGTCCCAGCAGAGCCAGACGGTGGAGAAGTGGCCCCAGCCCAGTTTGCGCACCACGTGGTACCGCCCATTGAACACGTCGCCGATCTTCACAGGGTGGTAGCCGCCTGCCCAGGGGAGATGTAGATTGGGGTGGAGGGGGTTCTCACTCCCCTGGGCCCCCGAACACCTCGGCCCCATTGACCATCTGGCCCATGTGGGCCCAGGACTGCCCTGGGTCCCTGCAGTGGCCGTGAGGCCGCATGTCCCCAAGGCCAAGTCTCACCCTTGCAGTAGTCTTTGGGGTCTTCCTGTTCCTCGTCGTCGGAGCCCAGAAGGCCCTGCAGCATCTGAGGCACCGGTGTGGCCAGGGCTAGTTCGGAGCCCGAGGACTCGGGCCCGCAGGAGGCCTGTGAGCTGCGGGTGGGGTGAGTGGCAGTGGGCATGAGAGACGCCAGGGGCTCCGGGTGCCCCAGCCGAGCCCTACCTGCTGCTACTGCCGCCGCTGCCGCCGCTGTCCCCACCACCGCCCGTGCTGGCGCTCATCCCGGCCACGCAGCCCGCAGCTCCGGTGCCCCGGGCGGCTGCTCCTGTGGGGCCCGGCCGCGGCCTGCGAATTTATAGCCTTGGCCGGCCGCTGATCTCACCCGCCTTTATAAATAGCCTCCCAGCTGCTCGGCTGTGGGCAAGGTATGCGGTGCGGGGAGGGGGCGGCGCGACGGCGGCCCCAGAGAGCCCGGCCCCCGGGCAGAGGCCCCCCTCCTGCTCCAGGCCCACCCTGGAGGCAGAGGGGGCTGCTGCTTGGGGACCAGGGGCAACTGGGCCCCCAGGCTGAGCCTCCGCACCCCAGCTGAGGGGGAGGTCCACGCGGGGGTGAAGCAGCCCGTACCCCAGGTCGGGCTCCCGTTCTCCGGTGCGGACTGTGGGGATGTGCTCCACTTGGCAACCTGGTCCTTAGGCCAAGCCCCCACCACCTGTGCCCCTGTGGGCATCCTCCTGGAGGTGCCCTTCTCATTCCCATGGGAACCCTGTCCCTGGCTGCTCCCAGCCACTTCCTGCTTCTTCTATGTTTCATCAGCCCCTAGGACAACTGGGAGTCCAGTGCCCTCTGAATGTGGCGTCACTGGGGACCCCTCATTTCCCCTACCAGAGGCAACAGGCCTGCTGAGGGGAGGCCTGGGAGCTTGCCAGCCCAGAACCTGCTCCTGCGACGCTGCCTGGCGCTCTGGCTCCCAGCGCCTGCTCTTCCTCTCCACCATTTGCAAGGTGCCTGTCGTGGGCTGCTCCATAGCCAGACATGAGGGAGGCAGCAGGAAGCTGCTCACTGCTGGGGACAAGCAAGCCCATAGCCACTTCCCCATGAGTGCGGTGGTGACTGAGGGGCCTGTGACCCAGGGGCTGCATCATGAGAGACCAGGAGAAATTGGGTCCCCAGAAGCATCCAGGGCAGCACAGGGCACAGTGGGGCAAGGCCTGCGGCCAAGACGCGTTCCAGCCCTTCACGTGCTGGCCACGGCTGCCGCATGGTTCGAGGGCGAGGACTAGAGGCCTGGTGTCTGTAGGCTTAATGTGGAGCTTGGGTGATATGGGGTTGGGGGGTGGTCACTGAGCTTCTGCTCAGCAAAAGATCACTCTGGCCACTTCAAGGACAAGGGAATGGAGAGGCGAGGGTGGAGCCGGGAGGCCAGCTGGGGCCTGACAGAGGAGTCCCAATGAAAGGGAGGGGGCTCGGCAGAGAGGGTGTTTGTCCCAAGATATTGGTGCAGTGTCCCTGTACCAGGGTCCGTGAACTGGTAGGGGTGGGCCAGGCATTGCTGGAGGGGCCAGCGAGGTCAGAGAGTGGGAGGGAAAGTGAAGCCCGGGTACCTGATGGCCTCTCTTTGTCTGTGGGTAGCAGGTTATAGGCATGGGGCTGAGGGACTCTCAGTCAGGAGAGCACTGAGTCAGCTCCTGCAGGGAACAGCAGGGGCTGGGGATTGGGCCCTTTGTCAAAAGACATTTCTGGCCAGGCGCGGTGGCTCATGCCTGTGATCCCAGCACTTTGGGAGGCTGAGGCGGGCAGATCACCTGAAGTCAGGAGTTTTGAGACCAGCCTGTCCGACATGGGGAAACCCTGTCTTTACTAAAAATACCAAAATTAGTCGGGTGTGGTGGCACACGCCTGTAGTCCCAGCTACTCGGGAGGCTGAGGCAGGAGAATTGCTTGAACTCCGGGAAAAAGAGGTTGCAGTGAGCCGAGATTGCGCCACTGCACTCCAGCCTGGGAGAGAGAGCGAGACTCCGTCTCAAAATAAAATAAAAAGACATATTTCTATTTTATTTCCGGATGTGATTTTCCAGCAGGCAAATAAATACAATGGGGAGAGGGGGAAGGAGGGGGATCCTTATAAATTAGAAACAATCTCAGGTGGGGGGAAGGTGGGTGGGCTGGCAGGGGAGGTGGCAGGCAGGGAGCCCACTGCTGGGCACAGTGCCTGGCTTTGCACCCTGTGCCCCCAGGCTCTGCCAGCTCCCCTCAGTGGCTGGCTCGGTTCCGGGGTCATAAGGCGCTGCGGTGTTGGTGGATCCGGCTTGCTGCTGTCTGAGCCAGAGCTCACAGGTCAGTCACTTTGTTTTCCACCAGGGCGGCGACCTGCTGCAGGCGGCAGGCCAGCTGCAGCTTCTGGCCCACAGGGTCCTCCTCCAGGGCACTGATAATCTGCCCGGGCAGAGGAGGGTGCCTGTCTGAGCCTGCCCCTCTGCCTGCTGGCCCAGGGCCACCCACCCTGCTTCCATCACCGCAGGAGCCTGGGGATCCAGCAGGGGCTGCCTGGCGTCTCCCTGGGGAATCAGAATGAAAGCCGAGTCCCTTCCCCAGCCTGGGCCCCGCCAGCATGGGCTGGCACCCCTGCTCCCCCGGGAGGGTCCACGGGCCTCCCGCTCCACTGTGCCTCCCCTCCGGAGTGCCCTGGGCCTCACCTGATCATAGTACCTGTGGATGTGGTTGTAGAGTTCTTGCAGAGCCTCCAGACAGTGGGGAGCAGAAGTGTAGTTCTGGGGGCACCACGTGGAGGGGGGCAGTGAGGTCCCAGCCTGGTCCTCAAGCCCCAAGTCTCCCCCCTCTGCTCTGCTAGTCTTTCCACCCACGTGTGGACAGGCGCACCCCCCGGGCCATGCCTCACCCCGGAGAGCTCAGCCAAAGCAGAGTTCATCTCCTGGTAGCTCGCCGGAGAGCTCTGGCGAATGTCCGCATAGTACCTGGAGGAGCAGACTTCGTTAGGGGTGGGGCAGCCCCCTTCCCCGCAGCCCCGATGCCTCTGACACCCACCTCTCCACCATCTGCTTGTAGCGTGGGATCTCCCGGGCGTAGAGCAGTTTGTTCACTGGGGAATCCTGCTCCGGAGGGAGGGGAGGCGCTAGGCATGAGCTCGGAGGTGAAGGTGCCCCCATGATGCTGCCACTGCCCACCCAGAGCTCTGTGCACAGCCCTCTAGGCTTCCCCCATAAGCCTTTCCTCCTCAAGCCCCTGCCAGCTGCTGCTGCTGGCACTGCTCTCACCCGGCCCACTTTATGCTCCGAGGTGGTACAGGAGTCAATGAAGGTCTGGGCGATGACAGCAAGGATGGCGTCCACATTGTCCGACACCCGTACATCAAAGATGAGCTGTGGGTTCTTCAAGGCATTCACCCAGAACCGCAGCAGCAGACTGGGGGCGCAGGGCAGGCGTGGGCGTGAGGCCCTGGCCTGCCATCGTGATCTCCGCCCCATGTACTCCAGCCTACTGGCAACACACTCGGAGCCAGGGGCCGCTGGAAGCTGGCCTGGTGGCCTAGGTGACCTGGGCCCTAGATCTTCCTGTAAGTTCCAGAAACCCCAGGTGGGCGCATCCACCCTGGGAATGTCCTGGTCTCTCTGGGACTCAGTGGACCATATGCACAGCAGGGGTGGGGCAGCAGGAAAGGCACCTGTTGGTCTTCCAGATGTGCAGGGTCCCTGGGTCCTCGATGCCGTGCTTCTCTGCTAGCTCATCCAGAAGGTCAAACAGGTACTTGACGGCGATGGGGATGGGCCGGTTCACGCTGAGAATGGCCTGGAAGGTGTCGTCCACAAACTTCTGCAGCGTGCCCTGCGAGGCAGGGGATAAGGGCTGTGTGGAGGGCAGGGTGTGGGGGCCATCCACGGCTGAGGCTGCCCCTGCCCCTCCCACACCCTGGCTCGGTCGGGGTCCCTGGCTGAGCCTCCTCTCAGGCCCAGCCACCCAGGCCGCACCAACCTTCATGGACAGCAGACGGGTGAGGTAGATTTCCGGAATGGCCTTGGCCCTTGCTGGCTCGCGCTCCCGCAGGCTGCTGCACCGCACCTTGGCCCCTTCTGGCTCCTCGGTGGCTTTCACCAGGTGCCAGAGGCACACCCCCCCCTCCTCGCCATCCTCCAGCGTGGGTATGTCTGAGGGCACAGGAGCCTGGCTTCAGGGCTATACCCCCTGCCCCTGGCCTGGGATGCCCAGTCCACTCCCCCGACAAGGTGGGGCAGTGTGGGGACTGGAAGAAAGGAAGGAGATGGGCAGAAGATCTCGGTGGGGTGGGGGATGAAGTTGAGGCAGATGCATGGCCAGGAGTTCTGCCTGCCCAGCCTGGACTCCAGTGGCCCCAGGTCAGGGCCGAGGGACTCACTCTCTCCCAAGGGGCACCTCTGGGCCAGGCTCTGGGAGATGGTGCTGCCACGGTGCAGCTGAGGGACGAGCCCCACTGTTGCTCCATCTGGGACCTGGCAGAGATGGGGAGCGGAGGCTGTGCTGACCCCTAGCCAGGCGCCTACACCGCCCACATCCTGCCCTGCCTCGCCCTTCCCCGCCCCAGACCCGCCCTGCCCTGCCTCGCCTCACCCTGCCCCACCCCATCCCTGCCCTTCCCTGCCTTGCCTCGCCCCGCCCCGCCCCCCATCCCCGCCCCAGCCCCGCCCTGCCTCGCCCCGCCCCATCCTCGCCCTGCCGTGCCTCGCCCCGCCCCAGCCCTGCCCTGCTCTGCCTCGCCCCTCCCCACCCCAGCCCCGCCCTGCCCCGCCTCGCCCCAGCCCCGCCCTGCCTCGCCCCGCCCCAGCCCCGCCCTGCCTCGCCCCGCCCCAGCCCCGCCCTGCCCTGCCTCGCCCTGCCCCGCCCCAGCCCCGCCCTGCCTCGCCCCGTCCCTGCTCACACCTTGTAGTGTTGCAAGGTGTTGAGTCTCTTCCAGTGGTTTTGGGTCACGGAGGTCAAGTCTTCGTCCGATAGGGTCAGGTGACCAGCCAGGCCTGAGCGCCACTCTGGAGGGAGTCAGGGAAGCAGATAGTCTACAGCCTGCTCTCCACGCCCCACACTCATAGTAAGACACAGTTGAGGGGCTCCAGGTGCCGGAGGGGTAGGGAAGGGTCCCTGGGGTGGGTGGGCAGGGCTGGCTCTCTCACCAAGGTCTAGGGCATGCACTGAGGGCCTCTGGGAGAAGGGGGTGCCCTTGTAGACTTGGTCCAACACCTTCTCCTTGACCTGGGTGATGGTGTCCGTGTCGAGCACCCGGGCTGGCACGCGCTGCATCTCGCTGCTGCCTGCGGCCCCGCCAGCCCCGGGCCCCACCAGCACCATCAGCGTCAGGGGCTGGAACTCCACGTCCTCCCGCAGCAAGCGGCTATCATTCAGGGTCCGTTTGGCCTTGCCTGTCACGGCGTCCACGGGGCCTTTGTCCACCTGGTACTGGATGGCCCGGAAGAGCATGTACAGTGGTTCACCAGCCACCTCCTGCACTGCCAAGATGAGCCGGCATCAGCCAAGCGAGGGAGGATTGATGATAGCCCTTCTCGCCTCTGCCTCGTCTCCAGCCCCGGAGAGGGTTCAAAGTCCTTCCCTTTCCAAAGCCCCCCTTGCCGGGCCTTCGTCACGTAGGGCGCAGGCAGTAGCCCCCTCATGGCAAGAGGGGAGGAGTCTGCCACTCAGGGCTGGGAGCAGGCGGGACAGTGCCCCTCACCCTCAGGAAGGCGTACAGGCAGATGGACAGCCAGTTGGTGAGCAGTTTCTCCACCATGGTCTCTGTCCTGCGGGGAGCCGGCCACAGGGTCAGGCCTTTGTGCCTGTGTCCCTGCTGAGGACATCTCACTTTCCTTCCCCCCACCTGCTGGGGCTTCCTGGCCCCACCCGCCCCTGGACAGAGCCCGCCCAGGGTGCGATGGGGGCAGGTCTGTGGCAAGCCCTCACCCCCGCCACCGGGTCCAGGTCAAGGCCAACCTGCGTAGCATGAGCTTGGGGTTCCTGTGCACGTAATGGGCCGCCAGGTCACCCAGCAGGGTCCTCATGATGTCCGTCAGGTACTCCAGCTTGCCGTGTAGCGCTAGCGACAGCAGCGAAGCCACATGGCAGCGATCCCTCTGGGAAAAGCTGGGCTGCTCCTCCAGGGTGTGGATGAGCTGAGCAGGGGTCGGAGGCTCATCCTGGGAAGCCCCACTCCTCCCCCACCTTTGTCTCAGGCCAGTAGTTCCCCAGCCCCACCTCCTTGCCCACTGGGCACTCCCGCCACACGGCCCTCACCGTGAGGAGGAAGAGCTTGCTGTTGAGCAGGTTGGAGAGCTGCGTGAGGCCCTGGCGCACAGTGGCACAGTGGCCGTCCTCCCCTGGCCCCTCAGGCTTGGGCTGCAGCGGGCAACCGCCATGGCCAGGGAAGAAGGCGCGCTCGGCGTAGGTGCGGTAGTCCAGGAAGGGGATCCCGCTGCCCTCCAGGTCGCTGCTGAGGTCGGTCATCTCCGTCATGAGGTCTGCGGGGCCAGGAGGCGCCGAGGTGTGAGTTCAGGCCTCGTGGGTACCCTGTCCCCCCGCCTCCGCACCCACCTGTGAACTCCTTGCGGCACTGGTCTCCCACGCCGGTCTCCAGGCTCTCCAGCTGCACTAGCACCTTCTGGTAGTCCCGCAGGGCCTGCTTGCTCTTGTGCCTGCAGCCCGGGGCCAGCTTCATCAGCCAGGGCCGGGGCCAGCATCAGCCAGGGCCGGGGCCAGGCCAGCCGCCTGCCAGGGCGCCCTTGCCAATGGCGAGGAGGGAAGTGTGCTGGGGGTGGGCGGGTCTCACCTGTACATGAGGGTGAGGAGGAGCACGGCGGCAATCAGCACTGCAGCACCCATGCCCACGCCTGCCTGGGCCTCCACGGGAAAGGCAGACAGCGGGGGTTCAGCCTCGTACTGCACAGGGCCCAGGGCCAGCTGCACATTGCCCATCTGCACCTGGGGGGCGGGCAGGGTTCCTGAGTGCATGCTGGCGGCACCCGGTCCACCTGCCCACCCAGGGCACGGACTCACCACGAACTGTGGCAGGCCGGAGCCATTGGCAGGCTGCGGGGCGTGCGCAGGCGGCTCGCAGTACAGGTGGGTGCGCGTGAGCGTCTTCACCAGGCACTCGCCGCGGCCGATGTGCACGCGCACCTCCTCCTTGCTGATGCCCAGGTTGAGGCCCTCGCCCTGGGACACACATGGGAGCCTAAGCCGCTGGCCCCCACAGAGGCGGCCTGAGCACCGTGGCGGGGCAGGGTTGAAGGTGGCCCTCACCTCCACATCCAGGACATGGCCTGGCTTGAGGCGGTAGGGGCGGGCAGGCCCCTCGCGGCTGAGGGGTGCCAGGCGGGGGTTGGGCTGGTACAGGAAGCCCTGGCCCCCACTGGCACTGGCGAAGTCCACTTGCACGTTGTCTAGGGTGAAGAAGACCCGCTGCGGGTGGGCTCTGTCTGGTACAGCAGGGCTCCGGCACAGGAGGAGGCTGGACGAGTTGACGGAGCAGACGGTGGAGCACTGTGGGGCATTCAGGGCCGACCACAGGTGGAGTGAGCTGGGCTCTGCTGTGCGCTGCTAGGGGCATGGCGGCCTACCCTCCTCCTCCCCACTGGGCATGGGCATGGTCGGGGACAGCCTTGTCGCCTGCTGGTGAGGGGCTCACCTGCAGCAGCCCCCCACCGAGCTGGATACAAGCCTGGGGGTCCGCAGCAGGGGCTCCACAGCTCCTCCTTGGCTGTGGGTCCTGGGGCTGGGCCCTGGAAGCCTGCACCTCTGCGTCAGCCTCCAGCCACACAGACAGTAGGGGCCGCTGCACCACGTCTAGGCCGGTGCCCCTGACACGGATCAGTCGCCCACCCCTGTACCAGGATGGCAGTCGGGTGTGGGCGGGCGGTGGGCAACATAGCCCAGCCCGCATCCCACCTTCCCTCCTGCGTGGTGCACAGGCTGGCCTGCGGGCTGACCCTCACCCCCGGAAGCTGGCACTGGGCTCCGCCGCTACAAGCTGGGGGTTGGCGGTGTAGCGGAAGGGGCTGGCGAGCAGTGTGCGCTGGGCATGGCCAAAGACCACAAGGACCGCTGCTTCTCCTGGGGCAGCCTGGGGCCTGGTACGGCACACGATGGCCTCCGGACACACTGGCTCCAGGCTGCAGGATGGGTAGTGGGGTCTCTCATCTCGGCTCTACCACCCCTCTACCCCAGCCCTGGCCCAACCCCCGTAGGAGAAGCCCTGCTTTGCCTGCCTTGACAAGGGCAGGGACCACTGGGGGTGGCCACAGCAACCACTTCTCTAAATGTACCACCCCCACTGAGGCCTATGGGAGTGCCCACCACCCGACGGCAGCCAGGCCGGGACTCACATGGGACAGGGTTGGCCACCCACGAAGGCACTGGTGTTGCCACCTGTCTGGAGGTGCTGACCTCGGATGGTGAGCTGGGTGCCCCCTGCCTGGGGGCCCCAGCGAGGACTCAGGCTCAGCAGGACAGGGTCCTGGCGAACAGCGCAGGCTGGGTAGGCACGGCAGCCCAGCCTGGCCCTTTCACCCCCCTGGGCCATGCCCAAGGCCCTCCGGTTCTGAAGCGCAGGTCATCTCTGGACTTCACCTCCTGGGGCCAAAGTGGACCACGCCCTCCTTCCCGAGGCCACTGCACACTGGCCAGCTTCCTCCCACCCACCCCTGCCGCATGGGGAGTAGAAGTGGGGCTCTTTCATCCTCACTGCCACTCTGTCCCCCTTGGGACAGCCTCCTCCCCACCACAGCTTACAGCCCCCAGACCTGGAGCTCTAAACTCTCAAATCCAGTTGCCTCTTTGGGCAGAACCCACCCCTGCCCTCACTGCTCCTGTCCCAGGCTTCCCACCCAGGAAACGGTGCCACCAAGTGCCCAGGGCAACAGATCCTGAGAGCTTCGTGCCTCAGACTGGCCTGGCTGCCCACCTCCACTCACATGCCATGGCTTCCCTCCTAGACATGCAGCGGTGCTTCCTGCTCCCCGCAGACCCAGCTTGACATCCTTACTAGGCGCCTGTCCTTCCTGGCCCTCCCTCCTACCCTCCCCTGCGTAGGGCACACCTGGGAGGCCACTGACCTGGTAGGTGAAGTGCTGGCTTGAGATGCCTGGTGGCTGGCTCTTAATGGCCACCCGGACGGGCCCAGTGGTGCCATTGGGGGCAGGAGATGTCACACACACAATCCTGGAAAGCCGAGGCCTGGGAGCTGCTCAGGGCTCAGGGACGGAGGGGACAGCCCACCCCTCCCCTGACCCGAGTGCCCCAGGTTTCTTGGCCACAGGCCTTCCTTATCTCTGGGTGGCCATCTCTGAGGGCCTCCCCACCCATCTTCACCCTCCAAGTGCCTCACCGGGCCGACGTGCGGTAGAGAGAGGGCTCAGGGTTGCAGGGCCGGCTGGCCACGCTCACGGCGTACTGCACATCGGCGAAGGCCCGGCCCAGGTTGGAGCCCAGGATGGTGAGGGCCAAGCCTCCCTCAGGGGGACCGGTCAGGGGCTCGACCTGCAGCAGGCAAATGATGGCAGATGGGGTCCCCCGCACCCACGCTCCACTCTGCAGTGCTGGGTGCCCGGCCAGCCAACCAGCCCAGCCAGGCCGAGCTGCTGGGGTTTGGGGGCCTGGGGCAGGGCTGGTCTGATCACGGAGGACAGGACAGTGCGGGGCAGGAGAAGTGGGCCACTGGGCTGTGGGGGCCCGGCAGGAGACTCACTGCATCAATGCTGGGCGCAGGACACAGCAGCTCCACAGCCCCCGGCGGGCACAAGGGCCCATAGCGACAGGCAGGCTGGCCGTCAGCACACCACAGGCAGCCCAGGCTCCTGTTGGCCGCTTGGCAGTGGCTGCAGTCCGGGTGGCCCATGGCGCAGTCGTACAGGATCACTAGGGAGGGTCAGGCAGTGTGCTGAGCGCCTCCTGTCTGCCACCCACCCTGCCCCGCCTGCCTGGCTGCCCTCAGGCTCACCATAAAGAGCATGGGTGTTGTCCAGCCTCTGGGCTTCACCCTGGGTGACGTAGATGGGCACTGGGAGCTCCCGCTGGGACATGGAGGGATAAAACTGTGGGCAGAGTGTGGGGTCAGGCTGGGTGCCCACTCAGGGCACCTCTGACTCTTGTCTCCTCTGGGCCACCCCCCAGAATGAATGTGATTGTTCCCTGCCTCTCCCCCAAGACTGGGGCCCACAGACAGAGGTTATGGGCCCCAAGCAGGCTCTCCACAAAGATGGCAGACCCCTGAGGGTCTACGGAAGCTTGGGGGCAAGAGGGTTTGGAAGGCAGCCACTCACCTGGTGGGCCTGGCAGTGGATGAGGCCTGAATCCCCTGCTGTCTCCTCCAGGGTGGCCGGCAGTCCCCGAAGTTCTCCAGGCAGCTCCAGCCAGCAGTGGAAGGAGGCAGGCAGGCCCTGGGGAAGGACGCTGTCAGGAGTGTGGACACGCTGTTGGCAGACCTCACTGCCCTGTCCCCTTCCCTCCTGATGGCTCACTCGGAAATGTTGAAGGTTCCGCACGCGTAGGGCCAAATGGCTCTCCCAGCCCACAGGCACCAGGTGGGGACCTGCCAGGCCTTCGACCTGTGGGCAAGCCCCTGGGCCACGCACCTGGATGTCCACCTGGGAAAACAAGAGCCCTCAGCCCTTCAGAACTCAAAGGGCCTACTGCTGGGCGGGTCTGGGAAGGGTGGAGAAGGGACAGCCCTGTCTCTGCCCGAAGTTCGGGCCCACCCACCTCCTGGGCGCTGTAGATGGTCCTCTCGCCCTCTGGGCAGTGCTCTCCGTACACGCAGTGGCTACTCTGCGGGCACCAGTGACACCGCCAGATGCTGCCCACGCAAGCGCGACACCTAGAGGGGCAGGGTGGCTGCTCAACTGAGTGCCCTCTGGGGTCGCCACCCCTACCCCAGGAGGCAGGCCCAGGGACTCACGGGGCAGCCGCCTCCAAGGCCTGGACGGCACTGCAGTCATAAAAGGAGAAGTTGGTGGCAGCCACAGTCACGTCCTCGAACATCAGGGCCAGGGGCACAGTGACGTGGTCTGGGAGGGGACAGTGGGGGCAGGACAGGTCAGGTGGCTCATTACCCCTCCAGCCTCCATCCCAGCCCCCTACCCCATGGGCCACTCACCTGTGCCTGGAGGGTTAAGTGGCACCTGGTCTTGGGGAGGGGTGACACAGGCCACGTGGGGCCCTTCCACATGAGCCAAGCTGTCATAGTCCCCGAACGCACAATGGAAGTATTCATCTGCATCCAGGATGGGCAGCCGGGGGACAGACAAAGTGACCTGGGATGCAGCGGGGAGAAACCGGGAGATGTAGCCAGAGAGAGGGGGCAGCAGAGGCCATGGGAGAGGAAGGAGGACGGGAGGCAGGCGGGGTTCATGCTCCAGGCAGTGGTCATGCTGCCCAGAGGGCCCAGTGGTGGTGGGCGGCTTACCTGGCCCTGCTCCTGGCGGGGGTGGTGGCCCGGCAGCAGGCTCTGGATGTGCAGGCAGTGGCTGTCCTCCTCATAACTCCACAGCCACTGGTTCAGCTGGCCTGCCCGCCCGCACTGGCCCTTCCGGGTACACCTGCCAGGCAGGGGTCCATCAGGTCACCGTGGGGGTCCTAGACTCCAAGGATGACCGGCAACAGGGGCCTGGGGAGGCCGGCCCAGCTGGAGTGCAGTGGGGTGCAATGAGCAGGAGGCGTGAAGGGGACTGTGTCCAGAGAGAAAGGGGCCAAGCAGGCAGGGCCTCATGGCCAAGGCGTGGGCTCCAGCCCTGAGAGGCAGGTGCGGCTGGGCTGAGGGACGCACAGTGACTCAGGGCTGCCTTAAAGGATTCCAGGGGCTGCCGTGTGGAGCACCGGCTGGAGGACAGCTGTGTGGGGTTCTGGACCCTGGCTGGGGCTGCTGGGATGAGGAGTCCACAGGCCGGGTGGTGTCGGAAAAGGGGGGTGCCAACCAGATTGACGGCTCAGTGAGATGGGGCAGGATGGGTGACCTCCGTGGTGGCCCTGAGTCTCTCCAACAGGCAGGGTTGGCCTCCCGGCACGCCTAGGGCTACTTCCAGGGGCAGCCTCGTGGCACACACCACCCGTTGGCCCTAGCCTAGGCACAGGCCCCGTGCTCACCTGCCCTGGAGGACACACCAGCCACACAGCGGGTCCTGGGCCTGGAGGCAGCTGGCACAGTCAGGGAACTGGGGGCAGGCTGCCACAGGTATCCGGTCCACCTGGAGGGGCAGCAGAGCAGAGAGGCAATGGGCACGAGACTTGGGCCGCGTGTGCTGGCCCCTTCAGCCCCAGGATGGCCCTCACCTGGTGGGCAGTCAGGACATAGAGGTGACTGCCACTGCTGTCCAGCAGCAGGTCTGGGCTGATGGCTGAGCCTGGAGGCCCCACTTGCTGGGAGTGGTAAACCTGGCCCTGGGAGCCGTGGAGAAAGACCTGAGTGGGGGGACAAGGACGAGGCTGGGCCAGATGGCCAAAGGTTGCCTGTTCCAGGGACACGCCCTCCTCCTAGTGGGGGCTCCTTTTTAGAGCCAGTTCCCCTTCCTGCCGGGCCATCGAGGGAGGACACATCACTTCCCCCACTCAGCACCCTCAGGCCTAGGACACTCTCCAGGGAACCATGACACCGGGGCAGCAGCGGCACCCTGGGTGAGGCCCCGTGTACCAGGGACAGTTCTGCCAGGTGGGAGGGCAGCTATGGGGAGACAGGAAGGTCACCAGGAGGCACCACACCCTGCCCACCTCACCCAGCCACCCCAGCCACCTTCACCGTGAGCCACCACCAGCTGGTGAAGGCCGGGCTGCAGGGGGCAGTGCTCAGCCAGCAGTCACTGTGTGGCAAAGTCCCCTGACCCAACCGTGGGATGCGGGCTAAGAGGTGGAAGTTGCTGGGGGCTTTCCTGAGCCTCCGTGGCCAGGGGCACACCCAGCCGGACAGCAAGGCCGGGCCCTCACCTTGTACAGCTGGCCCTGGGTGTCCCCCAGGAAGGCTATCATGTGCCCATCTGCCTGGAGAGCTGCCACGGCGCTGACCGGCTGCCCGAGCTTCAGCAGAGGCTGGACCTCCAGGGGCTGGCGGCCAGCAATGGGGCTGGGGGTGTGCTCGTCGCCACAGGGGTACGACTCGGGGGAATCCTACGTGGCAGGAAGTGGAGAATCAGCCCCCGGAAGAGAGCAGAGAGGCAGTCAGGGGGGGTACCCAGGCTGCCAGCGGGAGGAGAGCCAGGCACCCTGGGATGACCCCAAGGCCCAGCAATCAGGGCCGAAGGGCCAGGGCACCTGGCAAGCTCATAGCATCCAGAGGGAGAAAGGTGGAAAGAAATGGGTGGAGAGCAGGCAGGAGACCTGGAGACTCAGCTGACCCCTGGCTGAGAGGTTGGCTGGCACTTCCCATGGGCAGGCACCCCTGTCCAGTGCTGAAAGATGCCAGCCATCCACAGAGAGGGGGGATGGAAGGGCATGCCACTCACAAGGGGCAGGGTGACGCAGCGCGACGTGACGCCGTACTCCACGGTGGCTTCCTCTGCGCCGCTGGGGCCCCGGCCGCCCGCCGTGTAGCAGAGTCTCCGGGCCTGCTCCATGCTGGCACCCAGCTCCACCATGGGGAAGGCACAGAGCGCCGCCTGGGTGCCCCTTGGGCCCGCGGCAAACACCCCTAGCAAGGTGCCCGGGGCAAGGAAGGCGGCCTGGATGAGGCCCTGGCCCTGGCAGGCGAGGGGGACCTCCACGTAGGAGTACAGGTTGGTGTCCCCCAGGCAGACGCGGGCCACGTAGGAGCGGTACTCAGCCTGGGCCCGGGCCCCGCGGCGGCGGAACACGAAGTAGGCGGAGCGGGCGTCGGCAAAGGCCCCGACGTAGCTGTTGTTGTAGTCGGAGAAGTCGCCCACCACCAGGCGGCCCAGGCCCTCGCTGGAGAAGGGCTGAGACCCGGCCAGCTGGCGGATGGCCAGGGGTGGCACCCCTGCCGACAGCTTGCCCGCCAGGCCTCTGGCCACAAGCAGGAGGTCCCGGCCGGGCAAGGGCACCACCAGCCCCACCGTTGCCACTCCCGGGGTATTGGCAGCCACAAACTGCCCGTCACCAGGGTCCTCAGCCTGGTACAGCACCTCGGCCACATCCCCAAGGCGCCGTGTCTCACACACGCCCTGCCGCACCTGCCCGCAGGCCACCAGCTCCTGGGCGCGGCTGCTCACCAGCAGCAGCTGGTTGGCATTGTCAGTGAGCTGGGCCTGTGGGCACTCGGCTGGGTCACGGAAGGGCACGCAGTCAGGGCTGTCGATTACAGGGCCAGTGACAGCCACGGCCTCGAGCTGCAGCTCGGGGCTGAGCTGGAAGAGGCGGTTCACTGCGCCGACATAGAGTGTGCCTCGGCCAGGTGCCAGTGCCAAGTGGTTGAGAGTGGTATTAGGTGCGGAGAAGCGATGGGCCCCTGTCAAGGGCAGTGGCGGTGGGGACAGCAGCAGCAGGAGGAGGCAGAGGCCGAAGGGAGGCCAGCGAGCCATCACGGGGGCCTGTGAGAGGGCACAGGTCAGGGCAGTGGGAGCGCAAGGCAGATAGAGGACCAGAGGAAGGTGGAAGGTGGGGTGGACAGAGGCCAGGGTGCTCAGGGCCAGGGAGGGAGGGAGGCAGAGAGATGGAGAATGAGAGAGAGTGAGCGGAGACAAGGAGACAGAGGGGGCACAGAGAGAGGGGGACATAAGGAGGGACAAAGACAGTGTCCAAGAGCTGGAGCAAGAGGCAGGGAGGGGTGCATGCACGCACGCACAAGCACACAAGGACAGAATTCTTTCATCTCCTACTTTATATGCATGTAGATTGTTGAAGGGGGGCAGGTCCTGGAAAGCCGCAAGAGCGCTAACAGAGGGACTGTGAGTCACAGAGGGGGCAGGGATGGAGAGAGGGCAGGGGAGGGAGGGAGGCCGCGGGAGCTGGAAGGCTGGCGGAAGCTGTGTCACAGCGCGCCCCTGCGCCCACCACCCAGACAAGAGAGATCTAAGTCAGGTGAGAGGAGTGAGGCCACCGTGTGCCCCAAGGGACCAGACAGGGAGAGAAAACCTGCCTTGGGCAGCCAGGGCCGGCTGCAAGGAGGAACCCTCCGCAGCTGGGGGAAAGAGCCAGGCAGCCGCGGGCTGAGCAAGGAGCAAGTCAGCGAAGAGGCAGGGGTGAGCTCCATGCTGGCGCCCAGCTCCAGGGCGAGGAAGCACTGGGGCAAGGCAGCGGGGGTGCTGGGAGAAGCCAGGGGTGTCAAGAGACAACACAGGCTTCAGGGGTGCGGGGAGGCCTGCTCCTGCCCCATGGGCCCCAGCAGTTTGGGTCTCTCAGGGCCTGGCACAGGGGGCCTCAGTGTAGGAGTGTCCCAGGAGAAGAGCAGACCAGGAGAGCTGGCTGGGGGAGGGGTCAGGGAAGGGGCAGGGAGGGGTGCCAGACTGGAGATGGTTCCTGGGTGTGCCTGGTGGGACCCCGGGGTGAGCCCCCGAGGGTGAGAGGTGGGAGCAGCCCCTTCTCTGGCCCCTCCTGCCCTCCACAGAGAGATGCTGCCCTGGGTGTGTGGTCACATGCCGACCAGGAGTGGGGCCGCTGCGACTCAGGGCAGAGCAGCGCCTGGAGGAAGGCCCAGGAGCCGCTTATCTCAGGAACACAGGCAGGAAGAGCACGGACACTTCCTGCGGACCCCGGGCTATCTGGGGCAGTGTCTGCCATGAGGGAGGCTGCAGCCTGTATGTCCTGGGCCTGGCCACAGCCATCCTGCCCTACCCTGCCCCTCCCAGGAACATTTCTGGGGACACCGGGCCTGGGCACTTACCATGAAGTGGTGCAGCAGAGGGGTCTCCTGGGCGGCGTGGCACATACGCTCAGTTCAGCTGCCCCAGGGCAGTGGCGATGGGCATGAGATGGCTGCGGGGGGGCATTGTCCTGAGTGGGAGGGAGACAGTCGAGGCTCAGCCCCATTCGAGCTGGCCTGGGGAAGGAGGGGCGGCGGTGGGGGTGGCGCCCAGGGCCTAGCGACCGGGCTCCCTCACAGCTGGCAGCTTTGTCAATAGTGGCCAGGCCAAGGCAGCCCTGCCTCCACCACAACAATGTTCCCTCTGTCCAGAGGCCAGGCCAGGGCCCCACTCGCTAGTGCTGTCACCCCCACTGGGCTGTTCTGGACAGGGGGCTCCTTGCCACTTCCCACCCTCAGGGAGCCACCCCCGGGATCCGGGGACAAAGGGCCGGGGTTTCCTCCAGCCAGCCCTCCCCCTCTGGCCCTGCAACCCCTGTGTCACTAAGCATGCCCCTCCCTGGCTCCCCGGGTCCCTGTGAAGGGCACGGGGTGGACCTTGGAGCCCCTGCAAATGCCGGCTGGTAGCCTTGGGGCCTGGGTGAAGTGCCAGTCCTGGCCCTCAATGCCTGCCTTTGTCCAAAAGATCTTCCTCCACACCCCCAGCCCAGCCCTGCCCCTGGGGACTGGTGAAGTGGTGCCAGGTACAGCATGGTGGCAGCGAGCAGGACCACGGGAGGAGGCTGCTTGAGATGGGCTGAGGCAGAGGGTCCACAGGCCGGGGCTGTCCACCCCACCCTCTGAAGCACCGTCCTGCTGGCCTAGATGCCATCCATGCAGGGGATGGGGAAGGGAGGGGCACCTAGCAGCTAGACCCCCTGTCACCCTCACAGGCCACCCTGGCCAGTGGCACAGGAGCAGGTGCACTGGGGATGGGGTCTCTGCCTCCCCCACAGCACGGCAGCAGTAGGCTCCAGGGCAAGGTGGCAGTGGGCTGCTGTCACCTGGCTGGGCCAGTTGGGTGGCTGTGGGGGTGGGGAGCCAGGCGGGCAGCCTCTCTACCCTGTACCCTGCCCGAGGCTGGCGTTGGCTTTCCCATTTCGGGGAAGAAACATGGTTCCCCACCTCCTAACCCCAGGGCTACCACTTGGGGGACACCGTGCTCCCAGACACCTAGTGCCGTCGTCAGGCTGGGCCGACACCCGAGCGCTCTTGCCTGACCCCAGCCAGTTGGCCCTGAGACCCTGATGCCTTGCCCTGAGGCTGGTAGCCCCTGCACCCCAAGCCCAAGCCCAAGCCTGCCCCAGCTCTTGCCTACCTGGTGGGCCACCGGCGAGGGCCAAGTAGCAGCTGGCGGTGCCAGGAGCACGTCTCACAGAGCCCCAGCCTCCCTCCCCACAATGCAATCGTGCCCAGTCCGACTCATCCCAACAAGCCCGGCCAGGCAGCCCAGCCTCTCTCCGCCCGCCCCTTTGCCCAATGGCACAGGGCAGGATGTTGCTGCCCTCTGCTGGCCGCAGCGGGCATGATGGAGTACTGACCGTGGGCACCTGGCAGGTGAGAGACGGCAGCGCCCTCCTATTGGGTGGGCATTCCATAACCTGGCACGAAGCACCTACTGGATGCCAGGCTTGGGCTTGGCACTGGCACCATCCAGAAACAAACACAGGTTGGGAAACTGAGGCACAGGAGGTTAGGAAACTTGAATAAAGTCACACAGCTAGTATGTGGCAAGGCTGAGTCAATCACAGGGCCCCTTCACTTAACCGTCAGGCTACATGACCTTGAACCATGAACCTTGGCAGGCGTTGGGCAGGAGATGGAGCTGAGGCCTACCCCAGGCCAGGCCTGGACGTGACATGCCCACGTGGCGTTGAGGAAAAACCAGTGTTTCCCACCGACTGGAACACAAGGTTGGTCAAGGGCCGTCTCCCAGGGTGTGGCGGAGGTCAGCAAATCAGGTGGGGTCTTTGTGGCCAGGCTTGAGAACTTGAACTTGTCTCGCCATGGGCAACTGCAAGCTGGTGGCACTGGGGCAGAGAATGTGGGGAGGCCTGGTCCAGTGGTGGTCATGGGCATGGAGAGAGGCGGGCGCGTTCTAGAGGCGCTCTGGGGAGGCAGCATTCTGAAGACTGTGCGTTGGACCCAGGGCAGGAGGCGAAGGCAGGAGAATCCAGGCGACCCTGGGGCTTTTCTGCTGGGGCACTGTTCCCCCTGTGGCAGGGCCATCCACAGAGGGGCTGGCGGAAGTGGGAGGACGGTAAGACTGAGGGGCCCATGAGGGAGGAGGAAATGGTGATGGGGCTGGGGAGGCCTGGGGGTGAGAAGCTTGGCTCAGGTGGCTGGAGCCCTGGGGGCGGCCAGGGTATAGGGCCAGGTGTTGGCCCTGGAGCTCAAAGGCCCAGCAGACTCGGGGTATGGGTGCTTCCCTGAGCAGCTGTGTCATTCTTTCCAACCTGCATGGAGAGAAATGGGGCACAGAGGTGGGTAACTTGCCCAGGGCCATGACCTGACGTCGTTTCTTCAGAGTGCATTCCACAGAGATGGGATTTGAACCTGGGCATTCTGGCACGGGCCACGCTCTGGACCACTGGGCCCCAGATCCACAGCTTCTCACCTGCAGCCGCTGAGGATGTGGAGGCAGACCAGGCAGGCCCGTGGGAAGGACCACCAAAAAGCGAGTGAGCAGCCGGCGAGGGGTCTCTCCCCAACAGGAAGGCCAGGCAGCCTTGAAGGAGCCAGGGAGGGATTTAGAAGCTCCAGGAGGGGAGGCTTGGGGGAGCCAGCTGGCCTCTCTCCCTCTCCCTGTCCTTCCCCCCATGCCTACCCCAACACACACACACATGTCCTTGCTGGCCCCGGATGAGACAGACGCCTGCAATCTGGCATGGGGAATGGGTTTCTCCTTCCTTTCCACAGAAGAAAATAAATCAGGCTGGGCGTCGTGGCTCCCGCCTGTAATCCCAGCACTTTGGGAGCCTAAGGCAGCAGGATCACTTGGGCCCAGGAGTTCTAGACCAGCATGGGCAACATAGTGAGACCCCCATCTCTATAAAAAAATTTAAAAATTAGCCAGGCATGGTGGTGCGAGCCTGTAGTCCCAGCTACTTGGGAGGCTGAAGTGGGAGGATCGCCTGAGCCTGGGAGTTGGTGCCTGCAGTGAGCCGTGATGGTGCCATTGCACTCTAGCCTGGGTGACAGTGCAAGACTCTGTCTTTAAAAAAAAAAGAAAAGAAAGAAAGAAAAAAGAAAATAAATCCATCCACAGGCAGCACCATTTTCATAAATATGTGTGTATATGGCCTGCATATGCACCTTCTACGCTTTCTGAGCAGATAAGAGGCGTGGCTATGGCAGCCCCTGGTCTGAAGCTGGTGTAACCAGAAAGGATCTAGGCTGGTTTGGGGAACCGGAACATCTTATGTCAGGGGAGTCGTGCTGGATTTATCCTGCAATGGCCGGGTCCCCTCACCAAGGGATGGGAAGGCAGCGTCAACTGATCTGGTGTCGTCTCCTTGCTGTGTGCCAGGCTTCTCAATGCTGGAAGGGGACTCGTTGGGTCAGTGGGACGTGGGCTTCACGTTTGCTGGGCTGAAGACGTAGCTCTCCATGCTGGCATCCCAGCGGACACCCCCACTGCCACTGCTGCACCACGTCTTCACGTACACCAGAGAGCAGACTTGAGAGTTTCTGCGCATACAGTGGGTGTGAAATGGTGCCCTGCTGGGTTTTGAATCGGCATTCCTTGACCACCGGCCATATTGCAGCACTTTTCATTTCTTCTGTCAAATGCCCGTGCATGTCTTGGCTTACACTTTGCAGGTGTTCTGTATTTTCCACACCAATCCCTGGGGTGTATGTCTTCGGCCTACCTGTTACTTGTCTTCTCAGTTTGCTGATGTATCATGTGATAAACAGAAAGTCTTAATTTTAATATCATAGCATTTATCAATCTGATTTCTTTTTTTGAGACGGGGTCTCGCTCTGTCGTGCAGGCTGGGGTGCATTGGCGCAATCATGGCTCACTGAAGCCTCCTGGGCTCAAGTGATCCTCCCACCTTAGCCTCCCAAACACCTGGGACTACAGGCAGGCGCCACAGTGCCTGGCTAATTTTGTAATTTTTTTGTAGAGACAGGGTCTCGCTATGTTGCCCAGGCTGGTCTCAAACTCCTGGACTCAAGCGGCCCTCCCGCCTTGGCTTCCCAAAGTGCTGGCCCGTGAGCCTGTGAGCCACTGCGCCTGGCTACCTTCTTTTGAATTCCCATTCAGACTGTGTGTTGCTGGTACATAGAAAAACAATGGATTTCTATGTATCAAGTAACCTTGTAAACTCTCATATTAAGTCTAATAATTATGTTTGGGTTCTCTTTGTGGATTCTTTTTGATTTTCTGCGTACACAATCCTATCATCTGCAAGTAATGACCATTTTGTTTCTTCTATTCCAGTCTTTTTAGCTTTGATTTCTTTTTTTGAGGCAGAGTCTGGCTCTGTCACCCAGGCTGGAGTATAGTGGCACAATCTTGGCTCACTGCAACCTCCGCCTCCCTGGTTCAAGCAGTTCTCCTGCCTCAGCCTCCCAAGAAGCTGGGACTACAGGCACCCACCACCACGCCTGACTAATTTTTGTATCTTTACCAGACACAGGGTTTCACCATGTTGGCCAGGCTGATCTGGAACTCCTGATCCACCTGCCTTGGCCTCCCAAAGTGCTAGGATTACAGGCGTGAGCCACTGTGCCCGGCTGATTTCGTTTCCTTGCTTTACTTCCCTGGACTTGCTTTCTCTTGCTTTTACTTCCTTTGAATGAAAGCATAGGAGGCGCTGGGCATGGTGGCTCACGCCTGTAATCCCAGCACTTTGGGAGGCCGAGGTGGGTGGATCACCTGAGGTCAGGAGTTCGAGACCAGCCTGACCAACATGGAGAAACTCTGTCTCTACTAAAAATACAAAAAAATTAGCCGAGCATGGTGGCCCATGCTTGTAATCCCAGCTACTTGGGAGGCTGAGGCAGGAGACTCGCTTGAACCCAGGAGGCCGAGGTTGCGGTGAGCCAAGATCGAGCCATTGCACTCCAGCCTGGGCAACAAAAGCGAAACTCTGTCTCAAAAAAAAAAAAAAAAAAAAAAAAAAAGCATAGGAGGCATTCTCAGTGTTCCATTATTAAGTATGATGTTTGCAGGGAGCATTCGGTAGATATGTTTATCAGATTTAGAAAGCTCCCTCCCATTCCTAGTGTGCTATATGTTGAATTTTTATAAAATGCTTTTTCTGAATGCATTAATATGATCACAGGGTTTTCCTCCTCTAATCTGTTAATGTGGCAAATTACATTAATTCATTTTTAAATGTTAAACCACTCTTGTATTTTCTGGACTAAACTCAACTTTGCGTGATGTATTTTTTTCATATACAATTCTGGATTGGGTGGTTTTTTTTTTTTTTTTTAGCCTCGTATTATTATCCTCGTCTGGTTTTGGTATCAAGACATCGTAAAGTGAGTTGAGGCAGTATTTCCTTTTTCAGCTGTTCACTGGAACAGTTAGTCTAAGATGGAGATGATCAGTTACTTCCATGTTTGCTGGAGATCATCTGTAAAACCATCTAGGCCTTCCTTGTTTTTTATTTTCTGTTTTTTGTTTTGTTTCTTTTCTTTTCTCTTCTTTGTTTTTTTTGTTTTGTTTTGTTTTGTTTTGTTGTTGTTTTGAGACAGAGTCTCACTCTGTTGCCCAGGCTGGAGTGCAGTGGTACAGTCTTGGCTTACTGCAACCTCTGCCTCCTGGGTGCAAGCGATTCTCCTGCCTCAGCCTCCCGAGTAGCTGGGACTGCAGGCATGCACCACCACGTCCAGCTAAGTTTTGTATTTTTAGTAGAGACGGTGTTTCGCCATGTTGGCCAGTCTGGTCTTGAACTCCTGACCTCAGGTGATCTGCCTGCCTCGGCCTCACAAAGTGCTGGGATTACAGGCATGAGCCACCGCATCTGGCCTGGCCTTCCTTGTTTTTGTAGCTTCCTGCCTGTCCCCCTATAGATTTTAAACAATGAATCCAACTTCTGTAATAATTATGGGACCATTTAGGTTTTCTGTTTCTTCTTGAGTAATTTTTTTATTGTGGGAAAAAATACATAACACAAAATTTGCCATCTTTTTTTTTTTTTTTTTTGAGACAGGTCTTGCTCTGTTGCCCAGGCTGGGGTGCAGTGGCATAATCATTGTAACCTCAAACTCCTGGTCTCAAGCAATTCTCCTGCCTCAGCCTCCTGGGTAGCTGGGACTATAGGCATTCACCACCATGCCCAGCTAATTTTTAATTTAATTTTTTTTTTTGAGACAGATCTCACTTTGTCACCCAGGCTGGAGTACAGTGGCGTGATCTCAGCTCACTGCAACCTCTGCCTCCCGGGTTCAAGCAATTTTTGTGCTTCAGCCTCAAATTTTTAATGTTTTTGGTAGAGATGGGATCTTGTTACTTTGCCCAGGCTGGTCTCCCATTCCCAGACTCAATCAATCCTCCTACCTTGGCTTCCCAAAGCACTGGGATTACAGGTGTGAGCCACCATGCCCAGCCTCCAACTTTATTCTTTTGCATGTGGATATCAAGTTTCCCCTATACCATTTGTTGAAAAGACTGCCCTTTTCCCAATTTGTAGCCTTGATACCCTTGTCAAAAATCATCTGACCATATACTTGAGAGTTTCTTTCTGGGCTCTGGATTATATTCTGTCTCTGTCTTTATGCCAGGACCACACTGTAATATGTTTTATTTTGTAAATCAGGAAGTGTGAGTCCTCGAACTTTGTTCTCCTTTTTCAGAATTGTTTTGGTTATTTGGAGCCCCTTGAGATTCTATCTGAATTTAGGATGAATCATTCTATTTTGAGTCAATTTTTGATAAACAATATTTTTCTAGGAACATGCTTTTTTTTTTTTTTTTTTAGACAGAATCTAGCTCTGTCGCCCGGGCTGGAGTGCAGTGGCATGATCTTGGCTCACTGCAACCTTTGCCTCCTGGGTTCAAGCAATCCTCCTGCCTCAGCCTCTCGAGTAGCTGGGATTACAGGTGCCCGCTACCACGCCCAGCTGATTTTTGTATTTTTAGCAGAGACGGAGTTTCACTGTGTTGGCCAGGCTGGTCTTGAACTCCTGACCTCAGGTGATCCACCTGCGTCGGTCTCCCAAAGTGCTGGGATTACAAGCGTGAGCCACCGCGCCTGGCTGGAACATGCCCATTTTGTTTAAGTTTTCAAGTTTATTAGCATAAAGTGTTTTGGTTTTATTTTATCATTGATTTATTATTAATAAATGTCTTGGGTCAAAACCAGATGACGTTGCTTAATGTTCATTTATTGTTAACCTACAAAAATTGCAGTTTCATCTTGTTCAATCTAATACACACGGAAGAGCATATGCTGCTTAGATGAATCATCCCCACTGACAGCCATCATGGACCCTTCTTTTTCCCTTCGCAGTTAGTCCTAGCCTTTCCTTGGTTTTCTTTATACTTGTCCCAAATATGAATTAGCCTTAAACAATAAATTATTTACTTTTGCAACAAATTTTTTGGTTTTATTTTTTTAAATGTGTTAACTAGAATCACCATGCTGTACATCAGATCTCTGGAACGTCTCCATCCTGCATAACTGAAACTTGGTACCCTTTGACCAGCATTTTCCCATTTCCCCTACCCCAGTCCTGGCGGCCACTGTTCTGCTCTGTTTCCATGAGGCTGACATTTTTACTTTCCACGTGAGCAGCGTCATGCAGTATTTGCCTTTCTGTGCCCGGCTTACTTCACTTAATGTAATGTCCTCCAGGTTCCTCCATGTTGCAAATGGCAGGATTGCCTTCTTTTTAAAGGCTGAGTAGTGATCCATTGTGTATCTGTACCACATTTTCTTTATCCATTCATCTGTTGGTGGGCATTTCGTTTGATTCCATATCTTGGCGATTGTGAGTAGTGCTTCAATGGACATGCGAGTGTGGATATTGCCTCGACATACCGATTTCATTTCCTTTAGATACATACCCAGAAATGGGATTGCTGGATTGTATGGTCATTCTCACTTTAAATATTTTGAGGAACCACCATGCATACCATTTTCCATACTGTTCCAAAATGTTCCCTTTTCTCCACACCCTCGCCAAAGTTTGTTTTCTTTTGTCTTTTTGAAAACGATCATTCTAATTTGAGTGAGGTGGTGTCTCATTGTGGTTTTGAGTTGCATTTCCCTGATGATTGGTGATGTCGAGCATTTTTTTCTTTTTTTAAGATGGAGTTTTGTTCTTTCGCCCAGGCTGGAGTGAAGTGGCGCGATCTTGGCTTACTGCAACCTCTGCCCCCCGGATTCAAGTGATTCTCCTGCCTCAGCCTCTGGAGTAGCTGGGATTACAGGCGTATGCCACCACACCTGGCTAAGTTTTGTATTTTTAGTAGAGACAGGGTTTCACCATGTTGGCCAGGCAGGTCCTGAACTCTTGACCTCAGGTGATCCACTCACCTCGGCTTCCCAAAGTGCTAGGATTACAGGCGTGAGCACTGCACCCGGCTGATGTTGAGCATTTTTTTTTAATAGACCTATTGGCCGTTTGTATGTCTTCTTTTGAGAAATGCCTGTTCAGGTCCTTGCCCATTTAAATTGGGTTATTTATTTTTTCAATTTTCAATTTTTAATTTTTAGGAGTACATAGTAGGTGTAACTGGGTTATTTTAACTGGGTTAGAAAATACATTTGCTTGCTATTGAGTTGTATGAGTTCCTTGTGTGTTCTGTGTATTAACCTTGTATCAGATGGATGGTTTACAACTATGTTCTTCCATTCCATAGGCTGTCTCCTTCACTCTGTTGATTGCTTCCTCTGCTGTGCAGAAGCTTTTTAGTTTGATGCAAACTCATTTGTCTGTTTTTGTTTTGTTGCCTGTGCTTTTGGTGTCATATTGAAAAACTTATTGCCCAGACCAGTGCCAAGCAGCTTTTCACGTAAGTTTCTTCTAGTAGTTTTCTAATTTCAGGTCTCACATTTGAATCTTCAGTCCGTTTTGAGTTGATCTTTGTGCATTGTGTGAGATAAGGGTCTAATTTCATTCTACTGCAAGTGAATATCCAATTTTCCCAACACCATTTATTGACAAGACTGTCTTTTGTCTATCATGTATTATTGGCACCTTTGTCGAAGATCAATCAACTGTAAATGCATAGATTTATTTCTGGGTTCACTATTCTGTTACGTTGGTGTATGTGTCTGTTTTTATGCCAGAACCATGCTGTTTTGGTTACTATAGCTTTGTAACATATTTTGAGATCAGATAGCATGAGTCTTCCAGTTTTGTTCTTTTTGTTCAAGATTGCTTTGGCTATTTGGGGTCTTTTGTGGTTTAACATACATTTTAGAATTGCTTTCTCTATTTCTGTGAAAAATCTCATGGGAATATTGATAGGGATTACATTGAATGTGTAGATCACTTTGGGTAGTATAGACATTTTAACAATATTAACTATCCCAATCCATGAACACAGGGTATCTTTCCATTTATTTGTGTTTTCTTCAGTTTCTTTCATCTGTGGTTTACAGTTTTCGGTGTATAGGTCTTTCACCTCCTTGGTTAAACTTATTCCTAAGTATTTTATTTTTTATAGCTATTATAAATGAGATTGTTGGCTTGATTTCCTTTTTGGATAACAAAATAAATCTTCTTTGATGATTTCTTTTTTAGAAAGTGCATTGGCTGGGCGCAGTGGCTCACGCTTGTAATCCCAGCACTTTGGGAGGCCGAGGTGGGCGGATCACAAGGTCAGGAATCGAGACCACGGTGAAACCCTGTCTCTACTAAAAATACAAAAAATTAGCTGGGCATGGTGGCGGGCGCCTGTAGTCCCAGCTACTCGGAGAGGCTGAGACAGGAGAATGGCGTGAACCCGGGAGGCGGAGCTTGCAGTGAGCCGAGATAGTGCCACTGCACTCCAGCCTGGGCAACAGAGACTCTGTCTCAAAAAAAAAAAAAAAAAAAAGAAAGTGCATTGTTAGCATATAGCATATAGAAATGCTACTAGGTGAGGCATGATGGCTCACACCTGTAATTCCAGCACTTTGAGAGGCCAAGGCAGGAGGATCACTTGAGCCCAGAAATTCAAGACCAGCCCAGGCAACTAAACAAGACCCTGTCTCAATAATAGCAATAATATTAATACTAATTAGTCAGGCATGATGGTGCACATTTGTAGTCTCAGCTACTCAGGAAGCTGAGGTGGGAGAAGCCCAGGAGGTCAAGGCTGCAGTGAACTGTGATTGAGCCACTGTACTCCAGGTGGGGTGATAGAGCAAGATTCTGTCTCAAAAAAAAAAAAATAAAATAAAAAATAAAAGCTATTGTTTTGTATGCTGATTTTGTATCCTGTACCTTGACTGAATTCTAACAATTTTTCGGTGGAGTCTTTAGGGTTTTCTGCATACAGGATTGTGTGATCTGCAAACAGAGACAATTTAATCTCTCTCTCTCTCTTTTTTTTTTTTTTTTTTTTACGAAGTGTCACTCTGTTGTCCAGGCTGGAGTGCAGTAGTGTGATCTCGGCTCACTGCAACCTCAGCCTCTCAAGTTCAAGTGATTCTCCTGCCTCAGCCTCCCAAGTAGCTGGGATTACAGGCATGCACCACCACACCTGGCTAATTACTGTCTTTTTAGTAGAGATGGGGTTTCACCATGTTAGCCAGGCTGGTCTCGAACTCCTGACCTCAGGTGATCTGCCTACCTCGGCCTCCGAAAGTGCTGGGATTATATGTGTGAGCCACCGAGCCTGGCCTAATTTGGGTTTTTAAATGTTTTTTTTTTTCTTTTCTCATTGCTGTGGCTAGGCCTTCCAGGACTATGCTGAGTAGAAGTGGTGAGAGTGGGCATCCTTGTCTTGCTCCTGATCTTAAAGGAAGAGCTTTCAGCTTTTCACCATTCAGTATGATGTTAGCTGTGGGCTTGTCATATATGGCCTTTATGATGTTGAGGTATATTCCTTCTATACCTAATTTGTTGAGAGTTTCTTTTTAATTTTGTTTTTTTGGTAGAGACAGGGCCTATGTTGCCCAGGCTGGTCTTAAACTCCTGGGCCCAAGTGATCCTCCTGCCTTGGCCTCCCAAAGTGCTGGAACTACAGGCACGCACCAATGTACCTGGCTAATTTGTATTTGTTTGTTTGTTTGAGACAGGGTCTTGCTCTGTCACCCAGACTGGAGTGCAGTGGTATGATCCTGGCTCACAGTAGCCTCGAACTCCAGGGCTCAAGCCTCCAGAGTAGCTGGGACTACAGGCACACACCACCATGATTGGTTAATTTAAAAAAATTTTTTTTTGTAGAGGTGTCTTGCTATGTTGCCCAGGCTGGTCTGAACTCCTGGGCTCAAGAGATCCTCCTGCCTCGGCATCCCAAAGTGCTGGGATTACAGGCATGAGCCACTGCACCTGGCCAAGAGCTAATTTTTTTTTTTTTACATCATGAAAGAATGTTAAATTTTGTCAAATGCTTTTTCTGCATCAATTGAGAAATGATTTTATTCTCCATTCTGTTAACGTGGTGCATCACATTTATTGGTTTGCATATATTCAATCACCCTTGTATCCCAGGGATAAATTCTACTTGCTCATGGTGAATGAGCCTTTTAATGTGCTATTGAATTCGGTTTGCTAGTATTTTGTTGAAGATTTTTGCACCTGTGTTCATCAGGGATATTGGCCTGTAGCTTTTTTTCTTTTAGTGTTCTTGTCCAGCTTTGATATCAGGGAATTTTCTGACCTTATTAAATGAGTTTGGAAGCGTTCCCTCCTCTTTAGTTTTTTGGAAGAGTTTGAGAAGGATAGGTATTAGTTATTTAACTGTTTGGTAGAATTTACCAATGAAGCCATCAGGCCTGAGCTTTTCTTTGATGAGAGACTCTATTACTTGTCCAATCTCCTTACTCATTATTGGTCTGTTCAGATTTTCTATTTCTTCTTAAGTCAGTCTTGGTAGGTTGGATGTGCCTAGGAATGTATCCATTTTTTCTAGGATACCCAATTTGTTGGAGTATAATTATTCATAGTAGTTTCTTTTTTTTTTTTCTTTTTTTTTTTTTTTTGAGACGGAGTCTCACTCTGTTGCCCAGGCTGGAGTGCAGTGGCACGATCTCAGCTCACTGCAAGCTCTGCCTCCCGGGTTCATGCCATTCTCCTGCCTCAGCCTCCCGAGTAGCTGGGACTACAGGCGCCCGCCACCACGCCCGGCTAATTTTTTGTATTTTTAGCGGGGACGGGGTTTCACCGTGTTAGCCAGGCTGGTCTTGATCTCCTGACTTCATGATCCACCCGCCTCGGCCTCCCAAAGTGCTGGGATTACAGGCTTGAGCCACCGTGCCCGGCCTATTCATAGTAGTTTCTTACAATCCTTTGCATTTCTGTGGTATCAGTTGTAATGTCTCATTTCTGATTGATTTATTTGAGTCTTATCTCTTCTTAGTTGGTCTAGCTAGAGGTTTGTTGATTTTATCTTAAAAAAATCCCAACTCTTAGTTTCATTCATCTTTTCTGTTATTTTTCTAGTCTCTATTTCATGTATTTCTGCTTTGATCTTTGTTCTTTCCTTCTTTCTGCTGACTTTGGGCTTATTTTGTTCTTCCTTTTCTAGTTCCTTGGTGTGTAAAGTTAGGTTGTTTATTTGAGATCTTTCTTACTTCTTTTTTCTTTTTTTTTTTTTTCCAGTGACTCTCGTGCCTCAGCCTCCCAAGTAGCTGGGACTACAGGCATGTGCCACCACGCCCACTAATTTTTGTATTTTTAGTAGAGACGGGTTTTCGCCATGTTGCTCAGGCTGGTCTTGAACTTCTGGCCTCAAGTGACCCACCAACCTTGGCCTCCCAATGTGCTGGGATTATAGACGTGAGCCACCATGCCCAGCCTCTTTCTTATTTCTTAATGGAGGCATTTAAGGCTCTAAACTTCCCTCTCGGAATTGCTTTGCTGCACACTGCATTTTGTATGTTGTGTTTCCATGTTCATTTGTCTCAAGAGATTTTTTTTTTTGTTTCCCTTTTGATTTCTTCTTTGACCCATTGGTTGTTCAGGAGGGTGTTGTGTATTTCCACAAATCTGTGAGTTTTCCAGTTTGCTTTCTCTTAGTGATCTCTTGTTTGCGGTTGGGAAAGATGCTTAATGTGATTTGATCTTCTTGAATTTGTTAAGACTTGTTTTGTGGCCTGACATATGGTCTATCCTGGAGACTACCCCATGTGCAGCTGAGAAGAAAGCGAATTCTGCTGCTGGTGGATGGAATGTTCTGTGTATGTCTGCTAGGTCCATTTGCTCTAGAGCAGTGGTCCCCAATCTTTTTGGCACCAAGGACCAGTTTCGTGGAAGATAATTTTTCCATGGATGGAGGGTTGGGGGGTATGGTTTCAGGATGAAACTGTTCCACCTCAGATCATCAGGCACAACCTCGATCCCACACATTCGCAGTTCATGATAGGGTTCGTGCTCCTATGAGAATCTGATGCCGCTGCTGATCTGCCAGGAGATGGAGCTCAGGCGGGAATGCTCACTTGCCCACCAGTCACCTCCTGCTCTGCAGCCCGGTTCCTAACAGGCCACAGACTAGTACTGGTCAGTGGCCTGGGGTTGGGGACCCCTGGTCTAGAGTGTTGTTCAAATCCTGCAGCATTATTTTTTTTTAACTTCCCTATAAGTGGAATCATACTGGATATATTTTTCTATAACCTGCTGTTTTCACTCCACATGACATTTGTGACAGACATCCAAGTTGATGCACATAACCGTAGTTTATTCATTTATTTATTTTTTTAGACTTCTATGGTCTGACTCTGGGACATTTCTATTGCTGTATACTGTTTCATTGTATGACTCTAACATAGATCTTTTATCTGTTCTTCTGCTAATGGACACTTGGGTTGCTTCTGGCTTTTGCCTATTAAAAAACATTTAAACATTATTTTAAGCATTATAAACAATGATGCTGTGAGCGATTTTGTACATGCAATCTGGTGTCTAGGAGTGAAATTGTTAGCTTCTAAATGTGCACATCTTCAACTATACTGAATAATGCTCACTGTTTTCCAAAGTGGTTGTCCCAGTTTGCCTGCCCCGGGGAAGTGTGAGTTCCTGCTGCTCTGTAGTACTGCTAACACTTGGTATTGTCAGACTTTACATTTCTGCCAATCAGTGGATGCAAAAAGATACTTCACTGTGGGCCGGGTGCGGGGGCTCATGCCTGTAATCTCAGCACTTTGGGAGGCCAACGTGGGTGGGTCACCTGAGGTCAGGAGTTTGAGACCAGCCTGACCAACGTGATAAAACCCTGTCTCTACTAAAAATACAAAAATTAGCCAGGTGTGGTGGCGTGCACCTGTAATTCCAGCTACTTGGGAAGCTGAAGCAGGAGAATTGCTTGAACCTGGGGGGCAGAGGTTGCAGTGAGCTGAGATTGTGCCATTGCACTCTAGCCTGGGTGATAGAGTGAGACTCCGTCTCAAAAAAAAAAAAGGGTATTTTACTGTGGCTTAAATTTGCATCTCCACAGACCTTCTGTTCTATCTCTGGTCTTCTGTACAAAGTGGGGCAGAGATATGGGCATCTAGCATCTTCTTTGTTTTCTTCTTCTTTTTTTTTAATCTGCATAGCCAGTGCAAGGACAGCAGCTTCTTATAGAGACTTCCAATAAATCATCTTGTTCTGCACTCCCCAACACATACACACACATTGTTTCTGAGTTATCTGGTGCCTCCGATTCTTGTGCAAACCCAACTTTGCCACTGGCTGCCTCCCACTACTTTTTTTCCCCTAAGTGTTAAAACATTTATTCGAGATGGCAAAATTCCTACAAGTTTTCCTAGCATGTAATTGAGGAAAATAACACAATTTTTGTAATTATTAAATGTGAAGGGAAAATTCTTTTGGATGTATTTCTTTTCCTGAAATGCAGAGGTGGAGATGTCAGGTTGGTGAAAGGAGGCGGTATTTCAAATGGCTTCTTTTCCTGGTGCCTGGTAGCCTTTGACCCCACGACGTATCATGGTGCAACATCCTGCTCTTGTCAACTGGGGTCAGGTTTCTGGGAAAGGCAGGTTAGGTTAGAGCCCCTGTGCAAGCTGAGGCGGGACATTGGCTCCTTGGGACCATCCATGCTGAGCCCCTCCTGGACAGGCTTCATAATCCTCAGGGGAGCATGTGCCCCGGCATAAAGACTACTCTTCTAGAACGTCAAATCAGAGCACTGGCAAGGGAGATGCAGGGTCACATGGTGCCTTCTCCCTCCTTTCTGGCTGGAGACTTAGACCGTTCCAAACAGATGATGATTTACTGCATCACCGAGCATGGGCAGCATATGAGACCGAAAACACCCTCAATCACATCATTCTTGTATTCACCTAGTGGTCGCTGTGTACCTCCCACGTCAGGCACTGTACTACCAGACACTGAGGATCCAGTGGGGAGCGAGAGGGACTTTGGGGACTGAGTCAGTAGGACACGGGCTGGTGGGTTAGGGAAGGATGAGGGAGACAGAGGGTCAGATGATCCCCATGGTTCTGCCTGGGGAACCTGAAGGGAAGTCAGAAAGGAAGCCAGGTTGAAGAGGGATGGCAATGAGTTTTGTGTTTGGTCTGCAAGACAGAGATGCCGGGTTGGGGGGAGAACAGGTAGGAGGTGTGCATCACAGGCAAAGGCAATTGCTCTATGGGCCTGGGTTTTGATGGGAAGAGACGCTAAATCATAGTGCATGATTCTTTTTCAAAATTGTAATGCAAAGAGCCCTCATTGAATCTGCATTTGATAGCATGTACTGTGCAAGTTTCGGGGGTATCAGGAAGAAGAAACATGCTCCTTTGTCTCCTGAAGCTCACAGGCTAGTGGACATGGCAGACACGTAAGAGAAGGCAGAAGAGGTCAGCCCACAGAGAACAGCTTTGGGTTTGCCTCTGATGCTGGCCCTGGCCCAGATCAACCAAACCTAATGGAAACAGAGAGCTGAGAAAGCGGGAGAGTTGAGCTCACTGATGCTCGGATTTTACAGATGAATGTGGAGGCGGTTTCTCCCAGTGCTGACATCCAGGTGCTGCGGGTGCCACAGAGAAACATGGAGGGGCCTTCTGGAGACCACCGCGCCCAGCATCCTTCCCGCTTTTAGAACTGGAGCGAGACAACCATGTGTGCTATCACTGCTTCTTTCTTTACAGTGTCGGTCCAACACCGTAATGGTCTGACAGCCCTGCAGGCTGGAAGCCCAGGATCACGGTGCCAGCAGGGTTGGTTTCTTCCAAGGCCTCTCATCTGGGTGGTGGCCTCATGTGGCCTTTCCTCTGTGGGCACGTGCCCTTGGTGCCTCCCACCACTTTTTTCCAAGTTCACGCTGATCCCTTGAATCAGTTATCACTCCCCCACTTGTTTTCCAGCTTCTGTGATGTTCCTGGCAGGCGCTCCTCTCACTCTCTGCTGTGAACTCTCCCTTTTACATCTGCAATCCCTTTGCATTCCTTTTAGCTGAAGTTGTTCCCACTCATGTCTTTCGCCCCCAGGTGCCCCGATGTTTCAGCTCTCAGTGGTGCCTGCAGGGAGATCCCTCTGTACTTCATAATATTATTTTTATTTTTTACACTTTTTTTTTTTGAGATGGAGTTTTGCTCTTCTCGCCCAGGCTGGAGTGCAGCGGTACAATCTTGGCTCAATGCGACCCCCGCCTTCCAGTTTCAAGCAATTCTCCTGCCTCAGCCTCCCAGGTGGCTGGGATTACAGGTGCCCGCCACCACGCCCAGCTAATTTTTGTATTTTTAGTAGAGATGGGGTTTCGTCATGTTGGCCAGGATGGTCTCTAACTCCTGACCTCAGGTGATCCGCTCACCTTGGCCTCCCGAGGTGCTGGGATTACAGGCGTGAGCCACCGCGCCTGGCCACACTTTTTTTTTCTTTTTTAATTTCCTCATAGTACTGCTTGGGCTACATGGCTTAAGCTTTTGTACATAGTTTTCATTGTTCGGTTCTAAATGCTTTTAGATTTTCATTCTAATTCTTCTCGGACCAGTGCATTATTTTTTATTTTTTTAATTTAAAAAATAATTTAATTTAGTTTTATAGAGATGGGGGGTCTCACTATGTTGCTCAGGCTGGTCTTGAACTCCTGGGCTCCAGGGATCCTCCTGCCTTGGCCTCCCGAAGTTCTGGGATTATAGGTGTGAGCCACCGTGCCTGGCCAGTAGTGTATCTTTAAATTTCCAAACATAGGGGAGCCCTTAATTTTAGTTTGGTTGCCAATTTATGCCTTTATTCTGTTGCATCAAGAACATGGCTGGTGTGATGCAAGTTCTTTTGCTATTTGTTGAGTCTTGCTTTGCAGCCTAGGACATGGTGTTAGTAAATGTCCAAGGTGAACTTGAAAACAATGTGTGGTCTGTAGTTTTTGGGTGTCCACTAAATCAAGTTTGTTCAACTTTTCCATATTTTTTTATTTTATTTTTATTTTTTGACAGAGTCTCACTCTGTTGCCCAGGCTGGAGTGCAGGGGCACAATCTCAGCTCACTGAAACCTCAAGTTCAAGTGATTCTCCTGCCTTAGCCACCCGAGTAGCTGGGATTACAGGCATGAGCCACCACATCTGGCTCATTTTTGTATTTTTTATTTTAGTTTCAGCACGTTGGCCAAGCTGGTCTCAAACTCCCGACCTCAAGTAATCCGCCTGCCTTCGCCTCCCAAAGTGTTGGGATTACAAGCATGAGACACTATGCCTGGCCCAATTTTTCTATATTCTTACTCATTGAGTCTGCTTAAACCAGCAGTTCCAGTGAGAAGTGGTATAATTTCCTGCGTGGAGAATGTGCTCATTTATTCATTTTTCCTTTTCTTGACACTTTTTTGTTTTGTAGTCATTTGGGGCTCTATCATTATGCAGGTGCACACAAGATCAGAATGGCTAATGCTTCTTTTTTTTGTTTTTTGTTTTCCTGTCGCCCAGGCTGGAGTGCAATGGCGTGATCTTGGCACACTGCAACCTTCGCGTCCCGGGTTCAAGCAGTTCTGTCTCAGCCTCCCAAGTAGCTGGGACTACAGGCATGAGCCACCATGCCTGGCTAATTTTGTACTGCAGTAGAGATGGGGTTTCACCATGTTGTTCAGGCTGGTCTCGAACTCCTGACCTCAGGTGATCTGCCCGCCTTGGCCTCCCAAAATGCTGGGATTACAGGCGTGAGCCACCGCGCCTGGCCGCTAATACTTCTTTTAAAATAATTAACTTATTTATGTATTTATTCTTTTTCCCCCACCCCTCCCCCGCCAGTGAATGCTTTGGAATGAATACTTATCAGTATGCTGCAACCACTTTTAATCCTAATAATGATTTTGCCCTGGAGCCTATTTGTGCAATATGAGCTTCTCTCCACTAGCTTCCTTTTGGATGGTCTTTGCCAGATGTGTCTCCTTCTATCTGTAGTAATTAGAGCCATTCCAGCTATGTGTCAGAAATAAACAAACGGGGTTTATGATCAAGCATGGGCGACTTACACAATCGTCAAAAGAAATGGAGGAACAACTCTCAGCCCTCCGAATCGGCCACCTCCTGGGATCAGGAATAAATCCTAATCTCAAAATGCAGGTAAACAGTCTACCTCTTGTCCCCTAAATGAGATGCCAAGCATGCCCCTCCCCTCAGCCAGGCTGTCTCCATCCAAACTTCAATGACCACTGGCCTCCCTGCTGACCCACGTCCCACTGAGGAGCCCCAAGCTCTGAACCAACTGCCTACACACCATCCCCTCGGGCTGCACCTGCTCCCCAGGCCTGCCCCTCCTTTGGAGCTGCCTCTGTCCACCAAGGGTGCTGTCGCTCACCTAACCTTCCAAGCCAGAACCCAGTGGTACCTTGCTGCCCCCTCCACTCCCTGAAGAAGCTGCCCCCATGCCTGTTGAGTTCTTCCAACTGCTCGAACCTTCTGGAACTTCAGGCCTCAGCATGTCTTGTCTGGGTGGCTGCAATGGCTGTGCTTGCTTCTCTGTCTCTCTCCATCAATCAATCAATCAATCGATCAATCATCTATCAATCAACTATCCGCCTATTAATCTATAATCAATAATCTATCAATTTATATCATTTACTTATATAATCAATCATTGATCTATCCCATGTATCTTCCTTTTATCATGTCTATCCATCTATCTATCATTTATGCCTCTATCATGTCTATCTTTCAATCATTTATCTATCACCAGGCACAGTAGCATGTGCCTGTAGTCCCAGTAACTCAGGAGGCTGAGGTAGGAGGGCTGCTTGATGCTAGCAGATCGAGTCCAGACTGGGCAAGATAGTGAGATCTTGTCTCTAAAAAAACTTTTAAAACCATCTATCATCTCTCTCTATTCATCTGTCTATCCATGTATCTATCATGTATTTTATCTATCACTTATCACCTATGAATCATCCATCATCTATCAATCAATCATCTATATCAATCATGTCTATATATCTATATATCTATGTATCAATTTATCCATCAATCATCTGTTTTTGAGGCGATATTCACAAAATATACAATCAATCCCTTTAAAGTGCATAATTCAGTGGCATTTAGTATGCTCTATAGTTCGAGAACATTTTCTTCGAAATAAAAAGAAACCCGAGGCTGGGTGTGGTGGCTCATGCCTGTAATCCAGCACTGTGGGAGGCTGAGGCAGGACGATCGCTTGAGTTCAGCAGTTTGAGACCAGCCTGGGCAACATAGTGAGATCCTGTCTCCAAAAAAAAAAAATCACAAAATTAGCAGGGTATGGTGGCACACGCCTGTGGTTCCAGCTACTCAGGAGGCTGGGGCGGGATTGCTTGAGCCCGGGAGATCAAGGCTGCAGTGAGTTATGACTGCGCCACTGCACTCCAGCCTGGGTGACAGGGTGAGACCCTGTCTGTCTCATTAAAAAATAAAAAATAAATACAAAATTTTTTAAAAAGGACTCCCCCCGCCACATTTTCCTTCCCCTGCCCCAGCCCCTGACACCCACTTGTCTGCTTTCTGTCCCGATGAGCCTATTCTGGACATTTGTGTCTGGCTTCTTTCACCCAGCACGAACTCTTTGAGGTCTATCTGTCGTGTTATGGCAGAATGGCACTGTGCCTTATGGACAGGCTGTTTGTCCATTTGTCTGTTGATGAACACTCAGGCTGCCCCACCTTTGGGAGGCTGTGGCCATCCATGCATAAAGGTATGGCCGCACAGCTGTTCTCAGTTCTCGTGCCTCTGAGGCCAGATGGGCTGCCGCACCCTATTCCCACCAGCCACCCTCACATGCAGCCACGTGGCCTGCAGTACTCGACACTGCTTCCCTGTTGCTGAAAGCTCCTCGGTGGCCTCTGGGCTAAGTCCTGTCTCTGTAGTGTGGCCTCCAAGGCCCGCCGGCCGCAGCCCTCCCTTCCCCTGCCCTCCCTTCCCCTGCATGCAGCACGAACACCCTGCGCTGTGCTCCCAGTTCCCCCCAGGCCCCTGCACAAGTGGCCGCCTCTCCCTAGAAGGGCCAGCAGCACCCTGTGTGGCAGCTTAGACATCCCTTCTCTTGCCTTCGTGCTCCTCCCACAGGGACCAGCATGATCCCCTCCCCTAGTCCTATTTGGGCTCAGCCAGTATTTCTGTGCAATGTTGTTGCAGGTTCCGCCCCGCCACCGTCACAGGAATCCTAAGAGCATTGGCGTGAGGCTCGGCGGAGGGCATGCTGGACCATGTCTTCTGGTGACTTTCCCCCTCGGAGGGGCTTGGGGGTCAGGCCCACTCCTTTCCCAAACTCACTCTTTCCCCCACAGGCAACCCACTCCCTCTCCTCCATCTCTCCTCGAGACCCACAGCAGACACCACCAGGCTCTGAGGCAGGGAGGAAGGACTGCATTTGCCAGTGGAGGCTTTTACTGGGGGGACTGGGGGTGGTGCCCGGCCCGAGGGCTGAGGGCCCGGGAAAGGCACACGGTGGCGGTGGGGTCTCTCTCGGGCAGGCGCTGGCTCCGCAGACAGCTCCCCCTGGTGACCCCTCTTTGGCACTGAGCTGGGAACATGGTGTCCGCACTCCTGGCTGGCAAGCAGAGGCCCGTGTGCCCCGGTGGCGGCTGGCAGTGTAGGCTGGCGGGGTGACGGCCGCAGGGGCTGGGTTTGGCACCGGTGGGAGCCGGGGCCCCACGGGACTCAGAGGCTGGGCCGCCCCCGCTGCTGGCACGGTAGTCACATTGGCCACGGAGATGGCTACGAATAGGGAATCCAATAAATTAGGCTGTAGAAAGAGGTGGTGAGGGGCCGAGGGGGCGGGGCCTGCATTCTCGCTTGGCAGGCAGTGCTGTGCGTCCCTCTCCCCTCTCCCGTGGGATCTTTGGGGCTCTTGTGGGGGAGAGGATGCAGGTGAGGCGCTCTGTGTGACTGTGGGTCCCACTGGGCGGCTTTTATGGCATCCCACGGAACGGGAGCCTTGGCTGACCACCCTCAGGGGATGGACCATGGGGTCTTTGAGAGACTGACGAGGAGGGAATCATGGGGACTCGAGTCTCTGGAGGGAGGCCACCTGCAGTGCCAGGGGCTGTGGCCTGACGGGCTCCTGGGGCTCGGCTGCGCTGCTGTGTGGCCAGCACTGGGCCCCTTGTACCCCAGCTTCCTCCACGGAGCAAAGTAGAGGACTCACTGCCCTGGACAGGGCCCAGTCACTGTGGAACAGCGCCCCCAGGGAGTGGGAGGGACAGGGCGAGGGTTACGCAGGGCGCCACCCTCCACATCTACTTTCCCGAGGGCGGGAAGGGTTTTCTAGGAGGAGGGGCCAGGCATGCAGGGGCGGGGTGCGTGCATGGGTGGGTGCTGCTGTCTCCTTCATGTGATCCGAGCTTGGGGGCGGGGCAGGGGCCGGGGACGGTTGTGTCAGGTGGAGGCACCCTGGAGGCCACCAGGGCCTTGCGGGCTAGGTGCCGGCACATGCGCTGGGGCCACGGCCTCGCCCAGGATCTGGCAGAGCTCCTGGAGGCGCCGCTGCATCTTGGGAATGCCCGCCAGCTGCTGCTCCAGCCGCTGCTTCTCCTCCGTCAGGCTCAGGCGGGCAGCTGAGTCCAGCTTCTCGAACTTCCAGCCGCCCTCCCCATCGAACTGTAGCAAGTGTGTGTGGTATTTCCTGGCCAGGAGAGGGACAGGGTCAGGGGCACGGCACGGGGGCTGCTGATGACAGCCGCCTGCTGCTGCCGGGCCCGCCAGGCCACCTCCTCCCCTCAGGCAGCCACTCCCACCGACCCCAGGCAGGGAGACAGGGCACCTACCACAGGGAGGGCCGGTGGGTGATGGAGAGCAGGGCAATGCCCGCGTCCTTGGCCGCCTGGAAGATCTTGCCTTCCACGTCGATGCTCACGGCGCTGGTGCATTCATCCAGGAGGGCGTACTTGGGCCTGGGGGTCCGGGCCGAGAGGAGAGTCTGTGCACCCTCCAGGGCCCAACACCCCAGCCCGGCTCAGGCTCCACTGAGCCCAGGCCTCCCCACAGCTGCTACTTCCCCTTCCAGGGGACCCCAGGGAGCCTGCCGGCCCGGAGTGCTCACCTGTGGTAGAACATGCGGGCCATGCCGATTCTCTGCTTCTCGCCACCCGACAGGACGTCCTTCCAGTCACACATAGCCTCCCAACCTAGGCGGGGGCAATGGTCTTGGCTCAGTTCCACCAGCACCCAGACCCGGGGGCCAGCCGGGGAGCTGGGGGAGCTGCGGGAATGAGCTAGCTGTGACGACAGGGCCCCTGTGCCTCTGCGTCCTTGTCTGTCTGACAGGCATTAATCATGGAGGAGTGGGGACTGGAATCGTGCCTTCCCCCAGAAGAGATACGGTGGAGTCCAAGCCCCAACACTTCAGTGTGACCTTATTTGGAGACAGGGCCTTCGCAGAGGTGATCACACTAAGATGAGGTCATCAGAGTGGACCCTAATTCAATATGACTGTGTCCTCATAAAAAGGGGGTGTGTGGGCAGAAGACATGCACAGGGGAACATGAGGTGAAGATATACAGGGAGAAGTGGACCATCTGCGAGCCGAGGACAGAGGCCTGGAACACATCCTTCTGTCATGGCACCCGGAAGGAGCCCACCCTGCTGGCACCTGGATCTCGGACTGCTGGATCTAGGAGACAATCCATCCCTGCGGTTTATGGCAGCCCCAGGGCACCCATACAGTTCCTTGGCACAGAGCTCCAGAGCGGCCTGAGTGCTCTCCCCAGACCGGGGGCTTGTCACCCACAGGGGTTGGGCCTCCTGTCACTGCCCCGTGTCAGCACTTTGGCAAGGCTCGAGTGGGCTGCTTGAACGAGCAGGTGAGCCGGCTGCTCCATTAGGTCGGGGCGCTGCGGCAGAAGCGGCCCTTCCTGTCTTCTCGCCCATGCTGCCTTCCCCAGCGGCCCAGGGCTAGAAGTGGCAACAGGGCATATGGCCACCCAGAGTAGAGATTACGCTTCCCAGGTGGCCTTGTGATGAGGTGTGAGCATGAGACTAAGTTGTGGCCAATGAGATATAACTGTAAGTATTCAATATGGCGGCTTCTGGAACCTTCCTTAAAAGAAGGCACATACCTTTTGCCCCTTCCCTTCTACTTCCTCCATCCTACAGCCTGGGACATGATGTGAGGGCTGCAGCAGCCCTCCTGGATCATGAGGTGACTTTGGGAACGGAGGCCAAACACAGCAGAGTGACCTGGTAGAAAATCCTCGAGCCCTGGGGCCTTCACAGAGCAGGGCCAGCCCTGGCAACCGTGGCCTGGCTCTCTTGGGACCTAACAGCTCAGTAGGATAAACTCACAGATGATCTTAGCCACTATTGCGGGGAGGCCCGTTCTGTTCCTCGCAGCTCAACTCCATCCTAATGGCTCATGCTGGCCGGCCACAGGCCCTGGGCATTCAGGCTGCCACAGAGGCGGGAGGGGCCACGTGCTCCCAGGCTGAGGGCAGCAGGAGCAAGAGGCAGGGCCGGGCCAGGGGCTGCTCCACTGCCATTGCCACCTGTGTCCCCGCTTCCTCCACAGGCAGGTGACAACACCCCGGCCATTTCCTGCAGGAGCCACTTCTTCTCATGTTGCCACCGAGGGAGGGCTTGGTGCCCGTGCCCTTGAACCGTGAAGGGGAGCCCCAGCAAGGCGAGGTCCTTGCCCAGGGCCATCTCGCACCCAGCAGTGCAGGCTGGAAGCAGAACCCAGAGGCTCAGAATTCAAAGACAGAACTGAACACTCCATCTACTGTGTCCCTGTAGCTGCAGCCCCCTCTCCTCCTCCGCTCTTCCGGCCCGACAGACACTGTGGACAAGCAGTATTCCTTGATAAGCCCAGGACAAGACAACAGCTCAGTCTGGCCTCCTTTTCAGTGAACTCATCTCTGAATCCACCTGACTCTGCTGGCCCCAGCCCCCTCCAAGCGTCTGCACAAACCTCTTGACAGTAGCCATCACTGCACACATGTGCCTGCCCCTCCCAGGCTGCCCCTGCCCACCACCCCATGGTCCTTCCAAGAGCGTCTGATCCTGCTCAGGGAAAGCCTAGGCTCCCGCCTGGTCCCGAGGGCCCTCTGTGAGCCAGCCTCTCGCACCACCAAGCCTTCGGAACGCACTCCGCCCTGCTGCCCCTGGCTTCCGGACGGGGTAACCACTCAGCATTCTGCAGGGCTCAGCTCAGACCTCTTTTCTCTGGGAGAGGGTATCCTGGGTCCCCCAGTGAGGTGCACATCCCTGCTAGGTGCCCCCTTCCCTAGAGCACCTGGGGCCATCTGTGTGGTGTTGGTCCTCCCTGGTAGCAGCCTCTGCCCCGCCCCGTGGCACCTGGCACTTTAGACTCTGGATGTTGAGGTAATCTTCACTCCCTGGAGGCCAAGGGAGAGGCCAGGGTGGGACAAAGGGTGGCTGCCAGCCCCAGGCCTCCTACCTCCCTCCCGCTGCAGGATGTGGTGCAGGTGCACGACGTCCAGGATGGCTTCCAGGTCCTGCTCCGAGTAGCCCTTCCTTTGCATGTCCTCCACTGAGTCCGGGTAGATCACCTGGTCACGCAGGGAGCCCACAGACATGTAGGGCCTGTGGGAAAGCTGGGTGTCCACGGAGGGAAGGGCCGGCTCTGCCTCCCCCAAGATACTCTGCGCCTCCCAGGCAGTGTCCACATGCCACGCTCACACGCATCCACACGCTCACATCGCCGCCCGTGCACACACCCCACACAGATCCAAAACAGGGCAGTGGATCGGGCGGGTTTGGAGGGAGCAGGAACCACAGCCCGTCTCTGGCTCTGGGGACAGTGCCTCAGTGTCCTCTCCTGAGGTGCTGACTCTTCACCACTTCCTGGGCCTCTGCAGGAAGCCATGTGTGAGCGCACAGGCAGGAAGAGGTGGAGGAGAGGCGCACGGGCTTCCTTACCTCTGCGGGATGTAGAACATGCGCTGGGGTGGGGGCTTGTAGAGCACACCACCGTACGTGGGCCAGAGCCCACCCAGGATCCGGAACAGGGAGCTCTTGCCGCAGCCATTGGGGCCTGTGATGAGCAGATGCATGCCTTCCTCCACCTGCAGGGGCAACAGCCGCTGACGCCAGAGAGCGCAGGCCCCTTCCCGTACCCTATGGCCTCCTGACCAGCCTTGAGAGGCTCCCAATGCCCGAGGCCAGCACGCAGGCCATTCTTGATCTCTTGATAAGGGACAGCAGGGCCTGGGGGATGGGGTCCAGCGTCCACAGCCCTAGCTAAATTTGGCTCTCGCTAAATGCCTGGCCCAGGACACAGGAATGGACAAGCCCCGGCCCAGTCCTCAGGCCCTGACACGCCTGGAGAACATGGTGCCAGCACAAGAGGAAGGGCCTATTCTGCCACAGCTGAATGAGTAGGTGTGTTCCAACACAGCCAGCGCCGTCCTCAGTCCCATCCGACTCCCACTTCACCAGGAATCCAAGTGCAGGGTCAACTGTCAGCCCCCTTTAAGGAACTGCCCTGAAAGGCACTTTGTTTTCAAGAGACGAGACCTCACTCTGTTGCCCAGGCTGGAGTGCAGCGGTATGATCACAGCTCACCGCAGTCTCCAACTCCTGGGCTCAAGTGATCCTCCCACCTCAGCCTCCTGAGTAGCTGGGCCTACAGATGCACGCCACCATGCCTGGCTAATTTTTAAATGTTGTTTTAGAGACAGGGTCTTGCTATGTTACTCAGGCTGGTCTCAAACTCTTGGCCTCAAGCGACTCTCTCACCTTGGCCTCCTGAGTCACTGGGGACAAAAGGCAGTTTCTTTCTTTTCTTTTTGAGACGGGGCCTTGCTCTGTTGCCCAGGCTGGAGTGCAGTGGTGGGATCATGGCTCACTGCAGGCTCAACCTCCTGGGCTCAAGAGACCCTCTCACTTTAGCCTTTTTTTTCAAGTGGCTAGAACTACAGGCACCGCCACCACACTTGGCTTATTTGTGTATTTTTAAAAATTTCTGTAGAGACGGGGTTTGCCATGTTGCCCAGGCTGGTCTTGAACTCCTGGGCTTAAGCGATCTGCCCACCTCGGCCTCCCAAAGTGCTGGGATGACAGGCATGAGCGACCACGCCCGGCCCAAAAAGCACTTTCTTTATGTCTCTAGACTGACAGTACAGACCCCACTGCCTCCCCAGGTGCCAGAGTGGCCCAGAGATGCCACAGTGGCCCCTGGGCTCTGCATCATGGACCTCAGGCTCCTCAATTCACTGACTCCATGGTCCTCGCTGGAGCTAGGAAATGCCTACTTTGGGAAAATGCCGGCCAGGCTGGAGGCGGGCTGTGTGCAGGGAGGAGGCCAGGGGCCTGGAGTCAGTGAAGTTCACGGTAACAACAACAATGCTACACGGGGCTCCTGGGAAGACTTGAGGCCGTGGTCTTTAGCTTACCTCAGGCAGTGTCATGGGTGGAACTCTGTCCTCTGAAATTCCTATGTGGGAACCCTAATCCCCACTACCTCGGAGTGTGAGCTTATTTGGAAACAGGGTCATTGCGGACGTGATGAGTTAGGTCTGCATGAGGTCATTCTGCAGAGGGGTGGGCCCTAATGCAGTGTGACCTGTGTCCTGACAGAAAGGGGAGACGGAGACACGGACACACCCAGAGGGAGAGCGCCGTGTGGAGACAGAGGCTGAGGCCGACCTGCCGTGGCAGAAGCCAGGGAAGCCCGCAGATGGGCAGCAGAGCAGAAGCTGGGACAGAGGCCCCGAGCGGAGGCACCTTCTCGGTCCTTGGCAGAAGCCCGCCCTGCCTGCGCCTTCCTCTCGGACTGCTATTCCCCGAGCCGGGAGAGAGGCCATCTCTGCTGGGAAAGCCACTCAAAGTTTGTAACGCTTTGTGACCGCAGCCACAGGATGCTAATGAAGCCACCTGACTGTCCCCTCCTGAAGGGTGGGGCCTGGGCCTTGCCCCATCTCGCATACCCGGCTCCCTGAGCATATGTGGCCCTGCGCGCAGGGGCCCCATGAGCTTGCCCGCTGCCCCTGCCTGCTTGTGCTGCCCGGGGCCAGCCTGGAAACCACCTTCCTTGGACTCACTGGTGATCAGCTCCCCCGACATCCTAGGAGGGGCCGCTGCGAGCGGTGAGGGGTAACCACCTGTGCCGGCCCCCTCCTCCCTGGCATGCCCCTCCTCTCTGCTTCCTCCTGCGTGACCTGCCCCTCAGGCCCACGGCCCCTCACTCCTCTACCCTCAGCTGCCTGCCCACTCGCTCACAGCAACTCCTGGGCAAGGCTTCATCCCACCCCCACCACCCCCAGGGACTCTGACCACTCTTCTTGTGACCCCCACTGTCCCTTGAACAGCTGTCTACCTGGAGACCCTTTGTAACACTTTAGTGCCCCTCCACAGTGAAGACTCCCTGAGTGCAGGTCTCCTGATTTACCTCGGGTTTCTGGTGCCCGGCTCAGAGTTCAGGGCACATTGGTTAAATGAGTGAATGAATGAGTGATTCCTTGTCACTTCTCTACCTGTCCCTCCACCCCAGTCTCCCCCTCACTCCATTACTCCCCAGCCCTGTCCAAACCCCTGGCTGGGGACACAGGTGATCTGTGGATTCCTTGCTGTGGCCTTCCGAGGGAGGTCGAGCGGCAAGGTTTGAACCAGAGCCCCCCCACCCGGGTCTTGGCTTTCTTAGGAGTGTGGGGAGTTGGCATCAGATGATAGGGCCAGGAACGCCGGGGTGAACCTTGGTCAATCCTGGTATCACTAGTCTCTTTTATGAGCCCTGCCTCTGTTGCCCCAGGATGAACAGTCAGAGACACGTTGGTCTCTCACCTTGACCTTGGCCCACCTGCCACGTACATCTAGGGACAATGGCTGTTGCCAGCACAGACAGGCGGGAAGCCAAGGGCTGAGGCTTGCATATGTGCGTGGCTGGCGCCCTCCCCGCTGGACCTACCCTGATGTTGAGGCTGGCCACCACCACCTCTCCTGAGGGCGTGACGATGGGGATGTTCTCGCAGATGATCCCCTGTTCCACATCCACCACCTGGCCTGCAGAGACAGCACAGCGGGGCTGGGGTGGAGAGGGAGTGGTGGCGACCCCTCTGCATTCTGGGGAGTCTGCGTGCCCCTGGCTGCACGCCCTCATTCCCATCCCTGGCAGCATGCCAGCTGGTTCCTGACCAGCAGCCTGTGGTCCAGGGTCCCTAGGGAACACAGCCAGGTCTTCCAACAAGCTGAACTCTTCCCCCAGTGTCTAATACAGTGCCCTGGGCCGCCACTCCCTTCTGCAGCACCTGCCTCCCGTGGCAGCCAGCAGCTGGCACACTGACTGGAACTTTCTCTTGCTGTCCTGCATGGGTGAGGGGACCACATCCCCCTTGTTTTGAATGAATAATCCAGGCTGAGGCCCTCAAAGGGCGAGTCAGTACGGTGGCCGGCAGCTACTGTCTGGGAAGGAAGGCGGGCGGACCAGCACCTCTCTGCAGGAAACCCTCCAGGGGCCCAGCTCGACCAGGCCGAAGTCCTCAAAGACCCTGCCCGGCAGCCCTCCCGTCCTGGGTGGACTGGGATGGGCCAGAAGCACATGGAGGTCCCTGAGTGAGGGAGCGGGAATAGGAGGAGCTGGGGCAGCAGGTCAGCACCTGCAGCAGCAGCAGGGGCGGGGTCACTCATAGGGAGGGGACAGCCTTACCTCGGATCTTCAGGGGGCCCTCCACACGGACACCAGACCGGCCTATGGTCCCAGACCCCGCCTGAGCGTCCTCTAGCTCCCTGGGCCTCTTGAAGTGACAGCGCTGAACATCTTCAAATACCTGGAACATCTCGTGCACCCGGGCTGTGTAGCCAGCCAGCTCCGTCACCTGAGGGAGGGTGACCCTGGCTCAGCCCCTGCCAGTTGCAGGGAGAGAAGCATGGCAAGGATGGCAAGGGTGGGGCTGGGCCAGGGGTACCTCCTTGTACGACGACATGATCCGCTCAATGGCATCTGCAGCCGCTGTCAGGAGGTTGCGGGCAATAGTGAAGGCTTCTGTGCGCTCGCTCACCAGCTCCTCCTCCTTCTTTTCCAAGGCTGCCTTCTTCACGGCCTCTGCATCTGCAAAGCCCCAGAGGGGTGGGTGGCGGGGCGGGGAGGGGCAGGGCAGAGACAGCGGAAAGTCAAAAATGAGCCGCTGGAGAGAAAGGCGAGGCTCTTCTGCAAATGGTGCCGGGGCAACCAGCTCTCTCTCTCTTTCTCTCTATGTGCAGGAGAGGGACCCCTCACACCATACAGACAAACCAACCCAGAGCACATCACAGGCTGATGTGTAGTGTGGCCCAAAGTATGAAACTCTCAGAAGAAAATGGGATAAAACTTCACGACCTTGGATATGGCAATAGTTCCTTCACTAGGACACCAAAAGCATGAGCAACAAGAGAAAAACAGATCAACTGAACCTCATTCAACTCAACACTTTTGTGCACCAAAGGACAATATCGAGACAGTGAAAAAGACAACCTACAGACTGGGAGAAAACTCTGGACTGGTGAACCACACATCTGATGAGGGTGCAGTATCCAGAATATACAAAGAGCTTTTACAACTCAGCGACAGAGATAACCCGATCACACATGGGCGAAGGACGTGAACAGACATTTCTCCAAAGAAGACATACAAATGGCCACTCAACACATCAAAAGAGGCTCAGCGTCATTAGTCATCAGGGAAATGCAAATCAAAACCACCAAGAGATACTGCCTCACACCCACTAGGTGGCTAGAATACAAAGGAGATGATAACCAGTGCTAGCCACGATGAAAAGGTGGAACCCTCCAACACTGCTGGCGGGAAGGTAAAATGGGGCAGCCACTGTGGAGAACAGTCTCGCAGCTCCTCAAAAAGTGAAACGTCCAGTTACCATGTGACCTGGCAATTCTACTCCTAGCTACACACCCAGGAGAAACGAAAATATCTGCACACATAGAGACTTGTCCATGGATGTTCACAGCAGTGTTATTCACAATAGCCAAAACATGAAGAAACCCAAAATGTCCATCAAGGGATGAATGGATAAAGAAATTGTGGTCTATGCACACAATGGAATATTATTCAGCCATGAAAAGGAATGAAGGACTGATTCATCTTATGACATGGACGAATCTTGAAACCATGATGCTCAGTGAAGGAAGCTAGTCACAAAATGCCACAGAGCACATGATTCCATTTCTAGGACATGTCCAGATAGGCAAATCCACAGAGACAGGAAGCAGATGAGTGGGTGCCAGGGGCTGGAGAGAGGGAATGAGGAGTGACTGTTCATGGGTCTGGGGTTTCTTTGGGGGATAAAATAAAAATAAAACATTCTGGAGTTAGTGATGATGGCTGCACAACTCTGTGAATGAATTTAAACTGTACATGGAAAAGGAAGAATTGTATAGTATGTTAATTACGTCTCAATAACGTTGATTTTTAAATGCACCAGTAGGCATCTGGTTTTGTTTCTACGTACAGCCAGCTCCTTCCACCGGCCCTCTGTCCTGCACCACTGATGTCGCCCCTCCTGGGGCACATCTGAACTTTGTCATCCAACGCCCAGAGCTGTTTGGCTTTGAAACGCCAACTTTCTTTTTTTTTTCTTTTCTTTTTTTTGAGATGGAGTCTTGCTCTGTTGCCCAGGCTGGAGTGCAGTGGTGTGATCTTGGCTCACTGCAACCTCTGCCTCCCCAGGTTCAAGGGATTCTTGTGCCTCAGCCTCCCGAGTAGCTGGGATTACAGGCACCCGCCACCAAGCCCAGCGAATTTTTTTTGTATTTTTAGTAGAGACGAAGTCTCACCATGTTGGCCAGGCTGGTCTCAAACTCCTGAACTCAGGTGATCCACTTGCCTTGGCCTCCAAAGATGCTGGGATTGCAGGCATGGGCCACCACGCCCGGCCTAATGTCCCACTTCCTGACCGCCCCCTCTAGGCCATGGTTTTTGACCTCTGGGCCAGCAGCCGTATTGTTTGGTGTCTGCTTCTCCCAGGAGCTGCTCCTGTCTTAATTTGCTTTTCTGTCACACTCTAGGCCCCGTGGCAGCACCCCTGACCCTCATCAATGGCCTTGACTCTCAGTTTCTTGATCCTTAGATTCCCCACAGGAGCAGAGGTGGGGAGCAAGGGCGAAGGCCGCCTCTGAGGGTGCTGGGGTGTGGCTGAAGTGGTGGGAATGTCCTGTGAAGGACCCGAGGACTGTATCCAGGGGTGGGTGTGATCCTGAGGGGGAAGCCTCAGGGATCATTGGCTGGGGGCTGGGGGAAGACACGGAACGCAGTATCCGCTCAGGGCCATGCAGGGTGGAAAGGGGCCTGGCCCGGGAAACCAGGGAACTAGATTGGGCTGGCGGGGCGGGGATGTGAATCCTAAAGGTCGAAGGCCTTGGACCTTCCTTCCCACGGTGCTCTCAAGGACACAGCCCTCCTCCCCAGGTGTTCTGAGAGCTGGACAGTCGCTGTGGACAAAGGGAAGGGTCTGCAAGTCTTTGTGCCCAGGGCATCCTGGCGTAGAACCAGCTGCCTTCTGCAGGTTCTCTTGGAGCCTTGGGTGAATAAGGCCAGGGCCCCAGAGCTGGACAGAGCAAGGCCTCAGGGCTGGAGTGGGAGCCACAGGCCCTGCCCATCTCCTGAGCCCACCTGCCTTGCACACCAGCCCAGCAAAGCTTATCTAAATCTTCCAACCGGTAAGAGCCTGCCTTCCCACCCAGTGCGCTCCACCTCCTTGAAGCACCTGGAGCCCTCACTAGCCACCCGATGCAGGGGACACAGCAGGGACAAAACAGACAAAAATCCCTGACCCCATGGAGCTTGCAGTCCATGGCAGGGAGAGAGAAAAGCGCCACTGACGGGGTGTCGAGTGCTTGGGAGAGCAGTGGGGCAGGGAAGGAGACAGGAAAGGTGGCGGTGGGCAGGCCGGGCCTTGCCTAGGGGGGCTGCGCCATGGGGCAGCAGAGGAAAGAGTGCTCCTGGCACAGGCCCCAAGACAGAGCAGGCCTGGCATTTGGGGAAATAAGAAGGCCACAGGACCAGGCACAGTGGCTCACACCTATAATCCCAGCACTTTGGGAGGCCGAGGCAGGTGGATCACTTGAGGTCAGGAGTTCAAGACCAGCCTGACCAACATGGCGAAACCCCATCTCTACTAAAAACACAAAAATTAGCCAGGCATGGTGGCGTGTACCTGTAGTCCCAGCTACTTGGGAGGCTGAGGCAGGAGAATCACTTGAACCCGGGAGATGGAGGTTGCAGTGAGCCAAGATCGTGCCACTGCACTCCAGCCTGGGAGACAGAGTGAGACTCCATCTCAAAAGCTCCCCCTCCAAAAAAAAACAGACGGCCACAGGACAGAGCCTATCAAGCCAGGGGAAAGGGAATGCTTCACAGCCTTCAAAGGCTGCTGGCTCTGAGGACCACCAGAGCAGGGCCAGGAGCCCACAAAGCCTGGCACAGCAGAGGCTCAGAAAAGTCCTAAGCCTTCAGGGCAGGGAGCAGCCCGATGTGACCAATGGCAGCCATGGAGCGAAGCGGCTGCAGGTGCTGTCTCGCGGGCTGTCTCGGTGCCCGGGGCTAGGTGCGCTGACTGGGCTGGGCACCTACGCCAGCATCAAGGCTGCCCTTGATGTGCAGTCCCCGAATTAGATCCTTCCTCTTGGTGAGTCACCCAGAGGATGACACAGACAGTTGAGGGCATGGAAGCCCCGAGGTGGAAACAGGAACAGGGAGAGAATCAGACTTCTGTTTATAAATCGAAAACCCTCTTCCCACCAAACTGGGTAAACTACGACACTATTTCGAGCAGAGCCAAGCTTGACGGAAAGCAAGGGAAACTTCTGGGAGCAAAGAGAAGCAGACAGCCAGGTGATCCTTTGATAGCCCCAGAGGCAGGCAGGGCAAAGACCAGGAAGCTTTCCTTGCTTAGCCTGGGCTCTATGCCCAATGAACAAAAAGCCTCCTCTGAAAATTTGTAACAATGTGCCTGGAGTTCAAATGAATTCAAATGAAACCACCTCTCAATTCAGGAACCATCCCCTCCGCACTAACTAATGGCCTCCAACTGCTTACCCTGGAGTGCTTGGCCAAAACAGAAGGACATTTGGACTTACACCCTCCATTGAGGCCACACCAATCCCCATAGAAGTTCTGTTGCAAAACCCACAAGGAAATGATCCACCATGAGTGAAGACCAGCAGACAGAAGACAGGCGAATGATACTCCCAAGAACTGAAGCTAACCAAACCATCAGATAGAGACGGTGGGGTAAGTATGACTAACCTGATACACAGTATAAAAGGAGCAGTCAAAAAGATGAGCAAATAAGACACAGAAACAGCCTGACATTTCTACTTGAAAAAGGAAATGTCCATTTTCAAATTCCTATTTGAAATAGAATGAAATAGAACTTACAAAACAGCCACTGAAATGTGAACAAAATTCCAATTAGACATGGCCAAAGAGAAAACTGGTGAACTGGAAAATGAGCAAACAGGAAGGCCTCAGGGCATCCCCAGAATTCAGCACAGACAGTGTGAGATGGGAAACAGTAAACAGAAACCGAAAGACACAACGAAGAGAGTCAGAAGTCCAGCACTGGCTGCCAGTTCTAGAAGAACAGGAAAAAAGAATGAGAGTCAGGCAATATCTGAAAAGCTAATAGCTGAGAATCTTCCAGAATGATTGAAAAACTCAAATATTCAAAGGACATATAACAAGTCTCAAGCAGAATCAACAAAAACTGACACCTAAACATGTCATAGTGAAACTGCAGAATGCCAAAAAGAAAGAAAGTGATCAAAGTACCCAGAAAAAAAGAAACACAGGGTACTCAGGGAGGACAATTTGTTAGCAGCTACAGATTTGTCAGCAGCTACAGAAGAAGCAGGGAGACAATGAGACATTGTGAAAGGGCTGAGAGAAAAGAACAGTCCACCTAGACTCCATTGCGCAACTCAACTTTAGCTTGGGAATAAGGGTGAAATAGAAACATTTTCAACAAAAATAATCAAGAATGACAACAGCCTGGGTGTGGTGGCTCACGTCTGTAATCCCAGCACTTTGAGAGGCTAATGCGGGAGGACCGCTTGAGCCCAGGAGTTCCACACTAGCCTGGGCAACACAGCGAGAACCTGCCTCTACAAAAAACAAACAAACAAACAAAAAACTAAACAACACAAAGAATTACAATAAAATAATCAAGAATTTCCCATGACAAAACCCTTGCTGAAAGAACCTTTTTTAAAAACCAACCACAACTAGAAGCACTGATGACTGTTTGTCCTGAGCATAGTTGTGAGTTAAAAAACAAACAAACAAAAAACTAAAAACATGTCTATCTGGAGGAAGATAACAGAACATAGAAGAGAAATTGAGATGTAGGAACGAAATGGTGAGCACAGAACTCAGCAAACATGCGAGTGAGTTTCAACACGTGTGGATAAGGCGATAGCAAAGAGGAAAAACTAGGTACAAATCCAACTCTTGGCTGGGCTATGATGCCATGCCCCACGGGGCTGCTTCTGCGTTCTAAGGTCCAGGAGAAGGCGGAGCTATTGATTAACCTAACAAGTATGCGTGTTGATCTTTTATTTTTTATTTTTATTTTTATTTGAGACGAAGTCTCGTTCTTTCGCCCAGGCTGGAGTGCAGTGGCGCTATCTGGGCTCACTGCCAGCTCCGCCTCCCGGGTTCACGCCATTCTTCTGCCTCAGCGTCCCGAGTAGCTGGGACTATAGGCGCCCGCCACCGCGCCCGGCTAAATTTTTGTATTTTTAGTAGAGATGGGGTTTCACCCTGTTAGCCAGGATGGTCTCGACCTCCTGACCTCGTGATCTGCCCGCCTCACCCTCCCAAAGTGCTGGGATGCCAGGCGGGAGCCCCCGCGCCCGGCTGCGTGTTGACCTTTTAAAGGGTGACCACTAATGGACTAAAAATCAAATGCAGAAGTTGCAATCCGGCAGAGGAACAAAACAGGAATGCAGGCCGGGCGCGGCAGCTCACACCTGTAATCCCAGCACTTTGGGAGGCTGAGGCGGGAGGATCACCTGACCAGGAGTTCGAGACCAGTCTGGGCAACATGGCGAAACCCTGTCTCTACCAAAAATATTAAAATTAGCCAGGTACGGCGGCTTGTGCCTGTAGTCCCAGCGACTGGGGAGACTGAAGTGGGAGGACCACTTGAGCCTGGGAAGTTGAGGCTGCAGTGAGCCAAGGTCGCGCCACTGCACTCCAGCCTGGGCGACAGTCAGACTCCTGTTTCAAAAGCCAAAAAGAAAATAAAACAAACAAACAAAAACAACAGGAATGCAGAAACCTAAACATTTAATCTTATCACTAAAATAACAGGTAGAACAGGCTTCCCACTCCTCTAAAACACCTTAGGGTGCAAGAGCTGTTTCAGGGCGAGGAAACCAAGGCTGGAGTGATGAAGGGGCTCACTCCAGGTACTCCGCACATTCTCCCACCTCTAAGTCGCAGTTGGGTTGAGGACAGGGACAGGTGGGTGAGGGTATCTGTGCCTGGAGAAGTGACATGTAGTGTTCCTGACTTGCAGTCCTGGGCTTGTCTGAGTGGTAACAAAGGGCGTGAGGTGCGCGCAGGGCAAAAGGCAACAAGGAGGGGCAAGGCGAGCTCAACCTCTGAAAGCATCAAGGCTGGCAGCAGGGCCTCGGTGGCCCCGGCAGCAGAAGTGGGCGGCGGGCTGGCTGAGTTGGGCCCTCGTGAGCTCAGCACCCAGCGGTATGGGGGACAGGCCCCTGGCCTGGATCCTCTTGGAGCCCTGGGTCTCACCTGACTCTGAGTAGCCAGTGGCAGTGATGATGGGGACAGCCACCATGAGCAGGCCCGAGGCGCTCCACACATACTTCATGAGGAACTGCTCCAGCATAACATACCACAGGCGTTCCAGAAGGATGAGGTTGATCTGCGAGGCCAGGTCCTGGTAGGAGCGCTGTAGCAGGGCCAGCTCCACCTGCGGGGGGTGACAGACACAGAGAGGCTTCCTGGCCATGCACAGGGGCAGCTCCCGTGGGGGCGATGGTCAGGGTCTCCCAGTGCCACTCACACACGCTGTGCCATGGTGGCCATCAGAAGGCCGAGAGCCAGAGGTTACGATTGGGTGGGGCCAGGTCTCAAACTCAAGGTGTAAGGGGGTATAAGGGACTGGCTGATGTCACAGTGCGGCTCCCGTCCCCTCTCCACTCCCTCTCTAGTCACCTTGTTTCTGTCCTCTGCTGAGCCCATTTCTTTGGGCTCCCTGCCAGCCCCCTCCTCCTGGCTCGGAGAGATCATCCATCAGCTCTAATTTCCCCCCCTAAACTAAGCAAAGAGCAGCGCAGGACAGCAAAAGGCAGTGCTCTTGGGCTGAGTGCAGTAGCTCACACCTGCAATCCCAGCACTTTGAGAGGCTGAGGTGGGAGGATTGCCTGAGCCCAGGAGTTGGAGACCAGCCTGGCCAACACGGCGAGATGCTGTCTCTACCAAAAATAATTAAAAAAAAAAATTAGCCAGGTGTGGTGGCACACACCTGTAGTCCCAGCTACTCGGGAGGCTGAGGTGGGAGGATCGCGGGAGCCCTGGAGTTTGAAGCTGCAGTGATGGCGCCACTGCACCCCAGCCTGGGCAGCACAGTGAAACCCTGTCTCTTGGTTCTGAAAAACTCGGTTCAACAGTCTGGGCCTATTTACGCCCTCTTTCCCCTCAACTTTCCCACACTTCCTTTTGGTGAGAAATTTGCATGGCATTTTCCCACTGAAACCAGGAGGATGCGCTCCTGAGCTGGGCCCTACAGGACTCGCCCCAGTGGATGTCCCCACTGCTGAGCCTGGACCTTGCTCCCTCAGCAGTGGGTAGGCCTCCCCTGTCCTTCTGTCCCCCTTCCTGCACTGGCCACCACTATGTCAGGACACCAGCAGGTGGGGAAAGGGACAGCCGCAGGGAAGAGGTGGCAGCAGCAGTCAGACAGGCGGGGGAGATGGGAGGTGTTGGGAAGTGCTCCCAGCAAGGTAGCCAAGGGGTTGTGAATTTCTGGGCTCAGTCCAGGGGCACGCACCCCAGCCTTGCCTCCCCACAGCCGTCTGATGACAGCTGCCTAGCCTGCCACTGTTTGCCAAGTGCTTTCACGTCTCTGCATTTGATTCTCCCCACATCCCACTGCATGTGTATTCACGTGCCCACTGTACACAGAACACTGAAGCCCAGGGAGGCAAAGTGACCTGCCCAAGCCCATACAGCCTGATGGTGGCAACCAGTGTGGGAATTTGGACCACACTGGCAGAGCTGCCAGAAGAACCACATTCTTGTAAATGATGCTTAGACTTATCAAGAGAGCTTTACTTTGTTCTCAAACAAGAGATCGTGTGCATGTGCGTTTCAATAAGCCTCCTCGCGGCAATCCCAGAAAGGACAGAATACTCTGCTATGTGCCCTCCAGCCAGTCAGCTGCTTCTGCCCTGATCTGAGCCTAGGCCAGTGTCCACGGGGACATCAGCCAGTGGGACTGCCATGGGCCACATGCTACCCGAGGGTCCTCTCACCCCACACAGCTTTCCAGCCGAGGCCTATGCAGACAGGCCGTGAATGCACACCGGGCCCTCCTGCCCTGGCCAACAAACCCTCTTGGCCAACGTGCTACTTCCTGAAGCTAGCCCTTCAAAGAACCAGTAATCTCTCTACTTCCTGAAGCTAGCCCGGACGAAGGCCTTCAAAGAACCAGTGATCTCTCTTCTGCCCCCGCCACCCAGGTCGGCCTGCACAGCTGAGCTCCCTGCAAGCCCGATCTCCCATTCCTGAAGCAAGCACCCTGGCAATCCAGACTCGTGCTGGGAGCTGGCAGGGGTGCCAGCCAAGGCTGACAATGTAGCTGCGGGGAATGTGCCAAGCGCCTCGCCCAAGGCTGCAGCTGCTTGCCAAGGCCCTGCAGCCCAGCATGCGGGAGAAGAGGAGAGGGAAGCCAGGGTGGTGGCTGAAGTCCAGGGGCCTTTTCTCTGAATCTGCAGTCTGGCCCACACCCGGGATGCCCCTCTCCGTGGAATTCGGGGACAAGCCTGCTTCTCTGCTGGTGCACAGCCAGTGAGACAAGGTCCCAGGGCAAGAGGCCACCTGACCCAGGGAGCACACACAGGCCTTCGGGGGATGGATGCCATTGTGCCCCTCCTCCCAAGAAGCACTGGGGAACCGAAACTGAGTCGCAGAGAGCAGGGCCCAAGGCAGCTGCAACCCCAGGCACGAGGAAGGGGAGGGGCTGAGGCGAGATAAAGGGAGCATTGACCTGGAGTAACCTTTCCCAGCGCCTGTCTGGCCCGCCGGCCCCGGCCCACCAGGGAGCCAGGAGACAGACAGGGTTGGAAGGACAGCCACGCCAGGAGCAGGAAGTGTGTCCCGCCGCAGTGGCGGCCTGGGCCCGGCATCTCTGGTCTGGGGGCCCGGGAAGGCAGCTGAGCCAGTTGGTAGCCAGGCAGGCCTGTGGGCTCAGGCGGGGGTGGCCTTGACCCCAAGTCCCACTGCTGTGCTGGGCGCTGCTCATTAACCTCCGCTTGGGCTGAGTCATGCCCATAATGCCGGCCTGCCTGGCCAGCCAGCTCTGCTGGACGCCGGCCTTCAAAGGGCCCAAGGGCCCAGGAGGGGCTAGGCAGCAGGCTGCGTCCCTCGGTCCCCGCTCATGAATGGCAGGCGTCTCCTCCTGGCTGGCTGCAGGAGTGGGGCGGGCAGGAGCTCTCGAGGCTCAAACCGCTAGGATCGCAGCTCTAAGGCCAGGACAACCTCCTTGAGGAGGAGAGGAAGCAGAAGTGGCCTCGAGCGTGCAGGCAACCAGCACAGGACAGTCCCCACCCAGCCTTCCTGCCTCTCCACTGCCGCGCCTGAGTCCACGGCTGCCCAAAGGCCCTGCCCACCCCAGCCCGGCTCTCCCATGGCCTGCCCACACCTTTGGCATCAGCCCCGGCCCGCCCCAGACTGTCCCCACCGCTCACGGCTGCCTGCCCCCGGGCCTCCCTGCCACACGCTTCCCTCCGTGCCCGGCACCCCAACCTGCCCCACCTCATGGCCCCCATAGAAGGCGATCTCCTCCGAGTTGGCCACCACACGCGAGTGCATGTAGCGCAGCTCCCCCTTCCGCCGCGCCTCCTCTGCCACCAGCTCCCCGAACTTGGGCGAGAAGGCCCGCAGCACGTTGGCCGTGAGGAACACCACGAGGCCGGCGATGGCCGAGGGCCAGGCTGTGCCGGCTCCACGGGAGCGGGCCGCCCGAAGCAGGGTGTAGGAAGTCACAGCCACGTCCAGGAGTGGCTTGGTCAGGTTGGAGTAGAGGTGGGCCACAGAGGCCGCAAAGGCCACCACGTCCTCCGTCAGAGACTGGTCAGGGTTGCGAAGCCGCCCGTCCATGTTGCTGACCCGGTAGTAGGTCTGCTGGGAGAAGTAGAGGCGGTAGGCGTGGGCCACCAGACGGCTGCGGAACGACAGGGCCAGTTGGCCCTCCAGGTAACGGATGGCACTGTTGACGAAGGTAGCAGGGAGGGCGATGAGGAGCCACTGCAGCAGCTGCCAGCCAAAAGCCCGCGGGTCCTTGCGGACGATGCAGCGGGCCAGCCTTCCGTCCAGGCGGGCCACATACACCGACAGGAAGGTGCGGCTCACCAAGGCGGCCGAGTGCAGGGCCAGCAGCCCCGTCTCCCGGCACAGGACCCGGGGGAACAGCAGCCGCAGGAGCCACAGGAGCCGCTGCAGGAATACCCGGTTCATGCCAGCTTTGGCCGCCGCGACCCCGGAGGCCTCCTGCGTGGGCTCCCCGGCGGGCGCCTGAAGACCCCTGGCCGGGGCCAGGCACTGGCGCACCAAGGGGTAGACTTTGTGGGCTCCATAGGCCGCGAGGGCCAGGAGCACGGCCGTGCGCTTCAGCGTGTTCCCCCGCCAGGGCCGGGGCCTGGAGAGCACCGGCATGTCACCTGGGCTGGCTGCCGCGTAGGGACTGGGGCTGGTGCCTGGGGCAGCAGTTGAGGCAGGTGGCTGGAAGGATTGTTGCTCTGACCCTGGGCCTGTTGTCTAGGCAACTGGAAACCTTGCGATGGCCCCTGAGACTGTCGCTTTAGGCCCCCGGGGTGGTGCTGGGGCCCCTGGTGCGGTGGGCTCAGGGCCCTCCAGGGTCGCGGCCTCTTCGGGCAGCCCAAGTGGAGGAACTTGGCTCTCCTGTCCTGTCAGTGCCCTGGCCCCTGAGGTCAGGGCCTTGAGAGGTCTCGGGCAGAGGGGGCGTCTCTTCCTCTCCACCTTCTCCTCCTCCTCCTCCCCCGGTGGCGCCCCTCCCCGGGGCACCAGGCGCGTCCGTCCGCTCCGCAGCCTGGCTGAAGCGACAGTGACTCCTCCACCGGCCCAGAATCCCCACCCACTCTTCCCCAGGGGCGAGTCGGGGGAAGGGGAGGAGGCGGAGGAGGGGCGAGGGGCGGAGTCCGGGCGCGGGAGCCCCACCCTGTTCTCGCCCCTCGGCGGGGCCCGCCCACACCCCCACCTCCCGTTCTCGCCCCTCGGCGGGGCCCCTCCCGCACCACAGAGACGTGGGACGGCCGCGCGGACTAGAGAAGCGGCCCTCGCCGGCCCGACAAAGCCCCGCCCCGCCCCGCCCGCGTGCTCGCTCCACCCCGCCCTGCTCGCCCGGAGCCCGAGGCGCCTCTTCCTCTCCCGCTCGGAGCGCCGGCCCTCCGCTCCGGGGCGGGGTGGGAAGCGGAGGTGGGCGGAGCCTCCGGGGCCTCGCGAGGGCTGGTGGGCGGTGCCCGGCGGGCGCTTCCGGTTTCCGGCCGCGGTATGAGGGGCGGGGCCGGGGCTGCTGTGGGAGAGTTCTGTTGCTGCGGCGGGGCCTGCACGTTGACTGTGGGAAACTCGGTGAGCGGGCTCCGCGCGCCGGGCTGGGCTCCGGGACCGCGGAGGCTCCCCGGCCCATCGACGAGGGAGAGAGGCGAGCGGCGCGGGGAGGCCCGGGGGCCGGGGAATCTCGGGGCCCGCAGCCTACCTGCGTGTGAGAGGCAGGGGCGAGGGGAAACCGGGCGGCGCCTCTAGAAGCTGGTCTCGGGGGCGGGGCGGGGGGCGGTGAAGCCCCACCTGGAGGAGCGGCCGGGATGGGCCTCCGGGACGGTGTGCCAGGCCGGGGCCAAGTCGGAGGCCCCTCGCTCTGGGTGGGCGCTGGGGCCCGCGAGGGCTACTGTAAGGACCCCTGGCTTCTGAGGATACTGCGTCTAGAACTTTCTCCGTATGGGGCCTTGAGGTGCTTGGTCGAGACCTGCCTTTGCGCTTGGTCCCGAATCCTGCCCTCTAGGAGTCGCTCTTGCGGGCCTCCAGCCCACCGGAGGCGAAGCGGCCCCGGGCGGAAGGCCGCTGGATCCTCGAGGGAGGTGCCGGTTTCTCTCCGCGGGCGCCGTGGGGACGGTGGGAGGCGGGGGCGTCGGCAGCGCTTGGACTAGGTGCGGCCTTGGGCCTGCCTGGTAGCGGGGATTTGGGCCCGCAGAGCGCCCGCCTCTGCGGCTGAGTTCTGCCTGGCGGGGAAGGGAGCGCCCGATGGGTGCCGAGGCGTCCTCCTCTTGGTGCCCTGGCACTGCTCTTCCCGAAGAACGCCTTTCAGTTAAACGGGCGTCGGAAATCTCGGGCTTCCTGGGGCAGGGATCGTCGGGAGAGGCCGCTCTGGACGTGTTGACACACGTGCTGGAGGGGGCAGGTAATTGACCAGCGAACGGAAGTTTGTGGGGCCTGTGAACGCTGCTGGCCAAGAGGCCCTGCCGAGTGGAGCCCTGCTTCCGCCAGCGCATCAGAGACTTTGAAGCAAAGTGCAGGGGGTCAGGGTGGAGAGTGGCGGCCCCAGCCTCGCAGGGTAACTGAACTGGATGTTCTTGGCTGCCCAGCGCTTACAAGTCCCGTACCTTTTGTGCCCTGCCAGGAAACAAGCTCACATCTTCCTGTGGGAAACCTTCTAGCAACAGGATGAGTCTGCAGTGGACTGCAGTTGCCACCTTCCTCTATGCGGAGGTCTTTGTTGTGTTGCTTCTCTGCATTCCCTTCATTTCTCCTAAAAGGTATGGCCTATGGAGCAAGCAGGCGAGTTAGGCAGGAGGGTGCCTGTGCCCTAGCCCTGGGACTGGTGTGTGCAGCTGGTGGACCCTGGAATTGGGACCCGATGGAACAGGTAGAACCTGTCTGGGGTGGGGGTGGCAGGGGTTGTGTTTGTTATTGCCAACCCTTCCCAGGGTTCTGCTTCGTCATGACTTGCTCAGTTCCTTTTCCTGTGTCCCCTGCCTTCTGGTCTTCAGAATGCCCCCGAGAGGCAGGAAGATCTATGTTACAGTTCTGGAAATGATGCCCTCCCACCCACTCTTGGTCCACGGGGTGCTGGGATGGTAGCGTGGGATTCGGAAGACTTGCACCACTGGGTCACGTTGTTGCTGATTTGGTGACTCTTGTCCTCCTAACTAGTCTCACTGGTATTGCGCAGTGGCTGCATGAACATTACTCAGCCTGTGGAGGATGAAGCCATATTCCCTTTTAATGAACAGAGGACCTGTTAAAAGTGAATTGGAGATTAATTTTAATTATGTATAATACCTGAACACATCCCTATTTAAATTACGATATTACAAATAAGGCCAAATCTCCACAGGTATTTTTAAAAGCCGTTTTTTCGTGAAAAATTATCTTTGATGTGATACCATAGAAAGTATGCAGTGCTGTCTGAGGAGGATTCTTGTAGAAAACCACACCTTCGTACAGTTGACAAGACGTGCAGAGATAGAGGGCCCCGGGGAGCTTTAATCTGGGAAGCTTTAGAGGACAGACAATCTGATTTCTACACAAAGGAAACTGGAAAAGCAAATGAAAGAGGGAGAGGGAAGGGGGAGCTTCCAGAATAAGCTGGATTTAAGACGTTTATCTACCGAATGCCAAATCGGTACCTTGTTGGGTCCGGATTCAAACAAATATCATTGCCTTCAGTGATTGGCATATTCAACTCTAGCCCTGATGATGAGGGCTTCTTGTTGATTTGAACAATATGTAAACACTTCTGAAGTCTCTTCTTAGAGCTGCATCCCAAAGCATTTGTGGATGGAAATGATGTGAGGTCTGGGGTCCATCTCATCATAACAGGGTCGGGGGATATAGACAAACCAAGGTTTATCATGTGGAAAGACAGTTTAAAGAAATAACGTGTATGGGGCAAACATTTGAATATTACAAAGGGGAGTACAATGAAAAGTAAGTTTCCCTTTTCAGAGACTACCAGTATGTTTTCTTTTTGTTGTTGTGGTTTTTTTGTTTGTTTTTGTTTTTATTTTGAGACAGAGTCTTGCTCTGTCACCCAGGCTGGAGTGCAGTGGTGTGGTGCTCGGCTGACAGCAGCCTCCACCTCCCGGGTTCAAGCAATTCTCCTGCCTCAGCCTCACGAGTAGCTGGGACTACAGGTGCCTGCCAACATGCCCAGCTAATTTTTTTTTATATATATATTTTTAGTAGAGATGGGAGTTCACCATGTTGGCCAGGCCGGTCTTGAACTTCTGACCTCAGGTGATCTGCCCATCTCAGCCTCCCAAAGTGCTGGGTTTACAGACGTGAGCCAGTGCGCCCAGCCAACTGCCCACGTTTAAGATTAGTTTTCCAGGCTGGGCGCGGTGGCTTACACCTCTGCACTCCAGCCTGGGCAACAGAGCAAGACTCTGTCTCAAAAAAAAAAAAAAAAGATTAGTTTTCCAGACATTTTGATCTATACGTGGACCAGCATCTTTTTTTTTTTTTTTTTTTGAGACAAGGTCTCGCTCTGTCACCCAGGCTGGAGTGCAGTGGCGCGATCTCGGCTCACTGCAACTTCCGCCTCCCAGGTTCAAGTGATTCTCCTGCCTCACCCTCCTGAGTAGCTGGGATTACAGGTGCCCACCACCACGCCTGGCTAATTTTCGTACTTTTAGTAGAGACAGGGTTTCGCCATGTTGGCCAGTTTGGTCTTGCACTCCTGACCTCAAGTGATCCACCCACCTTGGTCTCCCAAAGTGCTGAGATTACAGGTGTGAGCCATTGCACCTGGCCTTTTTTCCAATAGTCTTGAATGGATGTCAAATTAGAGAATTGCAAGCCACTGAGGCTGACTTTGCATGGGCTATTCGGCCATTGGAGAAGAGTACAAAGCTGGATTTCCATTTTGCTCAGGGCCCTAGAGCTCGTGTGTGTGCTTTCTCTTCAACTCCTGTCCTTTTTGTCTTCTTCACAGATGGCAGAAGATTTTCAAGTCCCGGCTGGTGGAGTTGTTAGTGTCCTATGGCAACACCTTCTTTGTGGTTCTCATTGTCATCCTTGTGCTGTTGGTCATCGGTGAGTGAGCTATGGCTGAGGGCAGCTACCTGACCTAGACCCTGGTCTCTGCTGCAAAACCCTTTGCCACTTTTGATGTGTAGCATCCAGTTTTGGCTGCTAGGAGACAGACCAATGAAATGCTGTGTCTTTCTCTTGAGGGAGGGAAGAGGCTCCCTTTGCCCATGCTGCTGACCGCTAGTCGGTTCTTCACTTTGAGGCCCCTCTAGGCCGTACATGGTGGCTCATGCCTGTAATCCCAGCACTTTGGGAGGCTGAGGTCGGTGGATCACCTGAGATGAGGAGTTCGAGATCAGCCTGGCCAACGTGGTGAAACCCCATCTCTACGAAAAATACAAAATTAGCTGGGCGTGGTGGCGGGCACCTGTAATCCCAGCTACTTGGGAGACTGAGGCAGGAGAATTGCTTGAACCCACGAGGCAGAGGTTGCAGTGAGCCTAAATCGCACCATTGCACTCCAGCCTGGGCAACAAGAGGGAGACTCCATCTCAAAAAAAAAAAAAAGAGGCCCCTCTAGCAGTGGGCGTGGGCTTATACCAAGCAGTTTGTATGCAGCTTATGACGGCCACCTTACATTGCTTTTTTTCAAGACCTTGGAAGGAGGGACGCCTAAGGTTTCTGAGGCTGCTCCTCAGGTCACTCTAGAACTGAAGCCAAGAGAAGCTAACTGGCCTGTGACCTTGGTCTGAGTAGTGCTGCTCACCAGTCACTTAAACAGCAGAATTGCCTGGAGCAGGGCCTCTAATGGGGGACTGAGCAACCAAGCACACAGTGAAGTCCTGCCATTCCCTGTAGTAGTAGGAGGAGAACACAGAGATGTGTGGCAGCATATCTTGGGGAGAGATCCTAGACCTCTCTGCATCTGGGCTAGACTTGAGGTTTTCCCAGGTCGTTCCAGCTCTGTAGTTCTGTAAACTCTGACATTGAGGTGTACACTAGCAGGTGCTTGAAAGATAAACTGGTCCAAGGGCAAGCAGGCTCTGGGATAAGGCCAGGCCAGGTGGTGGTAAGATGAAAGGCAGACATTTTGCAATGAGGTGGTAGGGTGACCATCTGGAGACAAGAATCAATAAAGCTCTTGTCTGACTGGTAGATGTTTGTTGTTTTGCTGTGGTAAGTGATCGATATGTCCCCCTGTTTGGGCTCCAAAGTATTGGCTTGGCTCTGCTGTGGACACCACTCTTGTCTCAGAGCTGTGGTGCCTGCCTAGGCGTGGAACACTCCTCCCACCGAGTCCCAGCAGAAACACTGAGCGGGTGGGGGGCTGTGGTTCAGGGGAATGTGCAAAGCCTCACCCACCAGCTTCAGCATTAGGCATTTCTCCTTCCTGATGTCTCAGAGCCTGATAGGATATGTTCAGGCTGGACTGCCTCTGAACAGGCCAAGTGTTACCTGACAGCTTCCAACCACATAGGGTAGGTGCCAGCTGCCTGAGCACCTCAGTGTTCTTGAAATACTTGGCAAGGCCCCAAGAGGTAGTAGCTCTTTCTAACCAGGGTTCTCGCCCTGAGCAGCCTCCAAGCCAGGAGTAGGTAGGTAATATATGTGTCATCCCCAGGCCACTGAGTTTTTGAACTGAGCATGTGTGTTTTGGCTTTTGGGTCTGGGGTGGGGGTAATAACTGGGGAGGGGAGGGACCATGCTGAGGATGATTCCCTCAGGGTCTTGCCCCTTCCCCAAACCAGAAGGAGTATGTTTCTTTCCTAGAGCAGCTGAGTGGGCTGGAGAGATCCTTTGCGGAATCCAGTAGTTGACAAAGCCTTCATTCTTTTTTGGGATCGGGGAACTGCTTGGAAGTTCTAGGGGGACATATGGCCATGATGACTGGCTGCTTCCTACTCCCATGTTAAGAAGCATAATCTAGAAAGATCTGCAGAGCCTTCTTCAAACAGAAGTGTTAGTCACAGGTACTAGTGAAGGGTAAGGGGCATAACTAGCTAGAGCTGTGGCCTTGCTTGGGGGTGGGGAGGGTTGAGCAGATCCTCCTGGAGGATGGAGTTGCTGAGGGTGCAGGATCTTCCCACCTGGGCTGAGGCCCGAGACAGGGAGGGCTGGTTTCTACTGTGGGACTTGGGTTAGTATTGCTCAGTCCCCCATCCCCACTATTGGTCATTGGCCAAGGTGGTCCTTAGGATGGTGGGGTTCCTGGATGCAGGTGACAGTGTAAGGAAACATGTTTATCTTGTTTTTCTGATTACAAAAATAATGGGTAATTATTCTTAAAAATTCAAAAGTTGAATTTAGAAAGTTAAACTCCCCATAATCCCATTTCCCACAGGTAACCATCATGAGTATTTTGTTGTGCATTTCCAGAGGGGTTTTGTATGCTGACATCTTTAATAAAATGTCTACAACGGTGGGATCATACACACAAAGTATTTATGTTTCTTTCCACATTCCTGCTGGGACATGGCAGGAGGAGCATTCCACGCCTGAGCTGGTAGCACAGCTCTGAGATAAGACTGCTGTCCATAGCAGAGCCTAGCCAATACTTTGGATTGTGCTTTTTCTACCTGCTGCACGTTAGACATCTTTTTTTTTTTTTTTTTTTTTTGAGATGGAATCTCACTTTGTTGCCCAGACTGCAGTGCAGTGGCGCCATCTTGGCTCACTGCAACCTCCGCCTCCCAGGTTCAAGCGATTTCCCCTGCCTCAGCTTCCGAGTAGCTGCAGGTTACAGGCGCCCGCCACCATGCCCGGCTAATTTTTTGTATTTTTAGTAGAGACGAGGTTTCACCGTGTTGGCCAGGCTGGTCTTGAACTCCTGGCCTCAAGTGATCCGCCCACCTCGGCCTCCCAAAGTGCTGAAATTACAGGCATGAGCCACTGTGTCCGGCCAACATCTTTTTATAGCAATCTCATTCTTCTTAAAGATCATGTAGTATTCTCTCATGTGGTTGTGCCGTAATCCATTCTTTATAAGCATCTTCGAATCATTGCAAATTTATGCAAATACTTCTGTGGGATAATTTCAGAGGTGAATTGTTGAACCCGAGGGTATGAACATTTTGCATTTTATACAGGTGTGCTGTTTTTACCCCTGCTAACAGCGTTTGAGAGTACTCGCTTCGTGGTGCTGAGGGATGGGCAGATTTTTATAATGCAAGATCAACATAAAAACTAAGCAGCCTAAAACCGGAAATTAAGAACCCCATGAGGCCAGTGCCCTGACTCACGCCTGTAATCCCCACACTTTGTGAGGCTGAGGCAGTTGCTTGCGCTCAGGAGTTTGAAACTAGCCTGGGCAACATGGCGAAACCCCGTCTCTACCAAAAATAGAAAAAGAAAAAATTAACTGAGTGTGGTAGCACACACTTGTGGTCCCAGTTACTGGGGAGGCTGAGAGGTGGAGGTTGCAGTGAGCTGGGATCGTGCCACTGCACTCAAGCCTGGGTGACAGAGTGAGACCCTGTAACCCACCATACAAAAAGAACCTCGATACCCATACAGTGATACCTTGCTCCTCTCATATGGGAGTCTATTAAGAGCATTCTTTGGGTACATCTTAGTGTATTGACTTAAAACGATGTCTCAGGATGCATGGGGAAAAGCAGTAGGTTTGGCGTGGCTCAATTTCTACATTAGAGACAAATATAAATATATTTTTAACTGGAGCTCTATATGTCTAACAGCGGCTCTTTCAGGAGCAGAGGCTGCTCACTGACTCAGCAATTATTTCAGTGCCCACTCTGCACCCAGAGCTATCCCAGGCCCTGGGAATATAGTATAAAAGATTTCTGCTCTTATGAAGTTTGTAGTCTACTTTGGGAGAGATGGACCCAAAAAATGTGTTTAAAGAGAATTTCAGAGATGGATGTCTATTACGAAGCAGGTAACAGTGTAATGTGACTAAAAATGACTTTAGATGTGACCACATTTTTATTGTATATACTGCTAGATGTGATTATGTTATGGGATCCTTTCCGTTTCTACATTTTGGGTGTGTTTGAACTTTCGATGAGTGTGAATTCCTTTCGTAATCAGAATAAAACATTATAGATAATAAAACCCATTGTAAAGCTTTGAAATGAAACCCTTGACTCCTAGCTGGTATCCTGCAGGTCTTGACTCCTATTTTTTTGTTTGTTTGCTTGTTTTGTTTTGGCTTTTTCGAGACAGAGTCTCGCTCTGTCGCCCAGGCTGGAATGCAGTGGTGTGATCGTAACTCACAGCAGCCTTGACCTCTTGGGCTCAAGCGATCTTCCTGTCTCAGCCTCCCGAGTAGCTGGGACTACAGGTGTGCAGCACCATGCCCAGCTATTTAAAATTTTTTTTTTTTTTTTTTTTTTTTTTGTTGAGAGAGAGTCTCCCTGTGTTGCCCAGGCTGGTCTTGAACTCGTTGGCCTCAAGCAGTCTTCCTGCCTTGGCCTCCCAAAGTGTTGGGATTACAGGCGTGAGCCACCACATCTGGCCTGGGTCTTGACTCTTAAGCACCTTAGGTCCCCGGAGCAGGCATTTCCATCTCCAGGTTCAACTTATCATTGTGGGGGTTGGGGGGCTATGGGCCAACTTGAGATGAACAGAACAAGACGCGGTGAGGGTACCATGGGAAAAGGAAGCCACCCCCATTTCCAGAAACTCTTTAGGCTTGGTTAGCATCGTGAACTGCAGAGCAAGCCTGGGGCCTGTGTAGAATGGGGCCAGGGATTGAAAAGCTGGAGGAAGGAGTGGGTCTGAGGGTGGGAGCTTCCTTTTTTTTTTTTTTGAGATGGAGTTTCGCTCTTGTCCCCCGGTCTGGAGTGCAGTGGCTCAATTTCGGCTCACTGCAACCTCCGCCTCCCGGGTTCAAATGATTCTTTTGCCTCAGCCTCCCGAGTAGCTGGGATTACAGGCGCCCACCACCACGCCGGGCTAAATTTTTTTTTTTTGTATTTTTAGTAGAGATGGGGTTTTGCCATGTTGGCCAGGCTTGTCTCGAACTCCTGACCTCAGGTGATCTGCCCGCCTCTGCCTCCCAAAGTGCTGAGATTATAGGCGTGAGCCACTGCACCTGGCCTGAGGGTGGGAGCTTCTGATAACAGCATCCCATGAGGGGTGTATGTGCATAGAAGTGGGAAGAACTGGGGAGGCGGATTTGAGGGAAGTGAGTCTGACCTGTCTCATGCCGCCTGTCTGCCTGGTATGGCCTTATCTTGCCCTAGTGTCCGCTAAATGCCCGTGTCTCCTCTCTGCTCCACCACAGATGCCGTGCGCGAAATTCGGAAGTATGATGATGTGACGGAAAAGGTGAACCTCCAGAACAATCCCGGGGCCATGGAGCACTTCCACATGAAGCTTTTCCGTGCCCAGAGGAATCTCTACATTGCTGGCTTTTCCTTGCTGCTGTCCTTGTGAGTGGGGGGTTGAGGGGGCAGGTGCTGTGAAAGGAGCCATGGGCTAGCCATGGACACCGAGCTCAGTGGGCTCAGTCTCCCCCCTGTGACTTTGATTCCTCCTCAGTCTGTGGCCTGGATCCCAAAGCCCTGTCTGTGTTAGGGAAGCCACATAGTTTTCTCCTGACCTCCAGAGGCAGCGTGGAGAGTAGGAGAGGGCTGCCTGAAATATCAGAAGACCCTCACACACCACATACTCTCAGGCAAACAGATGACTATCTCACGGTCTGTTTGCATGGAGAGTGAGATGTAACGGTAAGGCCTTGCCCTCCTCTGGGAGAGGACCTTCAGAGTCCAGCTCACAAGGGAGCGACTGAATGGGGGACTCTTTGTGTCCGGGGTGTTGACCTAGGGACAGCAGGTAAAAGTGGCACGAAGAGGCTGGGCCTCTCCTCACCTCAGGGCCTTCCCCACGTGAAACTCGTAATGAGGACATGTTACATTCCATGGCAGCCAGAGTATTTCTGATGATTTTTTTGGTAAAACTAAGTACCTTAATCAAGGCTAAGGGTAACTAGTCGGGCAAAACTAGACCACTACGAAGTGCCTATTTGAGCCTGGGGCCCTGTTTGCTGCCTCCTGCTTCACATAGCCGTTCTGATCAGCAGGGCCTGGCTGGGAGGTGGATGGGAGCTCAGACCATGTATGAAGGCATTGGAAAGGCGCTTGCTTTGAGGGTGGAGCTCTCATCACTTAATCACTTCTCAAAAGACCCCACCTCTTAATGCTACGGCAGTGAGGATTAAATTCCAACACATGAAGTTTGAAGGGCACTCAGACCATAGCACCAAGTGATTCTCAGGCTCATGGACAGTTATTCCCCACTTGGTTTTGTGCCCCGAGACTCAAGAATCTCCATGCCTAGGAGATTCTTGCTCTCTAGTCACCTGGTGTGTCCTGCTTTACTAGGCGCTACGATGACTACTTGTCTTAAAATCTGTTGTTTAGATGATCTGGTACTCTCTGCGACCAAGTTGGAAAGAGGGGTGGAGCTAGAAAAGGCAAACACATTTTTTTCAAGATAATGGGTTTGATCACAGATTTGATCTACAAGCTTGCTGTCTTCAAACTTAGGAAAGTCAGGAAGGCTGGGAGGAGTCAGACACATACCCTAAATTTTTCAGGAAGTTCCAAACAAGTATTATCTTGTGGTCTGAGGCTGAAAGGGAAGCAGATCTGAAAGACTGAGTCTCAAACCCAGAATTCTGAGTGTGACAGTCAGCAAAATGAGGAAAAAAGACCACATTGAGAGGGAAAGAGAGGAAACTAGGCCATCTACCAGAAAAGCATCTAGAGCTTTAAGAATGGTATGGGGGAGGGGTGGGCTGGGTGCGGTGACTTAGGCCTGTAATCCCAGCACTTTGGGAGGCCGAGGCAGGTGGATCACCTGAGGTCAGGAGTTCGAGACCAGCCTGGCCAACATGGTGACACCCAGTCTCTACTAACAATACAAAAAAATTAGCTGGGCTTGGTGGTAGGTGCCTGTAGTGCCAGCTACTCGGGAGGCTGAGGCAGGAGAATTGCTTGAACCCGGGAGGCAGAGGTTGCAGTGAGCCGAGATCACACCACTGCACTCCAGCCTGGGTGACATCTCAAAAAAAAAAAAAAAAAAAAAAAAGAATAGTATCGGGAAGGTGAAAACCTGCCGGGAGCTCTGAATCATGAAAGACATGGAGAAGTGAGGAGAAGGCAGTCCCTTTTATATGTCTGTGTAAGGAAGGAGATGGAGGGTAGGTGGTCAAGGGCAAAGGAAACACTAGGATGAGAAAATGGAAATTACAGGTGGGCAAGAGTGGCATCCCTAAAGGATGTACTTGATGAGATTATGTCCAGAAGCTGTTGAGATCATCTGCAGAAGGCATTGCCACCGATGCTTGAGGATTTGCAGAGTGGGAGAGATACTGGCAGACTGCAGCCTGGCAAACATCCCAATTTCCAAAGGGAGGAGAAGGTAGATGAGGAATTGACCTGGGGAGGGTTGACTTTGATCTCCAGCCATGCTCTAGAAAGAATAGCTTGTATGCTTTTGGAAAAGAAGAGCGGGATCATTGGTGACTGCTGTGAATTCCTGGAGAAGTTCTGTCAGCCTTCTATAGATGGAGTGTAGATGGATTTTTAGCATGATGCTTGCCAGTCTGAGTCTGTTCTTAACGACCAGATGCCGAAGTGTGGGGAAGGTGCTGGCAGAACAGTGTAGTTAGGTGTGGTCCTAACCCACATGAGTGGCTGCCATGTGGATTGGCTCTATCCACACATACACATAGAAGCCTTAGGGGGCTCACTCTTTTTTTTTGAGACAGAGTCTCACTCTGTCGCCCAGGCAGGAGTGCAGTGGCTCGATCTCGGCTCACTGCAAGCTCTGTCTCCCGGGTTCACGCCATTCTCCTGTCTCAGCCTCCCAAGTAGCTGGGACTACAGGCGCCCGCCACCATGCCCTGCTAATTTTTTGTATTTTTAGTAGAGACGGGGTTTCACCATGTTGGCCAGGCTGGTCTCAAACTCCTGAGCTCAGGTGATCTGCCTGCCTCAGCCTCCCAAAGTGCTGGGATCACAGGCGTGAGCCACCGCGCCTGGCCTGCTTTGTTTTTTCAGTGTTTCCTGCAAGCTGCAAATGGGCTGTGTGGCCATAAGGCTGGACAAGAGCATCACACAGAAAGCCAAGGTCCTCTAGGGTCACAGCCACCATCTTAGATTTAACTCTTAGACTAGCAAGGAGTATATATTTCTGGCAAAATTCCAGAAATGATTAACTAGATCGCTTATGGGCAACTGGTGAATCCACACTGATCTCTGGGATCACCGTTTCCTTTTCTAAGAAGTCACGCAAGACCAACCTCATGGCTTTTTTGGATCAGGCTACTGGATGGGAACACGGGAGAGTGCGGCAGCTGAGCCACCACGCCCAGCCTCCACATGCTTTTTAAAAACATTCCCGTGTTTAAAAAAAGTTAACCACGGGGCTTTTAAGCACCACATGCTTTAAATGCCCCTTGGTGACTTGAGTGTTCTACTCAGTTTATCATGAATGTTTTTCTGGGACAACTGACCTGTTTCCAGCATATTTATTTATTTATTTATTTATTTATTTATTTTTTTTGAGACAAGGTCTCGCTCCATCACCCAGGCTGGAGTGCATTGGTGTGATCATGGCTCACTGCAGCCCCGCCCTTTTGCCTCAGCCTCCCGAGTAGCTGGGACTATAGGCATGTGCCACCACGTGCTGCTAATTTTTTAATTTTTTGTAGAGACAGAGTCTTGCTCTGTTGCCCAAGCTGATCTCAAACTGCTGGGCTCAAGAAATCCTCCCACCTCATCCTCCCAAAGTGCTAGGATTACAGGCATGAGCCACTGTGCCTGGCCTCTCCAGCGTTCTTGAGTGTTCTTGAGTGTCTACCCAATTCCTCATTGGTGGATGTCGAGCCTGCAGCTCTGTTTCTGATGTCATAAACAGTGGCCTCAGCTAGTCAGCTTTCTTTGGGCCTCCTGATCCTCTTGGAGCACCCATGCCACTCCTATTATCTGTCTCTTTCTTTTTTGTTGCTGTTGATTTTTTTCTTTTTCTTTTTCTTTCTTTCTTTCTTTTTTTTTTTTTTTTGAGACAGAGTCTCTCTGTGTCGCTGAGGCCGGAGTGCAGTGGCACAGTCTTGGCTTACTGCAGCCTCCTCCTCCTGGGTTCAAGCAGTTCTCATGCCTCAGCCTCCCAAGTAGCTGGGACTACAGGCACATGCCACCACGCCTGGCTAATTTTTGTATTTTTAGTAGAGACGGTTTTGCCCTGTTGGCCAGGCTGGTCGTCTCTGACTCCTGGCCTCATGTGATCTGCCCACCTCGGCCTCCCAAAGTGCTGGGAATACAGGCATGAGCCACCACACCCACCTCTCTTTCTTTCCATGTTCTTTATGTCCCACTGAGAGGCTCAGTTCTTGAACGCGAGCAGGTACTCATGGCGCGAGCAGGTACTCATGGCCCGAGCAGGTTAGATGGTTAGGAGTTAAGGGTTCCAGACTTCGTATGCAACTTTTCTGCGTGGTAGAGAGCCTGCCTAGTGGGTATTCCAGTACTGCTGGCATGCAGTCACCTGTGTGGATTAACATTTTGCAAGGGTGTATGGGTTGGAGTGGAGCAGGAGAGCCTGAAGTGGGGAGACCAAGTTGGAGGTTGTCAGTGAGACTTGCTGGGAACCTGAACGGGGGCAGTGGTACAGTGGTAGTAGAAGTGGGGTGGAGGGGACAGAGCTGAGAGGCCCAGGTGGAGTTGAATCAGCAGGCTTTTCCAGTCTCTGGGAGTCTGAGATGATCTTGGTTCTGCTGTGGACTTGCGGAATCGAGGACGCAGCCCCCTGCTGGAAAGGGAGCTCTGGCTGCCCATGGAGTAACACTATCGTGCTAGGTGTGAGGGCTGGTTGCAGAGTGGGACTTCTGGCCAGGCCTGGGGGCAGCAAGGAAAGGAGGGGACAGGGAGAGCAGGGTTGAGCAGGGGAGGCCTGGCAGATGAGCAGGATAGGGTGCTTCCGGGCAGTCGAGCTTGGGTTGCTGGCTTCAGAGGCATTGAGGCCAGGGCAAAGGGAATGTGCTGGCAGGATGGATTCCAGCCTCCAGCAGAGCGATAGAAGATCGGGGAGCAGAAGGAAGAGGGAAGCAAGATCAAGAAGGAGGATGTGAGCAGGTTAGTGGCCAAGGAGGGGAGCACATTCTGGAGAAGGCCTGGTGCTTGGCACTAGTTTTCAGCGGGACTGGGCTCAGAACACATAGGAGGTTAGCCTGAGAGCTCCCGAGTAGCCTTTGTAATTGGGAAAGGGGGCCTGGCCTGAAAGGAAACATCACACCTAGAAGCAAGTCTGTACCCTTGGCCCCCCATAGTCTGCTGCTGCTGCCTGGGATAGCAGTGGGAGAGTCCCAGCTTCCCAGCCAAAGCCTTCTGAGCTTTTGTCCTGCCTCTGCCACTACTGTCTCAGTCCTGTCACTTGACCCAGAAGCCTGGGGCTGCTCTGCCCTTTCTTCTTGTCCCATGTGACTGCCCAACCATCGTGGCCATTTCTCAGTGTGTGGCCCAGCAGGGTGAGGCGCTTTCACGGTGTCAAGTAGCCAACCTCCAGAAGTCTTCAGCCTGCAGAGCTGGACTCCACCCATGAAACAGCCTGTAGATGTCACCTCCTAAGCCTCTCTCTCACAACCCTTGGGACCACTGCTGTGGTGGGGCCACCACCATCCCGTATAGACCAAGCGGGCTCCCTGCCACCTGCCTTCCCCCCTTTGGCCTGTGCACCCCACTTCCAGTGGCTCGCTATCACATGGATCCTCCAGGACGCGGCTCCCCCACAGTCTCTGCTTCGGCCTCCCCCTGTCATGAAGCAGTCATGTGGGTCTCATGGGAGAGCCTCACGTAACACATGCTCTCCCCCAACTCGATTCTCTGAGCATTTTGGGGACCTCTGTGCGGAACACCCCCTCCAGCTGCCGGCCCAGCCGGCACCTCCTCTTCGTGAATCTCCGAGGCTTCCCTGTGGAGCCTGTTCCGAGGGGCCCACACCATGTTCCCGGCTGACCCATAGCGCTGTCCTCGGGTCCCAGGGCAGCCTGCACACGCAGCTCTGAGGTGTGGCACTTGGCAGGGTTGCCCATCGTGGAAAACCTGGGCTCTTCCCCTTCAGACTGTTCAGCTCAGTGCCAAGGGCCTGGCACATATGAAGGGCGCTGAAACATTTGGTGACTGAATGGGCTGTCCCGGGCTGACGGCGACAGCTTTAGGTGCGTGCCTGGGTTGAACTTGTTGGGCTTTTTAGCCAAGAAGCCCAGCTTTTCAGGTCTTAGGAGCTATGACAGTTTGTGAAGGCGGGTCCATCGGGGCCACCTCCAGGGGACCACACTGGATGAGCCACTGGTTTCCACTTGTGGAAGACTCCGGCAGTCGCTCCTGTTCCCTTCCTGCCAACCTTGCACTTCGGGGGCACAGCTAGCGAGAGGCCCTCTTGAGTCTTGGAGTGTGTTGGGGACGGCAGCTCCCTCTGGGCTGGGGTTTGTGTGTTCAGAGGACCTGCACTGCCTTCTCTGCCTTACTCAGCTTAAATGACGGTCAAGGTTAGGCCCAAAGTGCTGGTTAGCAGCCAGTCGCAGGAAGGCCCCTGTTTGTGTGGAAGCCCCCTGAATTTTTGCTGACCTGAACTTGATCCACAGGCATCTTTTGTTTCCTCTTTACCCCTCCAGGGTAGAATCCCATCGCTGCCATTAGCCCAGATGGAGCTGCCCGTGCTTCTCTGCTGAGCTGCTTTTTCTTCTTTTTTAGGTTGAGTCATCTAATCACAGACTACCTTTGCCTAAGTTGTCTTACCTCAGTCGGTTGCTCTCTACCCTCCAGCTTACCCCAAACCCCTCAGATAGCTGGTTTTAAAAAAGATACACAGCAAAACCCCAGAAACCCAGCTGGTCTGTGTCACTTGTTCTCAAGAAGAAGGGAGGACAGGCCAGACCCACACCTGCCCCTTTGCCCTGCGCTTAGTGCACTGTCCTCAGGATGGGTGAGCTCCATCTGGGTCGTGGGCTGGAGCTGCCACAAGTCATGTTCTCATTTGAAACGGCCTCCATTTCCCCCAGCTCTAGCCCTCCTCTTCCCGTCTTCTCCAGCGTCTGTGTGCTGGGAGGCTACAGGGAAGGCCACGCAGCTGTACCAAAATGGACTTGGGGCAGCCCTTTGGGGCAGCCTTCTCGGGTCTGCTCTAGGTGACTCTCCCAGTTGTAACCTGTTTTCCTGATTCCAGACTGGTGGGTAAGAGTCGCTGAGGGCAGTGGAAGCCCTGGTGTTAGTCATTCTTCTTCACTGAAGCCTTCCTGAGGCGTCACCTGACTTGCTTCCTTGCCTGGGCGCTGCCTCATTTTTTTTCTTCCACAGCTGGGGCGTGTTCACCCAGAGTCCACTGGCCACCCTGCGGTAGGCCTGGAAAGTCAGCAGGTGGCGCTGGGACACCGGCTTTCTGCCGGCTGGGGGCTGAGGAGTGAGCTTATGTGAACACCATGTGTATGCAGGGGCTGGGGGTTGAATGACTTGACTCGCCTGAAACCCGTCAGCAGGGCGGGCCGGGGGTGGCCACAGCATGGAATCTTTTGGTCGGGACTTGCTCCTTCTCCATTTCCTATTAAGCCCGTGTCCTCTTCCCCTTGCTCATGGGGGAAGACAGGGCTGCTGAAAAGTGCTTATGAGCCATGGCTCTCTCCATTTGATATGGTTGGCCCTGTTTCTCTAGTCTGTGGAGAGGTTCTGTTTCTCCTGCCTTCTCTGGTTTACTCAACCTTTTATAAAAGCACGATAGCCCTGCTCAGTGTCCAACAACATTCTATCAAGAAAGCCCAGTCAGATTGAGGCATTGGGGCTGCCATGTGTCTTCCAAGGCCACATCTGGATTCTGTTAAGTTTCGTTCACTGGCCTTTTTTTGGACCCCAGGCCATTCTATTGGTGACCACCCTGTATCTGTAGGAGTTGCCTTTGGCTCTTAGGTTCTTTCCTGTTTTCTGGAAATGAATAGCTAAGAACAGTGATTCGGGTAAGACTACTTGGGAGATCCAGCAGAGGCAGAAGCTAAAGGCCATGTTCGTGCCCTGTCCTGGGGGCCTGGGAAGCTACAAGGGAACAGACAAGCGCACGTTAACGTGCCTGAGTGACCCAGTGTGAGGGAGCGGGAAAATGTTCTAGAAGGCTGGCTCCCAGGCTGAAAAATGCCAGTGATCAGAGAGGACCTGGTCTGCATTGCTTGGGCCCTGGGTGGGGGTTGAGGGTGTGAGGATGCAGAGGCTGGAGCTCTGGGTTGTGCCTTCAGGTCGCGGCAGTGAATGTTTTTTCCCCCTGCAGCCATGAGCCTGGCTTGCCCATCAGAACGGGTCTGAGACGGCGCCTTCCCACTCCTGTCTTCTGTCTCCTCTGTTGCTAGACTGAGCAGCTCTGTGTCTGCCTCTGCCCCTCTTGGTGCCAGGCTCCCAGGTGAACACAGGTGCAGTCTAGGCCCAGGGAGATTCTGTCCAGCCTTACGTGCAGCCTCAAATCTGTCCCCTCACCTGTCAGGGAGCATTTCCTCTCCTGGGAGTGGGATCCAGTCATCTGGAAGCCCAGCCCCGCGCCCTCCCCCCCTTTTTTTTTTTAGCTATACTTGCTGGAGTGGGCGGAAGACCCCTTTTCAGTGTGCCAGGTATGGGAGTGCAGAGATGAAGGCACAGTGCCCAGCCTAAAGACCTTCATAGCCTGGTAGGGCAGCCATATAAACGGATGGCAGCCACGCAGAGAACAGAGAATGAGGTAGTTACATGCGGGTGCCTGGGGGGCTGCTGCAGGAGCCCCCAGAAGGCGTCCCTCTGATGGGGTGGGAGATCCAAAAGGGTTTCTGGGGGGAGGTGAGGATTGAGCTGGGTCGAGAGGACATTCCGGCCTGGAGAACTGCCACACAGAGCCAGGCGTGTTCCAGGAATGGTGAGGGGTTAGGTGTTACTAGAGCAGGGGGCCACGTGGTTAGTGAAGGAGGAGAGCTCACTGAGGGCATGCGTGCTGGCAGCAGGTGGCTTAAGCAGAGGGCTGACATGGTCGGATTTGCCTTGCTCTGGGAGGTGGATGGGAAAGCCGTATGGCAGCAGATAGGGAGGAGGCGCCAGCAGTGGGGATGATGGTGGGCATGTTTGCAGTTGACATGGAAAGTGCTGGGTTGTGGCTTGGGCTGGGGGCCAAGAGGGCTGAGTCCAAGGCGGTTTGCCTGCCCACCACTACAGCAGGGGCTACACGAGGTGGTCAGGTCAGGCAGGACAAGGGAAGGCCCGTTTTGGACAAGCTGAGTCTAGAATGTCTCTGGGGACATCCAGGAGCCAATGTTTAGCAGGAGGTTAGGTATGAGTCTGGGCCACAGAGAAAACCCTTTCGGGGATAAGAGTGGCTGGGAGGAAGGTATAGGGTGTCAGCTGAAGAGTGCAGACCCCAGAGGGAGCAGAATAACAGTGGGAGGAGGGTGTTGCGAGGGGACCTCAGGAGGGTAACTTAGCAGCAGAGCAAGGAGTTCAGGGTGACCTCCGGCCTGGGCGGTTAGGAGGCCACTGGTGGCCCTGCTGCTGGCTTGGAAGGGCAGGCCTTGGCCAGCCTAGGTTGAGGAATATATGGGAGGGAAAAGACCAGGGGCTTGGGCAGGGTGACTCCAGGAAGGAGGCAGTTGAAGGTGAGGTTCCTGGGGGGAGAATGATCCCGGGTCATCCAGCAGGAAGAGAGAGGACCTAGAAGGTGTGAAAAAGAACTATCGGGCTGGGGGTGCAGTGGGAGGAGTATGCCCGGGGTGCTGTGGGGGTGGGGAGCGCCTGTGAGGGTTGGCAAGAGGAAGGGGAACCGGGGCCTGGCAGAGGGGAGCCCCAGACTGTCTCAAGGCTGGGAACTGAAGGCCTGGGCTGGGGCTGAGCAGGGCCAGGCTTTCGGACACACACAGCGTGGATCTTGCGCTGGACTTTGTGTATGCCCTGGCCTATCTTGGAAGCCCTGGTTCTCAATAGCCGGGAAGGGCCTGGGACGGTCCGAAAAGAGCTGGGCCTCTGCTGCACTGCCGCGGAAGCATTTGTGTTAGCTATCTCCCTGGGTACTGGGGTGACAGCCATGGGCACTCACCAGCAGCCGCTTGCCTGGCCTGGTGGCGGGGAGTATAGCCTTCAGTCTTGCTTGGTCCTCTCTCTACCACCAGGTGGCATGACCCCCACCCCTCAATTCCAGCTGGGAGGAGCGGTCCTCTTCCTCTTTCTACATCACTGGGATCCGCTCTGGGGCTGGGCAGCTCCTTGCCGGGGGCCTGGGTCTTAGTCAGACTTGCCTTTCTTTCTAGGCCTCTCCATTGACTTCTGGCCATGCCGATGTGAGTCAGATGCATTGTTTCTCTCTGGCTCCTAGGGCGCTCAGTAGCTTCCTCCACCTTCAGGCTGTAGCCCAGTGCGGGGCAGGCTGGTGGGCAGCTGGGGGCTGAGGCAGGGAAACCTGAGCCCTAGGCCACGAGGTCCTGGGCCGCTAATTTTAGAAAGCACATGTCACTGGAAACTCTCCTTCTCTGCCAGGAATCAACGGCCTGGCTCTCCTGGTGCTGCCAGGGGCCCCTGGGAGCCTCTCCCCAAACCAGGAACCTCAGGGGTGTCTCCTGGCCCGGGTGGGTACTTTCTGTCCTGAGTACATCTGGAAAGGGGCTCTGCCGAGGCCCTGGAGAGCCATGGCTTGGGCCAGGGAGGTAGCTCACCTTGTCTGCTCTTTACTTTCTCCAGCCCTTCCGGGCTGCCCCTGGCCATGAGCAGAGGCTGTGAAGTGTGAAGGCCTGGCTGGGGCAGGAGGCCACTTCGACTCTTCTGAGTAAGCTGTTGTTGAAGCACTCTGGACTAAGCAGATTTGTCTCTTCCTTCCCCCAGGCCCTGTGTGACCCTTGCCTTCTGAGGTGTGTGAGAAAGGAACCCCTGCCTTGTTTTGACTGTTTGAACGAGTCCTTCCCTCCTCTCTTCCTGCCAGCTAACATCTCGGGGCAAGGGTGAACCAAGGGAAATGAAGTGGCCATTCCAATCTCTGTTTGGGGACTAGCATCTGCCTCCAGCTGCCACCTGTTTGCCTGTCTCTCCTGGCTGCTTCAGAGAGGCAGCCTGCGCCTGTGTCCTGATTCCTCTACACCCTCCAGCCCAAGAAGACCTCATTCGGGGTGCTGTTACATAACGGATGTGTTCCAGCGCAGCCTGCATGATGGGTTGGGAAGGAGGCTGGCCAGAGAAGAGAGTTCTATCTTACGTTGGGACCTGGGAGCTGTTCCCTGTTAGTTTAGAGAGCAGAGTGGTTCCGAGCTCAGGTTCTGGAGTCAGGCAGACATAATTTGGAATTCCAGCCATGTCCATTTCTGGTTTTTGGCCTTGGGTACATTGATTTACGCTGCTGAACTTCAGTTTCCTCTTCTATAAGCTGGGGCAGTGATAGTAACTTCCTCATCAGGTAGATGTGAGGATGCGGCCTGGCATGTTGGAAGTGCTTGGATTGATTAGCTTCTCTCGTTACCTTACCAAGGCAAGCCCAGCCTCGCAGGGAGGAAGGTGGTGCTGTGGCTTGTCTGGCACGTCTAGGCCCCGACCCGGAAAGTGCCGCGTTCTGGGACCTCATGCTGTAGCGAGGCTCTTCCCAGCCCCCCAGGCTCCTGCTTCCAGCCCCTCTGAGAGCTGAGGGTGGCCGTTGGGCACAGCGGCAGAGGACGGCTCCTGGGCCCCACCTTTTCCCTCACGCTGCCAGCACCAGGTTGGCGGCTTCTCACTCGGCTGCCTTGGCAAGAGGGCAGGTCCAGGCTGGAGCTAGGTGTGGAGTGGGAGCAACCAGGAGGTGCTCCTGCCAGCCCTTCATGCTCTTTTTCTCACTTCTCCCTTCTTTTTGTAAATAATTGCAGCCTGCTTAGACGCCTGGTGACTCTCATTTCGCAGCAGGCCACGCTGCTGGCCTCCAATGAAGCCTTTAAAAAGCAGGCGGAGAGTGCTAGTGAGGCGGCCAAGAAGTACATGGAGGAGAATGACCAGCTCAAGAAGGTGAGCCCAGCTTCCCGACCCACCATGGGGCGTCCTGGTGTTACACTGTGGGAGCCACATTCTTCAGGGCCTCAGTGGCCACTGCTAGCCTGTCACGCTGGGAAATGTGCCTGAAAAGCCAGAGTTGGGTGGAGGCGCAGAGGGGAAGTCCTCAGTGGGGAGAGTATGCCTGCTGGAGGCGTCTGTGTGTGAGGGTCCGGGTGAGGAGGAGGGTGTTGCTGCTCTCGTTTCCATCCACTGCTTCCAGTTAGACCCTTCCCTGAGAAAAATGGCCCCTCAGTGAGCCAGGCCCTCTGCTGTGATCCGAAGGCCCTCAGCTAGGCCCTTGTTCCCTGCAAGATTGCCGCACCCCCTCTGGAACTCGGGGTCTGTGGCATCCCTCAGTGCTGGAGAGGAGGTGGGGGCAGGGTAGTTGGCCAGTCTTAGACGTCCCGTCAGGAGGTGAGCTGCAAGGCAAGCTCGGAGGGATGTGGATGCAGAGGTGGGATAGAGCTGGCCAGGCCGACTGGGGGCTCCTAACTGCAGTGAGCGGCACCATGTAGGGAGCACGAGGCACCGCCATCTGTGGAGGGGTTGGTGAGCACCATGGAGCTGCTGAGCCCTGCTGCTTGGGAAGGAGGCAGGGCCAGGGGCCAGGGGCCAGGGGCCAGGGCAGGCAAGGCGTGCCCGGCGAGCTGCAGCAGGTGGCCCCGCTGGCGCTTCTCTTTCCCTCGGCGGGCAGCCACGCCCTGGCCTTTGCCTAGGAGCTGGGAGCAAGTGGTGGCTCGGTTCCGCGTTGACATTTCCGAAGGGGCGTGTGGCCAGGGCAGCTTGAGGAACCGCAGCTCGGTGGGGAGGATGGGGCTGGAACCTCTCCCTCCCTCCCTCCTGAGTAACCCTGGCCTTTGGCACTTTTCCCAGGGAGCTGCTGTTGACGGAGGCAAGTTGGATGTCGGGAATGCTGAGGTGAAGTTGGAGGAAGAGAACAGGAGCCTGAAGGCTGACCTGCAGAAGCTAAAGGACGAGCTGGCCAGCACTAAGCAAAGTGAGGCTCGACCTCGTGTCCTTCCCCGCAGGGAAGTCCAGAGGAGCCTCCTCTGCCCGCTGCTGCCCATTTTGTGCCAAAGTATTAGTAACAAGCCTTGCACGCACGCTCGAGGGCTGGCTGAAAACAGACCAATAGCACCCTGCGCCTCCAACCCCAATGCAGCCATGCTTAGCCGGCAGGCCAGTGAGGCTAAGTGGTTTGAATGGGGCTCAGGAGGAACCAGGCTGCAGTTGGTGGGCCTCGATTGCCCTGCACTAGAGCAGTGCATGCTGGGGCTTTCCCGTCCAGAGTGTGGCACGGTAGCCCCAGCATGCCTGGGGGCTGAGAATGAGGGGAGTGTGGGAGTGGCGTTCAGGAGGGGAGTGGGCGGCTCCCAAGCGGCCTGCCTGTCTTTGGTCTCCCACGCATAGACTTAAGTCTGGGGCGTTTTCCCCCAATACCACAGGCCTCGCCTGCTGCTGCTGTGTGCAAGGCGTGGTTGTCATTGGGTCTCGCTTGCAGGCTGGGATCTTGCTCCCTGTCTCCCACTCTCAGCCTCCCTGGAGGTTACCCTTGCCGAGAGCCACTAGAGTTCCTCTCCATTAAAGGGACTGGGGGATGGCCTCTGTGTTTCTTTTGCTTTATCTTGAGCTTTTTTGTCAGCCCTTTCCCTCTACTTTGGGGGCCTGCAAAAGCAGAGGGGCTTTATTTTGAGAAGTAGCCTCCTGTATAACCTCGTTTGAGATAGATTTGGGCCAGTTTCTGGTGTCTGTAGCAGTCGGGTTTTTTCCCCCTAATTCCTGTCTTTTCGTTTCTGTTTTCTTGGTCATTTACATCATTTCAAGAACTAGAGAAAGCTGAAAACCAGGTTCTGGCCATGCGGAAGCAGTCTGAGGGCCTCACCAAGGAGTACGACCGCTTGCTGGAGGAGCACGCAAAGCTGCAGGTCAGCCCTCCCGTATTGCTGCGCCCAGGGCAGGAGAGCAGAGCAGGATGAGGCAGCCCCTGCGGGTGCGGAGGGAACCTTCCAGGGGCCCAGGGGCTGGCTGCCCTCTCCACCACTCCCCCTGGCCACCTCTGCCCTACTGAGTGGGACCCTTCACCGGGCAGGAGGGGGGTGGCCTGGCAGCAGATGTAGGCACTTGCCAAGGCGGCCCTCAGGAGTGGCACTGGCTCACTAGGCTCTGAGCCTTCCTACCTTCGTGCTCAGGCGCAGCCATGGTTTGGGGCCTGGTCAAGAACAAAGAAGCAGGTGAAACTCTGGGACCCACTGCTGGCCTTCTTTCCTAGGGTGCTGGGGAGTGACGTAGGGCAAAGATCCCTGGGCAAGTGAGGGCACAAGGTGTCAAAAAGGCACCTTCCCTAGCAGGCGCTAGTTGTGGCCATCACCTGCTGCCCTAGGCCTGATCTGAGTCCTCAGACTAGCTTGGGTGCACCAGGCCGCATCTGGAAGCCCAGGCGGTCTTGACGTTGGGAGTGAGGGCCACATAAATACTCCTAACTTTGGACAGCTGGCCTCAGTGCTTGGTGGCCCAAGTTTGGGCACCACAGCAGGTGGGGAGGAAGGGTCCAGCCTCAAAGGGGGCACCCATGCCCTCTGTATGGGGCAGGCTTGGCAGATGGGCTTCGAGGGCACCTGTCAAAGGTGTGCAGAGTTGGGAAGGGTCTGATCAGGTCTTGAAGGGGACTGGATGCCTTGCTGTTCCCTGCAGCCAGGACTCAGCCCCCAGTGAGGTCCTGGCAGTCCTCCCTGGCTGGCGTTAGGTCCAGGGCTTTCCCTAGAGCGTGGGCCAGGGCTGACGCTCCCACCCTGGCAGGCCTTTGGGTGCAGCTGGGGAGGGGGCCCCTTGTTCACTTGAATAGCTGTTGTTAGGAGAGAGGGGAACCGAGGTGGACCTCTGGGGCATGGGGCTGGAGGTGGCAGGGGAGGAGTGGACCCGGCCAACCTACTGCTGTGGGATTTCTGTCCCTTTCCAGGCTGCAGTAGATGGTCCCATGGACAAGAAGGAAGAGTAAGGGCCTCCTTCCTCCCCTGCCTGCAGCTGGCTTCCACCTGGCACGTGCCTGCTGCTTCCTGAGAGCCCGGCCTCTCCCTCCAGTACTTCTGTTTGTGCCCTTCTGCTTCCCCCATTCCCTTCCACAGCTCATAGCTCGTCATCTCGGCCCTTGTCCACACTCTCCAAGCACATTACAGGGGACCTGATTGCTACACGTTCAGAATGCGTTTGCTGTCATCCTGCTTGGCCTGGCCAGGCCTGGCACAGCCTTGGCTTCCACGCCTGAGCGTGGAGAGCACGAGTTAGTTGTAGTCCGGCTTGCGGTGGGGCTGACTTCCTGTTGGTTTGAGCCCCTTTTTGTTTTGCCCTCTGGGTGTTTTCTTTGGTCCCGCAGGAGGGTGGGTGGAGCAGGTGGACTGGAGTTTCTCTTGAGGGCAATAAAAGTTGTCATGGTGTGTACGTGGTGCGGTGTGTGACTGCAGCTGTGGGGAGGGCTCTGCTTTCTCTCCTGCCTGGAGCCCCCAAGCGGCCACAGCCCTTCAACCTGTTTCCCCCACTGAAGGCCAGGCTCACACCTGTTCTCGAAGGCCTTGCCCTCTCTGTCCTCCTGCTCCCCGGGCTGGGCCAGGCCTCGCTTCAGGGCCACCCGCCGAGTGTGTGTCCTGTCTGCCTCCCTGGGTGTGGGCAGCTTGGGAGGCTCAGTAAACCGGCGGGGCTTCCGGGTAGAGGACTCGCTTGCCTTCTCTGGGTTCCTGTTCGTCACATTTGGGACAGACAGAACGTGGCAGAACGCCACTAGTCACTCCCTGCCCCCCCCCCCGAAGGTTTGCAGGATGACCTCTGACTAATGCCAGCTGGGAGAGGAGACTTGTCCTTGGCAGTGACCTGGAGCTGGCCCAGGGCAGAGCTAGGCAGAAAGGGGCTGGGAATGGGCTGGGGCCCTTGGCCCTGAGAACGTGCTGGGTGTGTGCCTGCCACCAGAGCGCTGTGCTGGCTCCAGGGTGTCCCTCCCGTGGCTCCCTCAGAGCTGTGTCTTCCAGGCCCACAGCAAGCCAGGCCAGTACCGGGGCTTCCTGCCTGGCACCAGTGCCCAGGCCCCTGCACTGTGCTACTCTCCAGTAGCACATGAGGAAGGCAGCCCCCGCCCGCAGCACAGTGCTTCCACCCTGCAGGGCCTCTGCCATGCCTGGTGTCTGCATGAGGACTGGGCGGAAGGGTCAGGGGAGCAGGTTAGAGGTGTGTCTCCTGGAACTGGGGGGACCCCTGAAGGATGTTGATGCTGGCAGGGTAGCTGACGGCCTGCTGTGCATGCTCGCTTCTGCCTGCCCTGTCCGGGCCCAGGCCAGTGGTTCCCTTCTCTAGCATCCTGTCGCCCTTCCCTTGTGCTCAGAGCACAGCCGCCTCATGACGAGTTCTGTCCCTTTCCAGGCGGTCTGAGAGGTGGTGTCTGAGGGAGTAGGGGACACGTGGGCGATACCCTCTGGTTGCTGTGCCAAGGCCGAAGGCTGATCCCACTTTTCCAGGAAGTGCTCTCAGCTACCTTGGACCTCCCTGAGCTCACCCTTCTCTGAGCTTTGAAAGGCTAAAGTCCAAACGGGTGCTTCCCTCACCAGCCCTGATGGCTTCTTCCGCTGTTCTGCCTAGGCCAGCAGCAGACAGAAAGCTGCACGAGGCCAGCTTCTGGAGCGCCCTTTCTAGTGGAGTGATGGAACAACAACGGGGCAGGGGGTGTGGGCACAGGCTCTTAGAGATGAAAATTGAGGTGCTTGCCCAGCCTAGACTGGAGGGCGGCCTGCAGGCTCGCGCCTTCCTGGATCAGCTTCTGTTCCAGGGCATCTGCACCCGTGGGCGTCCTGATCTGTTTTCTTACCCATCTTCCACTAGACTGCGAGCTGCTTGAGGGCAAAGCCTGCTGCTTGTTGATCTCTGTGTCCTAACCCCTGATGCAGGAGCTAAGTCCTGAGGAAATGGTGTCTCTATTTCAGGACCCTCTTTAAGTGACAGGCCTCTGTGAAGTTTCCTTTTTTCAATGTCTTTTTTCTGTGTGTTTAGTGTCATCGTGGTGCATGAGGTGGCTTGGAGGGCATTTGGCCTGGAGGTGCGGAGAACAATTAGCAGAGGGTGATTGTCATCCAGGCAGAGACTTGGCTGACAGTGTATAAAGCAGTTGGCCTGAGCTCAGGGGTCCTGAGGGTGACTGTGGGCTGCAGGACAGTTGGAGTCGGTTGGGGACAGGGGCTGTGTGAGGGCCTGGGGCACCCTGGGGAGAGGTCTTGCTGATGTTGGGAAGCACCTTTGCAGCTAAGGAGGGCCAGGCCGGAGATGTGGGAGCTGCCAGCAGGCGGGGTTCTTGAAGGCGCAGGCATGGTGAGAGGACAGGCTTCTCAGGGAGAAAAAGAAAACTGGAAACAGCGGTTGCTGAAGAGATGGGGGCCAGGGACTGCAGGACAGGCTCCAGAGCCCCTGGCTGAGCTAGGGTGGGACTGCACTGCCACTCCTTTCTCTGCTCCCTGTCTGGTCCGTGTATTTCTCACCCAGGCTCTTGGTTGGCCGTATTCCAAGCCAGGTCCCTCCCCTGGCTCCAGAAGTTTAGGGGTAAAGCCCCTCCATAGGGGGTGCTGCCTGCTGAGGAGCAGGGCCTCTGGGGGTTCTCCCATAGCACGATAGCAGTCCTGGGCAGGACGCAAAGGGAGCAGCCCAAGCTGTCACTTTGCTCTGAGGGGTCACCTGCTCCCCCTTCACAGGCTCCAATCTCTGATGCTCTCTGTGCTTGCCTGAGCCGCCCACTGCATTGCCTGCTGTGCCCTGCCATGGTGCCCAGCCCTTTGAGGGTGGGGTGCCACATGCTCATCTTGTGCACGGGGTCCCGCCCGTTGAAGGACCTGTCTGTACTCAGTGTCTCCAATTCCTCTCCACCTCTTCTCATGGTAAAACGCATATATATCATACATATATATAGTGTCATCAGTGTATATGTAATGAGCCATTTTCACCATCGTTAAATGTGCAATTCAGTGGCATTAAGTGCAGTCACAGTGTTGCGCAGCCACCACTTCCATCCACCTCTAGAATTTATTTTCTCAAACTGACACTCTGTCCCCACTCAACACTCCCCACCCTGTCCCCAGCCCCTGGCACCCACCCTTGCCCTCTGTCTCTGTGGATCTCCCTCCTCTCATGTAAGGCCCTGTCTCTCTCACAGGAGCAGAACCCTATAGCAAGTATCCCTTTATGATGGCTCATTTCACAGAAATGCCCTCCAGGGTCAGCCATGTTGTGTCGTGTGTTGGAATGCCTTCCCTTTCCAGGCTGGCTCATATTTCCTTGTCTGGGTGAACTACGTTGTTGTCTCTCCCTTCGTCTGCAGATGACACTGCGCTGCCGCCACTCCTTTTCTCAGTCGCACACCACCCAGCCTTTCACACGCACCCGCTCATGCAAGCCACCCTCGCCAGGCCCCCGTGACCCTTGCCAGACTCAGTGAGCATTTGCAGGTCACTGTCCTTCACCAGCAGCAGCACTGGACAGATGGAGCCAGCCACTGCTCCTCCCTGACCTGTGAGGGGTCCTCACTGGCTCAGGTTGCAGGACCCCACCAGGAACTCTCAGGCGTCCTCCCCTATCACTGCCACGTCTTCGCTCTGCCCCTCTCATTGTGTTCCGGGGCTTGCGGCGTCCCTGTGAGCTCACTCAGGCTCAGGGCTTTCAGTGTCATCTCTATGTGGTAAGAACTTGCACAGTTCCATCTCCAGTACTTTCTGGAACTCCTGTGTCCACCTGCCAACTAGACATCTCCACTTGGATGACACTTCCTGCATGACACACCCAAGGCTGACTCCAGACCATTCTCTCCTTGCCTCCCCATTGCAGGACCTGGCAGCTCCATCTTTCCTCTTGCTCAGGCCAAATCTGTTGTCCTTAACTCCTCTTTGAGCCCTGCATCCTGGTCATGCACAACCCCTATTGGCTCCACCTTCAAAATTGATCCCTGATGCAGAGTTATCCCCTCTGCTGCTACCAGCCTGGCCCAAGTGACACAAGGCACCTGTTCAGTGACAAATTCTTGGGGTAACATTTTGAAAATTTCAGCACCCATGGCTTTACGCCCACCCTTCCCCGCGGGTGTGGCTGCTCTCCAGCTCACTCTCGTCCTGCTCTCCCCAACTGCCTCGGCTCCAGGGGGACAAGGCCTTCCCCTGGGCTGCTGCCTTCCCTGCCCCCTTCCCAGTCCCCAGAAGGGTGCCGGCCGCAGAGGCCTCCAGAGCAGAGCCTTGCTCACGGCAGCAGCTCCAGCTGGAGGAGGTTCCCCCTGCCTCCTGTACCCCGACCCCTTCCTTAGAGCAGCAGAGGCGGAAGCAGGAGCCTGCTTTGGAAAATGACATGTTTTTATTGCTATGTCTGCAGTGGCTTTTTAGCACAGTAGAATGTCCCCGCAGGCCCGCCACCCTCACCCAGCCCCAGCCCTGCAGCCTCTGTCTGGGTGTCGGGGAAGCCTTTCTTGGGGTCACTCAGCCGTCTCGGGACTGGACGTGACAGACAAACGTGGGTTAAAGCTGCTACACAGAAGACTGGAGGTGCGGGAAGTGCATCCACCTTAAGCCTGGACGTGGGAGCCGTGTCCAGGGTCCCTTCCTGGGGGTGTGCCCCGCACAGGGTGGGAAGCCTGAGCAGGCCAGGTTAGCAGCCCAGACACCCAGGACGGAATATTGCAGCCTCTTGCCCCACAGACTTGTGGCAAAGGGACAGCGTGGGGACAGCCCCGAGGCCCCCACCATGCACTTTTCCAATCCAGTCTGGGGCTGGGGACCACACACGCACATCCACACAACAGACTCACACACGCAACAGCTCGAAGCTTTTGTTTTGCCTATGAAAGTTAGATCTATAAATTCACACTCCTTGGCTAGGGGCAGAGGGGTAAGGTAGGGCTCACAGGGATGGGAGTGGTAAGGAGAGGATGGTTTGGGCTCCTTCCTCTTTTTAGAAATATACAAGCAGAAATCTCATTCTCTCAAGTTTTTATAAAATGTGCAAAATACAAGCCTCCTTTGCCCAGAGGCGCCATTTACATCTGGCATTCACCTTTGCTAAGAGATAGAGATCTATATATACTCTCCGTACTCACGCACGCGTGCACTCGCACCCAAGCTCACACAATTGATACTGGTGGCGATTGGCGCAGGAACCAGAAGGTTCCATTGCTGGCTGGCTCTCTAAGCTTCTATAACAGGGATGGGGAGAGGGGTATAGCCCAGCTGAAATATTTGCCTTGGTTCTGCTGCCCCTCCCCTGCCTCCCTTCTCCTCTCTCTCCTCCCTCCCGTCTCTCCCTCCTTCCCTTCCTCACATTTCCCAAGCTGCCACTGCTGCTTCTGGGGTGAGGGGTCACCCACGGGTGTGCTGCAGAGCAGAGCCTGGAGAGGTGGGCAGGGGGTGGGCGTGGCAGGGGCAGGAGGAGTGCAGCACTGTGGGTGGGGGTGGGGCACTAGGCGGGGCCTAGGACCAGCTCGGCTAGGGCTGGAGGGGGAGAGGCATCTATTTTTGGTGGGTTGTGATATTTTTGGCGTTTTATTAAAAATGGAAAAAGTTGTTTTAGTGAGCACTCATGGTGCTTTCTCCCCTCCTCCCCCAGGCAGACCCCAAAAGTGTCAGGGAAAGGCAGGCCCCCTGGAGGGGTGCGGTGGGGCTGAAGCAGGGGCTGCTATGGCTACCAGAGGTGAGCTGGTGATGTGAGCTGAGTTGTCACATGACACTCTCCACCACGACGACCTTGCTGCTCTCGGACACTGGGGTCAGGGTGGTCAGGCCCCTGACATCTGCGTCCTGAGCTCGGTACTCCAAGTGGTGGAGGCCCCAGATGGGCTGGGTCAGGTGCTGCCAGCGCTGCAGGAGAGGAGGACATGCTGAAGCCCCCAGGGTCACCTGCTCGTCCCCACGGTGACTTCCTCTGCCTCTCTCCGGTTCCCACTGCCTGCCACCCTAGTCGGGGCCACTCCCTGGCTAGGAAGCAGGCTGGGTTGAATGTTCACAGCAGGGGAGGGGAGGGCGGGCCGGGCGGGAGCCTTACCTCAGCCATGGTGCCCTTGGCCCTGAGGAGGCAGCCCAGGAGGTGCAGCGGCACGCACAGCATGGAGGACAGGGCGAAGGCCCAGCCCATGGCCTCACCCCACCACGGGTACACGTAGGTGTTGTTGTAGACCAGCGGCTCGTAGTACACAACGTTGAAGATGAAGATGCCCTACGGACCAGAATGCTGCGGTTAATGGGGCCCCTACCCCGCCCTGCCTCGCCCCCCGCCCTGCCCCACCTCCCCCAGCCCTTACCATGCAGACCAGCGGGGTGAAGAAGGACCAGCACCATTTCATCCAGGGGCAAGGTCGGTACCCGATCATACAGGCAATGTCGTCCATGAAGCGGTCAGCTCCTGCGGCGAGGTGAGGCGGGAGGGCCAAGCTGGAGACCTGCCTTCCCCGCCACCATCCCCCAGCCCAGCCCTCAGCCATGACCTACCGTACACCCAGGCCACCACCACGCACTCCCAAAAGGCCTGCCAGAGCAGGGTGGTGCCGCTGGCCGAGTAGTAGTCAAACAGCTGGAAGACGTACATCCCGCCCTGGGGGACAGAGCCCAGTCAGGGAGGATGGCAGACGGCCACCAGAGGTCACAGGCAGACCCCCCACCCCACTCACATCAGTCACCATGGAGAGATCGATGACAAAGCAGAGGGCACAACAGAGGGCCACAGAGATCTCCCTTTGGAAACGGAAGTAGTAGGAGGCCGGGAGGAGGTCGAGGAGGCCGGTGATGAAGCCCTCCACACCTACAAACTGTGGCCAGGGCAGCTCAGGCCGAGCCCCGCACCGCCCTCCACCCCTTTCCTTGCCTGCAGCCCTCCCTCCGCCCCCCTCCTGGCTCCCTGTCCCAGAGCCCCATGCAAACCTGGCTGTCGAGACCAAGCAGCAACAGCATGAAGAAGAACAGGGCAGCCCAGAGTGGGGCCACTGGCATCAGCGTGACAGCCCGCGGGTAGGCGATGAAGGCCAGGCCCGGCCCTGTGGGAAAGGTGCAGGCTCTAGACCTTGTAGCCGATGTCCTGCCCTGTGCGCACCCTGAGCCCTGCCTGCAACACTCGCGCCCATGCCCACGCCTGCCTCAGAGGCGCTGTCAACCCTGGGTCGTGCGGCAGGGGCTGGGAGGTCCTTTCTCTGTCAACATTGACAAATCCCAGGACCTGCCCCCACAGGCCCACAATCTGACAAGTTCCGTTTGAATCCTCGTCACTTTTCAGCATTTCTATTGCATGTTCCTGTACATCATGCATCTGGGTAGCACTCGCTGCTCTGGAGGCGGGGCTGGGGGTAGGGCCCTACCTGACTCTGCCACCTTGGAGATGTGCACGCCCTGCTCTGCAGCCATGAAGCCCAGGATGGAGAAGACCACGAAGCCAGCAAAGAAGCTGGTCCCACTGTTGATGAGAGCCAGGATGATGGCGTCCCTGAGGGGTGGAGGGGCCAGAGTGGATGGGTTAGGCTGCTGGGCAGGGCGGGGCAGGGCAGGACAGGGCACGGGTGGCAGGGCGGCGGTGCTTACTTGTAGCAGTTGTTGTTGAAGCGGTTGTAGCTGCCCAGGGCTGTGAGGGCCCCCAGGCCAATGGCGTAAGAAAAGAAAATCTGGGTCCCCGCATCTATCCACACCTAGAGAAGGGCCGGAGAGCGCAGGCATGAGGGGCCTGCAGGGCTCCCCCGCAGCGCCCTGCTGCAGCCTCTCCACCTCCACCTCACCTGAGGGGACCCCAGCTTTGACCAGTCAGGCTTGAGATAGTAAATGATGCCATCCAGGGCGCCAGGCAGCAGCACTCCACGCACCAGCAGCACGACCAGGACCACGTAGGGGAATGTAGCAGTGAAGTACACGATCTGGGGGGCCAGGCTGCTCAGCGGAGGCTGTGGCACCACCTCCCTCACACCCCCACTCCCAGCGCCTCCGGTCCCCCTTGCGGGCAGGTATGTTCAGAGGTCCCCATTGTCCTCCGAGCCATGGCTCCCGCCAGAGGAAGCTAGGGGCAAGGCTGCGCCCCGGCAGCCCTGGCCAAGTGCAGTGGGGAAGCTCCCTGGGCGCCTCGTTTGTCTGCAGGGACGCGTGTCGGTGGGGAGCAGGCGAGCCTCTGGGAGCTCTCCTCAGTGGGGACAGGAGGCGTGGAGCACGTGGGGAGTGAGAGCTGTATGAGTGTGTGGGCAGTGCAGGTGTGGGAGGCCCAGGCAGGGAGCGGGATATTGGATCCGGGTCGGGTCCCCCTCCTCTTCTGGAGAGAGGTGGGGGTTGAGCAGGTGGAGAGTGGAACTGGGCCAGGCAGAGGCAGGCGAGATGCAGCTGCCACACTGTCTGCCCCCTCTTCCCACATGCTGCTCTGGGGACCTTGTCCCCCAGGGAGCTGGCCATGTCCCACAGCTCTAGACACTGTCTTCTTTGTTCAGGTGACTCCCCAGCCTGACCAGGAGCCCCCAAGGGATGTGGCCAGACTCTGCTCTGGGTCCCCAAGGCAAGATAGGTAACAGATGGCCAGACCAGGTCCACCAGACTGTCACAAGAGTCAGAGACTGGCAGGAGGGCACCAGTGGGGGTGATGGGCACAGGGAAGGGACAGTGCCTGCCAGGGCCTCTATCCCCAGGAGCAAAGGCTGCTGGGCCCTGGATTTGCAGGGTGGGGAGCATTGCTTGGCTTTCAGTACCTCCCCCTTCCTTAGGGCTAGACTCTGTCTGGTCACCTCCCGTTGCCACAGGTGTGCCTGGCACAGACATCCGGCTCCCAGGGCTGAGCCACCCTCCCCGCTGCATGCCTCTAGTGGTACCTTTCCCGTGGATTTGACCCCCTTCCAGACACAGAAGTAGACCAGCACCCAGCAGGCCAGCAGACAAAGGGTCACCTCCCAGTTGAGGGCCCCTGGCACCTCCAGTCCCCCAGACAGCCTCAAGACTTTGTTCCTAGGGGAGGGAGGGAGGTCCCATGAGGCCTGTGCCAGCAGAGGATGGAGCCACAGGGTCCACCCCCAGGAGTTGTGGCTCCCTTCTCTCCCACAGCCCAGGGTTCAGCGGGTCCCTCTTGTCCAATTGGGCTGGGCCTGGAGCCCACGATCCCCTGGCCATTGGGAGGCCACTCCCATCCCACCTCACATGCAGCCCCAGCTCCCCCATCAGGGGGGAGTGACCAGGACAGTGATCGGCTGCCGAACCCAGGAGCGAGGCTGGCCCCAGGACTCTCCGAGGACAGGCAAGGGCAGGCAGGGTCCAGGATGGACTGCCAGGCAACACCCTGGTGCCCCCTCAGGGCCACTCCCCTGGAGCCGGGCAACATGAGGGAGACCTGGGGGATGGGATGGGCTTGGCCCAGAGGTGCCGGACTCACTCCCAGAACTCGATGACAGGGGACCGGCGGTCAGCAAGCTGGTCACAGGTGAGGTTGGCCAGGCTGGCATTGGCACAGTCTTCATGGCGGAAGATCTCCACGCAGTCGGGAGTGTTCCAGGTGTGGCCACATGTGGCCCAGGGCAGCGTGGTGGTAAAGGACTTGACCAGGTAATAGAAGCCCCAGGCCAGCACCATGATGTAGTAGGTGTTGCAGTAGAAGACGATCACCATGGAGGCGTAGCCCAGGCCTGGGGCCGGGAAGTCCTTGCCATGTAGATTCTTCCCTGGCCACCTCCCCCTGCCACCCCTTTATGTCCCCACCCAGGCTGGCCGTGCTCCCACCATCTGTCCTCCTGGAGCCTTGTTTGTGGTGCTCCTGACTCCCCTGGGCTCCCCCTTGTGTGAGCCCCAACACTGCGCTGACTCCCCAGCCTGTCTCCTCTCCTCCAGCCGCCCCCTAGACCCAAGGCAGAGCGAGCCCCTCTCCTCCTGTCCCCATCTGACCAAGTGCTGTGGAGTCTCCAGCCTCATACACCTGGCCCCTTCTGTGGGTCCCACTGCCACCATGGCGGTTCCAGGAGGTCCAAGCCTCTGCCTGGCCACCCAGTAGCCTCCAGTCCTCAGCAGCTGGTGTTGATGGTGGTGGTGGGGGGGGGGGGTTTCTAGTCGCCTGAGGTAGTGTTGGAGACAGTCGCCCCTGCAGTGGGCAACCTCAGTACGTCGCTCCACCTGTCTGTGCCCCAGCGTCCTTGGGGATAGTAACAGTAGGACCTACCTAGAGAGCCAAGGGTGCTGCTGGGCAGGTCCCGTCCCCAGCCCGGCTATGCCTGGCCTGTCCTTGCCTTGTGGAGCTGCCTATGCCCCCTCTAGTCCCCGCTTCCCCAAGTTCGCTGTGCGGCCTGAACATCTCCTCCAGGCTCCCCCCTCGAGACTGGGACGCCATCACGTGGCCCCAGGCCTGGTGCTCACGACAGGAAAAGATTTCTCAAGTGGGAGCCAGCTGGGAGAAGGGGGCAGTCCCTGAGGCTGGCCAAGGGCTGCTCACCTTTGAACAGGGGACAGATGTTCCAGACATTGATGCTGCCGGCCTTCATGAACTGGCCCAGCGAGATCTCTAAGAAGAAAATGGGGATTCCTCCAACCAGGGCGATCAGGACGTAGGGAATAAGGAACACACCTGGGGGTGGAGGCACAGCGTGGACTCAGGGTGGCCCCCAGCCAGGCTGCCCAGGCCCAGCGGGCCAGCCCAGACTCCAAAGGCCCCATCACAACTTCCGACTGGGTGAGTCAGTGTAGGGGTGGCCACTGACTCAGGCCCCAGGTGGAGTCTTGAGGGGGTGGGTTGAGTGTGTTGAAGAGGGGCTACAGTAGCCCCTGAGCCATTGGAGCCCTATTCCCTGGGTGGCAGAGGGGCCCTAGGCCCCCAGGGCTTCCACCCCCACGGTCACTTGGGGCGATGGCCATGGAGGACACACACGCTCAGACACGCGGGCTGTCCCTAGTGCTGCAATTCCCTGTTTCAGGCAGCACAGTGAGGGCACGTGCATGTGTGCATGTGTGCCAAGGCTGGGTGATCAGGCCTGGGGGGCTCATCCAAAGGCAGGGAGCGCGACTGTCCTGCCCTTGGACGCTTGCCTGCAAGTGTGAGGTCTAAGGCAGAGGGTGGGTGGGTCACAGTCCCCTGCTGGTGGGATGGCGATGTGCAAGGACAGAGGGATACAGGTGCGGAAGAGGGGCCAGGCCGGCCTTAGCAAGGCCAGGGAGTCAGGCTCTGCAGGAGATAGGCAGGGCGTGACACAGGCCTATCTCCTGAGGCCAGCAGGCTGGGGTGGGGGTGGCAGAAGGGCAGGGAGAGCTGGGTGCCACTACCCCCTTCTCCTCTCTGGGCCTCCTACCCTTGCCCTGGCTGGGCTCGCTCCACTACTCAGAGGCTGAGCTTGGCTGCAACTTGCCTGACTCCAGGTCCCAGCATCCTTCTCCTGACCTTGGGCAAAGGCCTTTGCTCTGGACCTCTGTTTCCCACCCATCACCGGGTCACTTCGGCTTCCAGCAACCCCAGTGCTGTTTTGTAGTCACAGGACACACGCGTGCCCATCGCTGTTGCTAAGCTGGGCCCGGGCGGGCGGGCGGGCGGGCGGGCATGGGACGTGCATGCAGTGTGTCCAGTGGCGGCGCCAGGCGGGCCAGGCCGCAGGCTTCCCAAGCCTGGCTCGGGCACCCAGTGTTCCAGGCCCGGGCCAGAGGGGAGGGGCGGGAGGGCCGCGAGGGGAGGGGAGGGCAGGGGGAGGGACAGAGTGGCCCATTGTGTGTGTGTGTGTTCGTGTGTGTGCACACGTGGGGGGCCCACACAATGTGCCGCTTGTGTGCCCGACCCGTGGGGGCAGCCAGGGCTCCTTACCTCGCGGAGACCCCAAGGCGCAGGCCTGCTTTCCCACCTCGGCGGCCAATCGCTCCTCCCAGCCCGGGAGTCTGGGGGGCAGCCTCGCGGGCATCGCCGGCCCCCTCCCCCCACCATGCCAGGCACATGACTGCGAGGGGGGTGGAGGCGCCCGGCCCGGCCACCGAGCGGCAGCGGCGGACGAGGGGCGGCCCCGACCCCCGCGTGCCCGGGGGCCACCCGTTGCCCGGACTTCACCCCTCCGCGGCGGCTCCGGGGGTCGGGCGGGGGCCGGCGGCCTGCTGGGGGAGGAGGCCGCGGCGGGCGGGGGAACTCACCTCCGCCGTTCTTGTAGCACAGGTAGGGGAAGCGCCACACGTTGCCCAAGCCCACGGCGAAGCCCACGCACGACATGATGAAGTCCATCTGGCGCGTCCAGGTCTCGCGCGGCGGCACGGCCAGGCGGCCGCCGGGTGTCCCCAGGCCCACGGGGCCGTCGCCCTTGGCCGGGGCCCCGTCGGGCCCGGGCGCGATGAGGGGGCCCTTCTTCTCGTCGCCGGACACGCTATAGATGCCGTTCTCGGCGCTCTTCTTCGCCATGGCCTCGGCGGGCCGCACGGCCGGGCCGGGGTCGCGGCGCCTCACGGGGGGCGGCGGTCAGGCGGGGGGCACCGGCGGCACCGGGGAGGGCCCCGAGGGCGCGGGCCGGCCGGGGGCCGGGGGGCGGCCGGGCCGGGGGACGGGGCGGCGGGCGGGCGGCGGGGTGCGGGGCGCGGGCGGCGCAGTCAGAAGCAGTCCACGAAGCACTTGAAAGTGAGCCTGAAGAATCTCATGTGTGTCGGGGGCCCGGGGGCGCGCGGGCGGCGGCGGGGCCCGGCCGGGCGGCGGCGGCGGCGGCGGCGGCTCCCGAGGCTCCTGCCCGCGGCTCGGGCGGCGGCGGCTGCGGCGGCTCCTCGCCCGACCCGAGGCTCAGCCTAGCGGGGCGCGGGCGACATCGGCGCCCGCGGTCTGCAAGCGGCGGCCGGAGCAGGGGCCTGTGGCCCGCGCCCCCCGCCCCGGCCGGGGCCCGCGGAGGCTGCCCGGCTGGCCCGCGACTCCGGTGGCGGTGGTGGCGGCGGCGGCGGTGGCGGCGGCGGCGGCGGCTCGGGCGCGCCTCGCCCTCTCCTTCCCGGCGGCGGCGGCTGCAGCCGCTCTCGGGGCCGCGGCGGGCTCAGCGACTCGCCACCTCGCTCCGACTATCCCTCTCTTCCCCGTCCCCGGCCGGCCGCCGCTTAAAAACCGACTCCGGGGTGATGTCACTATCGCCCCACCCCCACGGCCGGCCGGCCCCCCTCCCCCTCCCCCTCCCGCATCCCTCCCTCCCGCCCTCCTCGTCACACTCCGCCCACCTCCTCCCTGCCCTCCTCCCGGGGAGGAGACGCCGCTCCAGCGGGAGGCAGGATGGTTGCTACCTGGGGCGGCCGCCAGCTCCTCCCGCAGGGCTCCGGGCCGCCCCTCGCCCCAGGGTCGCCGGCTCCTAGTGCAGCCCAGGCTTCCCGGCCGGCCCCTCCCAGCCCTGGGAAGACGTCCCCCGGGCCCCCTCAGCCCTCCGCCTCCCCTTCTCTCCCTTTCTCCCCGCTCCTGGCAGGCTGCAGCCGTCTCCTCCCGGTGCTCCCTCCTTCCTTGAGCTCTCTCCACCGCTGCCCACTGGGGGCTACAGCTTCCCGGCTACCCTGGAAGCTGGAGGCCGGGACCAGCTCTTCAGGTGACAGGCCTCTGTGTCTCCACAGTGGGCAGAGGGGAGCCTGCCTGGCTGATGAGCAAGCCTCGACTTTGTCATCAAGGCAGAGAAGGGGCCCGGGTAAATGACCCCGGCGGCCCCCACCCCTGCCTGGCGTGAGAGTGGGTAGGGGCTTCGGACTTGAGGGGACTGGAGCGGGAACAAGGCAAGGCTGCCCCCTGGTGCCTGGCAGGTGCACAGACCCTTCCCCAAAGGCCTCAGGCCTGAGGTCCTGGCTGCCCGCCCCCCACCCACCCCGTGTTCCTCTCCCCAGGACCCCCCAGGCCTCCCTAGCAAGAGCCAGCTTGTTGGGCTGCCTCTCCGCCGCCAGCTGAGCAGCTTGTTTAGAATTTTCTAGGGCTAAGAGTAGCCTGGGGGTGGGGTGGGGAAGGAAGTGGTCATTGTCCTGGCCTGGGAGGTAAAGTGTGCCCCCCTCAGCTTCAAGCTCCCTGATCTGATCGTGGACACTGCAGTCCCCAGATGGCTCATCCCGTTAAGCTAAGCCCGCGGCCATCCGTCCAGCTTTAGGAAGAAAAGCAGTTCCGGCCCAAGCCAGATTGAGCTTGCTGGGTGAGGGAGGGACAGTGTCCCCACCCAGGCTTGGAGGAGGAGCCTCAAGGGGTGTGTGTGGTTGGGGGAGACAGGCGGTGTCACCTGTGCTTAGACCAGGGGTGGTGGGTGGGTACCCCTGAGGTGGCAAGGTCACACTGCTCATCAGAAGTTTCTCACTAGGGTCTTCTCTGGCCCAGCCTTTGACTGAAGCTGGTCTGGAGACAGGGGCATTAGAGAAGTGACTCATAGATGGCCTAAAGAAGCGGGGCCACTCAAGGACCCAGGACAGAGGGAAGAGGGCCAACCCAGCTGGACCACAGGCAAACCCCATTGCCTTTGAGAGAAAGAAGAGGACCCGGTGAAGTAGGCTCGGAGGGCCTCAGCCCAGCAGGAGTGCGGGGTGGGCGCGTGATGTCATCGAAGGGAGGACGGTGACCTGGGGGAGGGCCGCTTTGAGGGAGAGTGCAGGCCACGGCCAGACAGCTCTGGGAGCCGCGGGCAGGGGAGACTTTCAGATGTTGCTTGTCAAAGGGGTGGGGGTGGAAGGGAGAGAAAGCAGAGGCTCGAGAAGGATGTAGGAGAGCTGATGGCACTTTGGGGAAGTGACCACTGCTGCGGTTACTCCTCCGGTGGGTTCCGAGGCCAGGGACAGGATCATGAGGGAGTCGCCACCCCTGACTGCTGCTGCCTTTGTGAGATCAGAGGAGGCCGAGGCAGAGGGCGAGGTGGCCAGGCTGGAGGGTACTGGAGACAGAAGTGAAGGGTGGGGGGCTGTCCAGAATGGCTGCCACTGCTCCATGGACCCTCGGAGTGGGAGCCCCCACATCTGAGGGGAGGTCCAGTGGGCCCCCATACCTGACTCCCACGACCTCCTGGAACTGGGCTCTTCTCCAGGCAGCCACCCCTTCCCACACCCACCTTCTTCCCCGCCCTTTGCCAGCCCAGCCTGGGGTGCACCCACTACCAGCCCCTGGGCCAGGCCCTGCCTCCCGCCCCCAGCTGGTCTGGACCCCATAGTGACTGTGAACTCCTCCTCACGGCCTGGGCCAGACCCCAAACTGCATTCTCTGAGCAGCCAGAGGGACCCTCCTGAAGCACAAATCTGACCAGCCCCTCCTTTATCTCATCCCTTCTTTGGGCTTTTCTGTGCCCTGGAGGTAGAACTAAATTTTTCTCCAAGACTACGAGATGGAGTGTGATGGGGCTGTGCCCTCCCAGCCTCGGGGCGTTCCCCCTGAGTTTTCCCTCCACGCGGGGCCCACAGCCTGGGCTTCCCTTTCTCTGCTGACCTCCAGGACTCTGTCCCAGGAGGCTCCTGAGGGAGGTTCAGGAACCCTCCCCACGTCGGCCACCCTGGGAGCCGCCCCTGCCCAGCCAGGGCGAGCTGGGCCTCTTTGAGCAGTGCATGAAGTTCAGGCTGGTAAGGCTGGAGTTCCCGGCGGGGAGCTCCGGCCGGAGCTCTGGTCTCTGTCACAGGCTCTGACCCGGGCGGCCAGTGACAGGGTCTTCTGAGGCTGCTCCCACGAGCTGCTGAGCAGTTGGGGGAACAAAGGCAAAGCGATTTCCATCCCTGGCTGGGTCCTCTCCCACGTCCGAAGGCTTCAAAGCGTTCTCGGGCTTTGTCAAGGCGCGTCAGGCTCGGCCCGGGGGCAGCAGCTGCTGGGGAGGGGCAGGGTGGGCTCTCCAGGCCCCCAGCTGAGGGCCGGGTAGCTGTCCCCCGCCAGCCCTTTCCAAGCCTCCGCCTGTCTTGCCAGGCCCTTGTGTTCTACTCACTGAAGGGGGGTTCCGAGCATGTGCAGGAGGGGGTGGGGGTGCCCTGCGACCTGTGCCCAGCCCAGAGCTCCTATGGTGGCTTCTGGGTGAGAAGCAAACTGTTCTCTGGGGCAGAGGCGACCGGGGAGGGGCGGGGGGAGAGCTGCACCCTCCCCTTACCGTGTCCCAGGGAGTGGGCAGCCTTTCAGGCCCCAGCTGGGGCTGGGGGGTTGGAGTAGGAGCTGAGGAGGAGGGAGAGGGGAGGAGAAGGGGAGCTGGGGGGAGGGCAGGGGAGGGGGGCTAGCCGGAATGCTCCTGTTTGTTGGGGGAGGCCTGAGAATTGGAGCCAGCGCCCACTCAAGCCTAGGGCAGCTGCGGACCGGGGAGGGGCTGGGTGAGGGGCCACCGGGCCCTGGGGTGACTGGTTATCCTGGGAGGATGGGCAGCTGGAGACAGGATGGGGGCGCCTCCTCTTCTGAAGGCGAGCCGGGCACAATGAGCTTTGGAATTAGAATAAGCTGGGAACAAAGGGGGAGCCAGAGTCCACCTGGAAGGGCTTTGTACTTCCAGCTCCTGGGGAGGGGGCCGACGTGCGGCTGCAGCCAAGCGGAGAACAGAAAGAATGGGGCTGGGGGCGAGGGCCTGCAGCAGGGCAGGGATGGGGGGCAGCAGAACCCCCCACCCGCGCCCTTCCCACCAGCTGTGCTCGTTTACACAGACCCGCAGAAAGGAGGCTTTGCTTTGTTTTTTACATTTTATGTAAACTTTTATTAGGCTGGTTTTATTTGTTTTATAGATTGAGAGGGTACAAGCGCGGTTCTGTTACATGCATATATTCCGTGCAGACCCATCACCCTAAAGCTGCCTTGCAAAAACTGTAACAGTAACAAAATTCTGCCAGTGAGAGAGCTGATCTAACCAACCCTGTCTGCATTTACCCTCCAAACTGTTTTTGGTCTTTCCTGGGCATGGGCCAAGCTAACTTTGGGAGAAATTTCGTTTATAGTTTAAATGATAACAGACCTTCCCAAGATGAAACCGCCTTTGTAAAAGTAATGAAAGGCCATCAGGTGAGGAGGATGAGAGGGGCCTGAATTCTGCTAACATGGAAGCATTCATGATGACCAGCCATTGTTCAGAGCTCAAGAGATTTGTAACTTCTCCAATTACTCCTGTAGATAATGTCACTATTGTAGAACCTAAGGTTGGCTTTTTGAGACGTCTTTGCAGGTTTTTGCATTTCTCACTACCAGATGGCTCCACCCGGACCACATAGACCTATGACTCAAGGTCCTGTGGCCCTACCTAAAAGCAGACTCAGCTCAGCACACAAGAATCATCCCCCACCCAACCAGTCAGCAGCACCCATTCCCTAGCCCCCTGTCCGCCAAACTATCTTTAAAAAATCCTAGCTTTCGGGCTGGGTGCGGTGGCTCACACCTGTAATCCTAGCACTTTGGGAGGCCCAGGCGGGTGGGTCACTTGAGGTCAGGAGTTCAAGAGCAGCCTGGCCAACATGGTGAAACCCCTGTCTCTACTAAAAATACAAAAGTTAGCCGGAAATCGCTTGAACCCGGGAGGTGGAGGTTGCAGTGAGCCAAGATTGTGCCACTGCACTCCAGCCTGGGCAACAGAGTGAGACTCTGTCTCAAAAAAAAAACCTAGCCTTCAGGGCTGGGCACGGTGGCTCATGCCTGTAATCTCAACACTTTGGGAGGCCAACATGGGTGGATCACGAGGTCAGGAGATCAAGACCATCCAGGCTAACATGGTGAAGCCCCGTCTCTACTAAAAATACAAAAAATTAACCAGGTGTGGTGGCACGGGCCTGTAATCCCAGCTACTCAGGAGGCTGAGGCAGGAGAATCGCTTGAACCTGGGAGGCGGAGCTTGCAGTGAGCCTAGCTCATGCCACTGCACTCCAGCCTGGGCGACAGAGCGAGACTCCATCTCAAAAAAATAAAAAATAAATAAATAAATCCCAGCCTTCAAATTTTCAGGGCAGCTGATTTGAGTAATAATAAAACTCCAGTCTCCTCTACGTGTATTCAACTCTTTCTCGGCTGGGCCTGGTGACTCACACCTGTAATCCCAGCACTTTGGGAGGACCAGGTGGGCAGATTGTCTCACACGTCCATGTGAAGAGACTACCAAACAGGCTCTGTGTGAGCAACAAGGCTGTTTATTTTACCTGGGTGCAGGCAGGCTGAGTCCGAAAAGAGAGTCAGCAAAGGGTGATGGGATTATCATTAGTTCTTATAGGTTTTGGGATAGGCGCTGGAGTTAGGAGCAATGTTTTGTGGGCAGGAGGTGGATCTCACAAAGTACATTCTCAAGGGTGGGGAGAATTACAAATTACAAAGAACCTTCTCAAGGGTGAGGGAGATTACAAAGAACTTTCTTAAGGGTGGGGGAGATTACAAAGTACATCAGTTAGGGTGGGGCAGAAACAAATCACAATGGTGGAATGTCATCAGTTAAGGCTATTTTCACTTCTTTTGTGGATCTTCAGTTGCTTCAGGCCATCTGGATGTATATGTGCAGGTCACAGGGGATATGATGGCTTAGCTTGGGCTCAGAGGCCTGACACAGATCACTTGATCCCAGGGGTTCGAGACCAGCCTGGGCAACATAGCGAAACCTTGTCTCTACAAAAAATTTAAAAATTAGCTGGGGCGGTGACACGCACCTGTGCTCCCAGCTATGGGGAGGCTGAGGCAAGAGGATCACTTGAGCTCAAGAGGTCAAGGGTGCCGTGAGCCGTGATTGTACCACTGCACTCCAGCCTGAGAGACAGTGCGACACCCTGCCTCAAAACAAAACAGGCCGGTGCGGTGGCCCACACCTGTAATCCCAGCACTTTGTGAGGCCGAGGCAGGCAGATCACCTGAGGTCAGGAGTTAGAGACCAGCCTGGCCAACATGGTGAAACCCTGTCCCTACTAAAAATACAAAAATTAGCCAGACACGGTGGTGCGTGCCTGTAGTCCCAGTTACTCGGGAGGCTGGGGCTGGAGAATTGTTTGAACCCAGGAGGCGGAGGTTGCAGTGAGCTGAGATCGCGCCACTGCACTCCAGCCTGGGTGACAGAGCAAGACTCTGTCTCAAACAAACAAAACAAAACTTTATTGTAATTCCCCTGTCTTGATAAATTGGCTCTATCTATCTGGGCAGTGAGCAAAATGAACCCATTAGGTGGTTACAACCTGAATAGTGAACGTTGTACCCAATAGGTAATTTTTCAACCCTCACCTTCTAGACTAGTTTTAGATGTACAGAAAAACTGTAAAGAGGGTACCAAGAATTCCCATACAGCCCACCCCCATCTCCCGCCTTATTAGCCTCTTATGTTAGGACAGCTCATTTATTGCAATTAATGAATCAACATCAGTTATTGCAAACAATGAATCAACACTGTTAGTATCTAAAGCCCATAGTTTATTCAGGTTTTCTTGGCTTTTCCCTAATGTCCTTTTTCTGTCAGGATCACATGTTGCATTTAGTCATCCTGTCTCCTGAGGCTCCTCTTGGCTGTGACAGTTTCTCAGACTCCTTGTTCTTGGTGGCCCTAACAGCTTCGAGGAGGACTGGGCAGTGTGTTGTAAAACAACCTCTGTTGGGAAACTTTTGCTGTTTCCCATGATCAGGTGGGCCTCAGGGGTGATCAGGAGGAAGACCACGGGGGTGAAGCGCCTCATCGGGGGCCATGTAGACCTGGAACGACCGGCTGGGGTCCTGTTTGTCGGGTCTCTCCACTGGGAAGTGACTGTTCCCCCTTTCCATACCGTGCTCTTGGGAAGGAAGCCGCTCCGTGAGGCCCAGTTAGGGAGCGGGGCCACCTCCTGGAGGGGCAGTATCTACACAAGTAATGTTTTGTTCTGTGCAGGAGTGTTGTCTGTTCTCCCACATTTATTTATGTAATCATTTATTTATAACGGTATGGACTCATAGATGTGTACCTTATATTTGGTTTTAATCTAACACAACTCTTTATTTTCTTGCTCAAATTTTCCATCTTGGACCATTGGACTCTCTTTCGGTTGGCTCCTGTGTCCTTTGTCCTTTTTTTTTTTTTTTTTTTTTTGAGACAGGTTCTCACTCTGTTGCCCAGGCGGGCGGACAGTTGTGTGATCTCCGCTCACTGCAACCTCCGCCTCCTGGGCTAAAGCAATTCTCCCACTTCAGCCCCCCAAGTAGCTGGGACTACAGGCACCCACCACCACGCCCGGCTAATTTTTGTATTTTTTGGTAGAGACAGTTTCACCATGTTGGCCAGGCTGATCTCGAACTCTTGACCTCAGATGATCCACCCTCCTCGGCCTCCCAAAGTGCTGGGATTACAGGCATGAGCCACCGCGCCCAGCCCTGAAGGCTAGGTTTTTTTTTGAGACAGAGTCTCACTCTGTTGCCCAGGCTGGAGTGCAGTGGCACAATCTTGGCTCACTGCAACCTCCACCTCCCGGGTTCAAGTGATTCTCCTGCCTCAGCCTCCCAAGTAGCTGGGACTACAGCTCTTTATCTGTCATATGTGAGCCCGTTCTTGCATTGCTATAAAAAAAAAATCTGAGGCTGGGTAATTTATAAAGAAAAGTGGCTTATTTTGGCTCATGGTTCTGGAGACTATACAGGAAGTGTGGTGCCAGCATCTGCTTCTAGTGACACCCTCAGGAAGCTTCCATTCATGGTGGAAGGTGAAGAGGGAGCCGGCATATCCATGGCAAGAATGGGAGCAAGAGAGTGAGGGTGGAGGAGGTGCTAGACTCTTTCAAACAACCAGATCTCGTATGGACTCAGAGCAAGAACTCACTCATTATTGTGAGGACGGCACCACGCCATTCATGAGGGATCCACCGCCATGACCCAAAAACGTACCATTAGACGCCACCTTGAACATTGGGGATTATAGTTCAACATGAGATTTGGAGGGGACAGACATCCAAACCGTATCACATCACCACCACCCAACCAACACACATACATTTCAAAGTTGACACGTACAGGATTTCAGCAGATGTTTACACAGTTGCAAAGGGTGTAATTTCTTTTCTCTTTTCTTTTTGAGTTGTGCTATCACTCTCTGGTTGCCAGGGTGGAGTGCAGTGGCATGATCATGGCTCACTGCAGCCTCCAACTCCTGGACTCAAGTGATCCTGCTGCCTCAGCCTCCCAAGTAACTGAGACTATGGGTACACACCACCACACCCGGCTAATTTGTAAATTTTTTGAAGAAGATGGGGTCTTGGCAAGGTGCGGTGGCTCATGCCTGTAATCCCAGCACTTTGGGAGGCCGAGGCAGGTGGATCACCTGAGGTCAGGAGTTCGAGACCAGCCTGGCCAACATGGTGAAACCCTGCCTCTACTAAAAATACAAAAATTAGCTGGGCATGGTGACGGGTGCCTGTAATCCCAGCTACTCGGGAGGCTGAGGCAGGAGAATCGCTTGAACTCAGGAGGCAGAGGTTGCAGTGAGCTGAGATTGCACCACTGCACTCCAGCCTGGGCAACAGAATAAGACTGTGTCTCAAAAAAAAAAAAAAAAAAAAAAAGAAAAGAAAAGAAAAGAAAAATCCCAACTCAATAAGAAAACAACCCAATTTAAAAATGGGCAAAAGATCTGAACAGATGCCTCTCCAAAGAAGAAATACAAATGGCAAATAAGCATATCAGAAGATGTTTAACAGCATACATCTTTAGGGAATTGCAAATTAAAACCACAAGGAGATACCGCTGCATACCTACTAGATAGCCAAAATCCAAAACACTGACAACTCCTAATGCTGGCGAGGACCTGGAGCAGCAAGAACTCCCACTCATTGCTGGTGAGAATGTGACGAGGTACAGCCACCCTGAAAAGCGGTTGGCAGTTCCTTCCGAAGCTAAGTATACTCTTACCATACAATTCAGCAATCACACTCCTTGGTATTTACCCAAATGATTTGAAAACTTATGTCCACACAAAAACCACCCCACATATATTTATAGCAGCCTTTTTTTCCTTAAAGACCAGTGCGATAGTATTAGCAGCTTTATTCGTAATTGGCAAAAACTGGAAGCAATTAAGATGTTCCTCAGTAGGTGAACAAATAAAATGTGGTATATCTGGACAATGGAATACTAGTCAGTGATAAAGAGGGGAAAGCTATGAACCCATGCAAAGAAATAAGTTAATCTTAAATACATATTGCATAGTAAAAAGCCTGACAAAGCTACCTACTCTATGACTCCATTTACCTGACATTCCGGAAAAAGCAAAATAGATTAAAAAAAAAAAAAAAAAGACAGAAAACGGATCCATGGTTGCCAGGGGTCTGAGAGAGGGGATCGTGCTTGGTAGGCGCAGCACAGGGATTCTGTAGCACAGGGAAACTGTTCTGTATGATGCTGTAATGGTGGACACGTGACACTCTGAATATGTCAAAACCCATAGAACTTTACAGCAGACAGAGGGAACTTAAAATAGGCATCTGTCAGACTAAGAGCAAAAGGAAGAACACATAAGCGCCGCACTCTAATTGATAAGATCACCCCCCACCAGGGTAGAGGTGAATGATTCTGCAACCTCTCCACCTTTATACCGGAATTCAAGAACTACGGCAATGGATGGAAGACGGTGGGAGCCAGGTTTCTCACTTTAATTTTAATTTTTAATTTTATTTTTAGAGACAGGATCTTGCTGTGTGGCCCAGGCTGGAGTGCAGTGGCACAATCATGGCTCACTGTAGCCTTGACCTCCTAGGCTCAAGAGATCCTCCTAACTCAGCCTCCCGAGTAGGTGGGACCACAGGCATGCACCACCATGCCTGGCTAATTTTTCATATTTCTGGTAGATTTGGGGTTTCACCATGTTGGCCACGCTTGTCTTGAACTCCAGATCTCAGATGATCCATCTGCCTCAGCCTCCCAAAGTGCTGGGGTTACAGGCATGAGCCACCGTGCCTGGCCTGGGTTTCTCACTTTTAGAGTGGGAGGTTATAGACAAGCAAGGGCAGGCAGCTAGAATGACCCAGGTGGTGATGGATTAGAGTTGGAGACATCAGTGTGCACTCCTGTTGAGTTTAATATAGATACTGATGCGCGTGTGTATCTGTTTATAGATGTTATGTTAGTAACATAACATGGGTTGGTATATATATTAAATGGGTATTATATGGGCTTGTATATCTATCTATCTATATGTACATGGGTTAGTGTATATATATACACTATATATACTACATATCTATCTATATGTACATGGGTTAGTGTATATATACACACTATATACAGACTATATATACACTATATACACTATATATATACATACACACTATATATACACACACTATATACACACTATATATATACACACTATATATACACACTATATATACACACTATATATACACTATATATATGCACTATATATATACACACACTATATATACACTATATATACACACTATATATATATACACACTATATATATACACTATATATATACACACTATATATATACACTATATATATACACACTATATATATATATACACTATATATACACACTATATATACACACTATATATATATACACACTATGTATATATATGTATATACACACACACACTATAAGTTCTTGCTGTCAGTGGAGAGGGCCTAGAAGCAGCAATACTCCAGGAACAATGGGCACACCTAGCGCCCAGATCTTCGTCTCCAACACCATTCTCTCAAAAATGGCTCCTTAGAGAAAACGGCTGCTTCTAGGACCGGTTCAGGAAATATAAGGGATGAGCACAGAGCCAGAAAGTAAGGAAGGGCTCACAGAGACAGACACGCCCACACCTACACGGGCATGCACACACACATGCAGTGATGAACGGACATCAAAAGGACACAGGTGGCTGGGCGCGGTGGCTCACGCCTGTAATCCCAGCACTTTGGGAGGCCGAGGAGGGTGGATCATCTGAGGTCAGGAGTTCGAGATCAGCCTGCCAACATGGTGAAACTGTCTCTACCCAAAAATACAAAAATTAGCCCAGCGTGGTGGCGGGTGCCTGTAGTCCCAGCTACTTGGGAGGCTGAAGTGGGAGAATCGCTTGAGCCCAGGAGGCGGAGGTCGTAGTGAGCGGAGATCACACAATTGCCTGCCAGCCTGGGTGACAAGACTGAGACTCCATGTTAGAAATGTTTGTTCCCCGGTGGCACAAAGAAATAGCACTTGAACATAAATTTAATTTTCTTTTTCTTTCTTTCTTTCTTTTTTTTTTTTTTTGAGATGAAGTCTCACTCTTGTGCCCCAGGCTGGGGTGCAATGGCACGATCTTGGCTCACTGCAACCTCCACCTCCCAGGTTCAAGCTATTCTCCTGCCTCAGACTCCCAAGTAGTTGGGATTACAGGCGTGAGCCACCATGCCCGGCTAATTTTTACATTTTTAGTAGAGACGGGGTTTCACCATGTTGGCCAGGCTGGTGTCGAACTCCTGACCTCAGGTGATTTGCCCACCTTGGCCTCCCAAACTGCTAGGATTACAGGCATGAGCCACCACACCCGGCATAAGTTTAATCTCCTTAGCAAGGCCATTTTTTAACTTTCTGCGGAAAGGGTACACTCGCCAGCAGTTTTGCCACATGAGTACACCAAACAAAGGAGGGAAGCAATTTTTATTCCTTATGCCGTTTGTCCTTGCTACTGTGTCCTGTTTCCATTGGCTGCAGCCAGACCTCACAATCTAACCTAAAACCCGATTGGCTAGTAGTTTAAAACTTTTGAAAATAGATAAAAGTAATGGAAGGATAAAGGAAAAGAGGAAGTTGCTTACGAAACGGCTTAGAAAAGTAATAATATTCCCCAATAGGAAAGGGAGATAGGCTGCGAGCTGGGACATGCCTGTGAGCACGTCCAGCACAGATATCTTGGTTAAAGTACAAGGACATAGAATGTACTACGTGCCTGTAAGCATGTTTAACAGCTACATAGGATAGGGCTTAACAAAGAGTTATTAGCACAAAGCAAGGAGGCTTGAAGGAAGTTAGTCTTTAAAAGAAACTATTATTTCTAAACTTATGATTTATTTTTTAATAAGAAGGGAAACTTTGAAGAGGAACTTTTTACTTTCTACACTCCATCTCAAAAAAAAAAAAAAAAAAAGAAAAGAAAAAAAAGAAAAGAAAAGCTATGTTGCCCAGGCTAGGCTGGAACTCCTGGGCTCAAGTGATCCTCCAGCCTCAGCCTCCTGAAGTGCTGGGATTACAGGCATAAGCCACCTTGCCAGGCCGGAGGGTGTAATTTCTCTTGTAAACACACAATATAGGCCTGGTGCGGTGGCTCACGCCTGTAATCCCAGCACTTTGGGATGCTGAGGCAGGCAGATCACCTGAGGTCAGGAGTTCGAGACCAGCCTGGCCAACATGGTAAAACCCTGCCTCTACTAAAAATACAAAAATTAGCTTGGTGTGGTGGCATGCACCTGTAGTCCCAGCTACTCGAGGCTGAGGCGGGAGAATTGCTTGAACCCAGGAGGCAGAGGCTGCAGTGAGCTGAGATGGCACTACTGCACTCCAGCCTGGGCGACAGTGAGACCCTGTCTCAAACAACAACAACAATAACAAACCAAAAAAAACCCCATGATACAATGATTCAAACAAAAACTGTGCCATCAGCTTTTACATGAGGCCAGGGCCACCTGAGTCACCTCGTGGACCAATACCTGCCCGCTGGCTCGTCTTTCCCAGGCCCACTTTGGAGGTGGGTGCTTTCCTTCTGGCCTCCAGTTTCCATCTGCTGCCCCTCAGATAGGTCTCTTTGTGCCATCTCTTTCCACGCGGGCAGTTTTTTATTACTTTTCTGGGGCACAGAAATATGTGTATTTCTATTTCTTTTTATAACCCAGGACCATGTTGTAGAACTCTGCTTGGGCAAAGCACCATTGGCGTATTAGACATTCTGGGGAACTATCTGTAGGTATCTGTAAACAAATTGCACTTCCTGCTGTCATGAGAAGGGGCTCACCATCAGTTCCATTCCTATTTTTTTCTGTTTTAGATGTCGGTCCCAGGAAACCATTTTCACATAGAGGAGCAGGTGGGACTGGAGTTTCTGAGTGCTGGGGTCCCTGGAGCCTTCTGCAGTGTCCTGGGAGGGGTGACTGGGAAAGGCCAGGGGGCAAGAGCTGCTAGGGGCCTTCTCAGATTTCCCAGTTTTTACACAGAGTATATATGGGAGTTGAGGTCTGGAAAAATGATTTTTTAAAAACTCTTCCTGCCCCGTGGACTCTCTTGAAGACGTCGTGTCATGCCAGGGCCCACGGTCACTTGACGGAACCCTTGTGATGCTGGCCACAACCTCATGGGACTGGATGGCGAGCAGCGAGGGGGGTCCAGTAACTGTTGGATGCAGGATTGAATTCGGTCACCCGCACTTATTTCCTGGGCTCGTCTTGGTTGGGTTCGCGGAGATACACTCTCTGGGAGCGGACGCTTTGGTGAGGAAGACCAGGCGAAGAAGGTGATTTTTGCGGTTGGACGTTCTAAAGACAGGGCAGGGTTATGCGGAGAGAATTGGCAGGGGCAGGGCGGGGGAGGCCGGTTTGAGGAGGGGACATTTGAGCCGAGATCTGATGGAACGAGGAGCCAAGCCAGGCAGATATCTGATCGAAGAACATTCCAGGCAGGGGAGCAAAGGCTAGGGCCGTCAGGAGGCCAGTGTGGCCGGGGAAGAGGTGGAGGAGGAGGGGCCAGGGCAGTCGTTAGGCCGCCCCCTAAGGACTCATGCTTTGACTTGGATTGACATAGAGAGCTGCAGGAGGGTGACATGATCTCAATAAAAGGAATGCTCTGGCTGCTGGGTAGAGAAGAAAGCGAGGGTGAGGGATTAATGGTGGAGCCAGAGGGAGCCCAGTGAGTGCCGGGAGCCCAGGGTGGCAGAGCTGTGGTGCAGGGTTGCAGGGTCCTGGAGCTAGGCATGGAGGCTGCTTTCGGGCAAGTGGCCGGGTCAGCCTGTCCTCGGAGAGGCGGTGAAGGCAGAGACTGGAAGGCAGAGAGCCTTGCCGACCTGTGGCCGAAGAGCTCTCCGGGAGACAGCCACCGGTGGTGCAAAGGCCCTGGGGCCGGCCCAGCCGGGCCGCAGCTCCGGGAGGCGGCGCGAGCGAGCAGTGGGCTGGGCGGTGGCGGCCGGCACCCGAGCCGGATCCCGGCGATTGCCTTACAAGGTGCCCTGCGGCGCCGCGGCCGCGCTGGGCCACTGCGTGCTTGGGCGGCTGGCGGGGGCGTGCGCGGAGGGGGCGGGGCCGGCGGGGCGCGGGCGGGGGGCTTGGCGCTGCGGCCACTGCGCGGCACGACGCTGCGGCACCCGCTCCAGGTCTGCACCTGCTCCGGGGCGCGGGGACGCGCGGGGCGGGGGCGCACCGGATCCGGCCCGCGGCCGCCGCAGCCTTGCGCGTCCGCAGCACACCTGTCACGCCTGGCGCGCCCCCTGCCCGCACGCGCTCGGTCCACGCAGCTCGGGACGCGGGCGGCCCAGGCTGCCAGGTCCCCCTGCTCCGCGGCGCCGAGGGCTGGGCTGCGTCTGCGGCCGCGTGGGTGGCCGCGGTCTTGGCAGGTGGCTGCGCGCGGGGGTCGCAGGTGCATCCCGGGCGGCTTGGTGGCTTGGGCAGCGGGTGCCTGTGGGCGCTGTGCCATGGGTGGCGGGTCTAGGCGGGGGTGGGGGCTTGGGCGCTGTAGATGTGTGGATGGGGGAGGGACGGCGTGGGTGAGCATGGAGCCTTCTGGAAAGCGGCCGGATGTGTGGAGGCAGAGAGGCAGCATCCAGGCGCTGGTCGCCTTCGGGGTGCGGGGGAGGGTGCGTGGGATAGCAGCTGTAGGCCTGGGATGTGGAGGCGTGTATGCGGTGGCCTCGCTGGGAGGCGTCCGTCTGGGGGTGTGGACCTGGACGGGGGAGGGGAGGGTCGAGCGCGCAGCGGCAATGGCTGAGGCCTGCCTGGCAGGGGGTGGAGGAGGAAGCTGCCCTTGCCCCCGGCGGGGCGGGGAGAGACCCCCATCACCTCTCCCCTGCCCCTGCAGACATGCTGCTGCTGAAGAAACACACGGAGGACATCAGCAGCGTCTACGAGATCCGCGAGAGGCTCGGCTCGTGAGTGTGCGCGCGCGTGTGTGATCGTGTGTGTGTGTGTGTGTGTGTGTGTGTACCTGTGTGAGATGGCATGTGTGTGTGACTACGCGAGTGGGTGTGAGATGATGTGTGTGTGTGTGAATATGTAGGGGTGTGTGAATGTGAGTGAGTCTGTGAGATGGCATGTGTGAGTGGTGGTGGGGGGTGGCACAGGGCCAGGTAGGGCCTCCCCATCTCCTTCACAGGGGGCCCTCCCCGCTCCACTCTCTCTCCCTCCTGCCTCTCCTCTCTTCCCACTTCCTTCCCACCTCCCACCGCCCCGTCTGCGGCAGGGGTGCCTTCTCCGAGGTGGTGCTGGCCCAGGAGCGGGGCTCCGCACACCTCGTGGCCCTCAAGTGCATCCCCAAGAAGGCCCTCCGGGGCAAGGAGGCCCTGGTGGAGAACGAGATCGCAGTGCTCCGTAGGTGCGCACCTCGCGGGGCCCTGGGACGGGGCATAGGTCGATGGGGGGGTGCAAGCAGTCCTTGGCTCTAGTCCAGGCCTGGCCACCAACCTTTGGGAGGCCTGGGGCAGTGCTCTCTCTGGGCCTGCACATCCCTGTGGCAAAGGGAGTGAGTTGATATTGATCTGTGCTTTTCAAATGGGCTTTAGAAGGAAGGCCGGGGCTCAGGCTGGAGCTCTGCCTTCCTGGACCGGGCAGGGGTGGCATGTGGTAGGGAATGGGGAGCAGAGGTGGGAGGAAGAGAAGAGGGAGGAGGCTTTCCCCAGGGCCTCAGGACAGAGCACCCCTTGACTCTGTTGGCCCACAGGCGCTTCCTTGCCATTGCAGGATCAGTCACCCCAACATCGTCGCTCTGGAGGATGTCCACGAGAGCCCTTCCCACCTCTACCTGGCCATGGAACTGTGAGGAGGGCCTGGGCAGGCTGTGGGAGCCGGGGAGGGACTGAGCAGTGAGTGGGGCTGAAGGCCAGGCTGAGTGCCTGGGTCAGCCAAACCCCTGGCACCCCCAGGGTGACGGGTGGCGAGCTGTTTGACCGCATCATGGAGCGCGGCTCCTACACAGAGAAGGATGCCAGCCATCTGGTGGGTCAGGTCCTTGGCGCCGTCTCCTACCTGCACAGCCTGGGGATCGTGCACCGGGACCTCAAGGTGCCTGGCTGGGGCCTCTGCACCCCACCCTCCCACCTGCCCACCTGGCCCTGCCTTTGTTTTCCCGGGAGCACGGCTGGGGCCTTTCTTGATCTCCTGCTCCACCAAGGCTCTGGGGAACCTGAGAGTGCCTAGTCCCCATCCTGTCCCAGCACCGGCACCGCGTCAGGACTGACTGGCCCTTTTCCCGGTGTCCGTGTGTCACAGCCCGAAAACCTCCTGTATGCCACGCCCTTTGAGGACTCGAAGATCATGGTCTCTGACTTTGGACTCTCCAAAATCCAGGCTGGGAACATGCTAGGCACCGCCTGTGGGACCCCTGGATATGTGGGTGAGGGACGACACCCTGAGGCTTGCTGGGAGTGGGGTGGCCTGGGGGACCCTAGACAGCCGGGAAGGCTGTTGTGCCCGTTGCCTTTGTGTGGGCCATTCCTGGGCTTGAGTAGGCCGAGCCAGTGACACTGAGCGGCATGGCTGCGTGTGTGCCTGTGCGTGCGTCTGTCTGTCTCTGGCCCCCAGCCCCAGAGCTCTTGGAGCAGAAACCCTACGGGAAGGCCGTAGATGTGTGGGCCCTGGGCGTCATCTCCTACATCCTGTGAGTGACCGCTGGGAAGGCTTGTCTCCTGCCTGCCTGCCCCTGCTGGGTTGGGGAGGGTGGGACAGCTGGATGATTCATCTGTGGGTGCCAGGCTGTGTGGGTACCCCCCCTTCTACGACGAGAGCGACCCTGAGCTCTTCAGCCAGATCCTGAGGGCCAGCTATGAGTTTGACTCTCCTTTCTGGGATGACATCTCAGAATCAGGTGAGCTTGAGGCTGGCCCGTGCTTGGAGGTGATGCAAGGGAGTGGGGACCTGACAGGCTGACCCAGCCTCCCTGTTCCAGCCAAAGACTTCATCCGGCACCTTCTGGAGCGAGACCCCCAGAAGAGGTTCACCTGCCAACAGGCCTTGCGGCACCTTTGGTGAGTGGGAGCCCTGCTGAGCTGCCCCAGGGCCAGGGGGCCTGCATTTGCAGAGAGACCCCCCCTGACCTTCAGCCTTTCCCCAGGATCTCTGGGGACACAGCCTTCGACAGGGACATCTTAGGCTCTGTCAGTGAGCAGATCCGGAAGAACTTTGCTCGGACACACTGGAAGGTCAGTGTGGAGAGAGACCCAGTGTGGTCGCCCGCCGCACCCCAGCTGTAGCCTGATCGCCGTGGCTGCCCAGTGACCACTGCAGTCCTCACAGTCTAGGGGCTGGGGCCTGGGCCCAGGCCTGGCCTGATCTCCCTCTCTTCTGGCAGCGAGCCTTCAATGCCACCTCGTTCCTGCGCCACATCCGGAAGCTGGGGCAGATCCCAGAGGGCGAGGGGGCCTCTGAGCAGGGCATGGCCCGCCACAGCCACTCAGGCCTCCGTGCTGGCCAGCCCCCCAAGTGGTGATGCCCAGGTGTGTTTGGGTGGACCCTGCACGCCCAGGAGCTGGCTCCTTGGAGAGCTTAGAGGGTGGTGGCGCTCCATGTGGCCAAGAGCTAAGTGGGGTGGCCCCCACAGGCCAGAGGACTGAAGGCAGAGAGCAGAGGGAGGAGCCAGGGCCCCAGGAGAGGTGGAAGGACAGGGAGGGCCAGTGGGTGCTTGACATTGGGCAAGGGGGTGCAGGGGGAGAGGGCCTCTAAGAAGTCCGGGATTTGACCGAGGCGGGGGGTGGGGGCACAGGGCTGGCAGGCCGGCTCCTGACTACCCCCTTTCCCTCTGCTTCTCCCTCTCAGGCAGATGCCGAGGCCAAGTGGACTGACCCCCAGATTTCCTTCCCTTGGATGCTTTCGGTCCCCTCCCCCAACCCCTCCCCCTGGGGCTGGCCTCTGCTGGATTTTGAGATTTGAGGGTGTGGCGCATGGCGCTGGGGTTGGAATGGGGCACCCCCAAGTCTGTCCCCAGGCTCTGCCCTGCCTGGGGGCAGTGGCTCCCCTCCCCTGTTGCCTCTCCCGCCCCTGCCCCCCCCGCCCCGCCAAAAGCCGAGGGGGTGCTGGCAGGCGGGCCTCAGGGGCTGTCTTTCCTGCACGGCTGTTGTGTGCTTCGCTGAGTGTGGGTGGTCCTGCTTGTGTCATGGTCATGGCCTTCCAGCCCCCTCCAGTTTTCCCCAAACCAATAAAGAAAGATACAGCAATGGGCCAGTGGTGACCTGGGGGTGCGGCGAGTGTGGAGGGGACCTGGTCACTTGTGGGAAGGAAACCAATGAGAGCCTGCCACACGGCTTCGCCCACTGCCACCTGAACCTCTGCTTCCCCAGACAAGTTTCCAACTGTCCAAAAACTTCCTGTCCCCTCCCCCCAAAGCACCAACAAGTGGCAGCGTGGCCGGGCAGCTCTGCCACCCCAGAGGTGTAACTGCCCAGCCTTGGGGTCCTGGGACAAAGTGGAGGCAGCGCACGCCTGCTGGGCTGCCAGCAGGGGGCGCAGTCAGGAGGCTGAGTGCTGGCTCCAGACCCCCAGGGATGTGCTCCAGTGCCCCTGCCATGCAGGGCCGGGCCTGGGGTGCCTCAGCCAGGTGCCTGGGACTGGGAAGGGCTCACAGGTGCATGGAGGGCGACCAGAGCCCAGGACTGTCACCTTCCATCCCTCCCTCCCTTCCCTTTCTTGATGGCCAGAGGCCATCTTGTCGAGCAGAAGAGTAGGGGACCCCAGGGTCAGGGGGTGAGAGGAGCTCCTTGTCCAGGAGAGGGCGACACAGGGCCCTCTTCCCCTCTGCTGTGCGGGGGCTTTGGAACCCTCAGGCTCCAGGCTGGGGTAGACCTGGGCTGGCAGCTGGGGCTCTGGGAGCAGTGGCAGCTTGGCGGTGGCTTCTGAAGTGGAGAGCCGTGGCCTGTCCTCTGGTCTGAGTGGCCCCAGCCCCACCAACCTCCATTTTGGAGGGGCCAGGGCTCCAGAGCCCTGCCTTGCTGGGTCCCAAAGCTCTGCTGGCCCCTCTAGGCCTTTCTCTTGGGCCCATCAGGGGAAGACCCCTAGAGCCACTTCTTGGCCCCAGCGAGAGTTCCAGGCAAGCTGGCCACCCCTCCCTCCACTCTGAGACCCTTGCTCCCTGCCAGCCCTCAGAGTGTAAGCCTGATGACCCATGGCTTGACTGGCGAGAATGGTAGAGAAGATCACTCTCCTTGTTGAACTTTGGGCCCCAAAGGGAGGCGGTGAGGCTCAAACCAAGGCTGGCCTGGGTCTTGTGGGTGAAGGCTGGAGTGGGGTTCAGGGTTGGAGCCAGGGGACCTGGCTTCCACCAGGGAGAGCAGGCTGGAGGTGGGTGGGCAGCCTCCTCCTCCATCCCCACAGCCGCTCCCAGGCCATCCTTCGCTCCAGGCTTTGGGCCCCACAGGGGACCTCAGTCAGCCAGTACCACGGCTTCCTCGCCTCCAAGACCTGTCCCACCTGCCCTCACCCCTACGTGGGGCCTTGTTGCCTGTGGGCACCCCTGCTGTGGGCCCCCCTTCCCATCTTCTCTGTTGTTCACACTGGACTCCCACGATACCTACTTGCTGTTGTTTTGGTCAGATGTTGACTGAGCCTCTACTCTGGGCCAGGTGCTGGGCACTGACCTGGGCCTATCAGAAGAGGCGCCTGCCCTCCAGGAGGACGCCCTCTATTGGAGGGGTGGTTTTACGGGGATGATAAAAATGATCTTTGTGGGTCTGGGAGCAATGAGCAGGAGTGCCAGAGCCAGCCTTACAGAAGAAACCGGCACTCGCTCAGAACAGCCAGCTCTTCCAGTCCAGGCACGTGGCCAGATCGCTTCGGCTTGGAGCTTAAGCCAGCTCTGGGCTGCCTTGACACAGGGTGCAATATGGCCTCCCGTCAGCAGGGGGAGCCACGGCCCCATCTTTAGACGTCCATTAGCCTCCCTAGTTCCTTCAGCACCCTGGGCAGCCTCTCAAATCCATTCCTCTCCGCGACTGCCCCTACCCCACACCCTGCAAATCCTGCCTTGGGGAAGTCCAACCTTGGGGGAGAGGTCCTGCCCATCTGTGATAGGGGCGAGAGGGGGAACCCCCAGGTCAAGCAGAGGCGGCACCCCTCCTTCATCCCTCCGAGACCGCATATGAGGAAGGCAGTTTGGGTCACCTAGGCAGTGGGATGGCAGCCTGGGAGAGAGAAAGGACTGGTTTAGCCAAAGGCAAAAGGTGGTGTGTGTGTGTGAAGTGATGGCAAGGGAGCTGTGCTGGACACTGTGAGGGCTTCTCAGGCTCAGGGCTGGTGCTGAGGCTGGCAGCAAGAGGAACGGGCCAGACCAAGCCTGGCAGGGGAAGGAGCTGGAGCTGTAGTCTAGGAGCAGTGGGGAGCCATCGAAGGGGTTTGTAGCCAGAGAGCATCCTTGCCCAGTGTGGGTTAGGTGCTGAGCCGGGGCCGGCTGCTAGGAATTGGGGTGTCTGGAACCAGACCAGAATTGAGGGTCAGGGGAACCCTGGTGGGCATCACAAAAGGAAGCTGTCTCTGCTGTTCTGGGCCACACAGGGTGGGTCACGTGCTCTATCTTGAAGCAAACCTGTGGGTAGCGGAGTTTCAAGGGAAGCTCAACCTGTGGGTCCACCCTAGGGACAGGGAGACACGGAGGTGGTCCTAGGAGCTCTTTGGGAGTCATGTGGACAGGTCTTGGTGATGGGTTGCAGGTGGGGAATGAAGCGGGGGGATCCAGGTAGATCATGTTTCTGGCAGCAGAACATTCATCAAGAAGAGTTCAACGGGCATTACTTTGGGGGAGGAGTAATGAGATTGATTCTGGATGTGGTGAGTTCGAGGTGCCTGACGGGCATGAAAGTAGACTTACTTTTCACCCTTCTCTTTGCAAATATGTATCTAGCATTGTATCTGGTATTTCTGGAAGGCTTATTCCTTTTAATAAAAAGAACACTGATCCCTCGAGCCCAGGAGTTCGAGACTAGCCTGGGTAAGATGGCGAGAACCCACCTTTACAAAAAAAAAAAAAAAAAAAAAGCATGCTAGTAACGACTCTTTATTGAAGAGCTTTCCATGTATTAACTTGAACCTCACCTGTGAGATAGCTGCTATCATGATCATCATCCCCACTTCACATATGGAGAAACTGAGGCATACAGAGGCTAAGTGAGCCAAAGCCATACAGCTTGTGGCACAGTGAGGATTTGAACCCACACTCTGCCACTGCATCCTCTTGCTTGCATCCATGCAAGCGAGGTCTTGCTTGGGACATGATTGTGTGGGGAATTGAAGAAAACAAGGCGGCATTCTTTCCCCACTTCTCTTTGTGAATGCAAACTCTGTGTGTCTGAAGGAAAGAGAACCCTGGGCTGGGGGAACCCACGCTGGATTTGAGTTGGGGTCTTGCAGATGGTTTGTGTTGCCATTTTTTTTTTTTTTTTTACGAGATGAGGTCTCACTGTGTTGCCCAGGCTGGAGTGCAGTGGCTATTCACTTCACAAGTGTGATCCTACTACTGATCAGCACACGAGTTTTGACCTACTCCGTTTCCGACCTGGGCTGTTTCACCCCTCCGCAGGCAACCTAGTGGTCCTCTGCTCCCAGAATATTGATGCTGAACTTAGTACGGACACCTGATGGACATAGCACACTACAGCCCAGAACTCCTGGGCTCAAGTCATCCCCAACCTCCCGAGTAGCTAGGACTACAGGTGTGAGCCACCATGCCACCTGGCTTGTGTTGCCTTTAAGCTCCTCTGTGCCTCAATTTTATGTCCTGTTAAGTGGGAACCAGGGAGGTCTTTGCACAGTGGTGGAAATGGGGCATGGGAGCTGGGCCCTACAAAGATCCCTTTGGAGTTCGGTGTGAGCGATGGCCTGGAAGTGGGGCAGGGCAGGGCTGGTGGCTGGGAGACAAGCCTGAACCATGTGGAGAACAAGGCAAGAGATGTGGGACTACTGGAAAGATGGAGCTTGGTCATCGACTCAATGGGGGTGGTGGGGGGGTTGTGAGGGAGTTGAGGATGCTGCCAGGGAACCCGGGAGAGCAACAGGTCTGTTGAAGAGACGAAGTGACCAAGTCGGGCCCCCTGGCCAGGCGGTGGCTGAGTTGGCACTATAAGCCACATGTTTCTTCCTGCCAGGCACTGTCTGGGCATGTGGCAACCATGTTCTCCACCCCACCCCAGCTTCATCCACGGATCCCTATCACTAGCCCCAACACCAGGTGGGCAAGATAAGAAGTATGGAATGTTTCAGAAATAACAAAGAATCCCGTCTGGTTGAGGGAGGTTGTGAGAGGAGGTGGGTAGAGATCAGCCTGGAAAGTGAACTTTCTCAAGAGGGCACTGGGAGCCACGGACGTTTTAAACAGAACAAGTGACAGGATCTGATTTTTGCTTTAAGATAATTTTTCAATATTTTTCAACCCTATTATCTGCCCCCTTTTGAGAAATAGAAAAAGCCCATGCTTACTATCATGCTGGTCTTTAAAAAACAAAAGCTCATGCCCATCTCTCCAGAGCTCCTCCCTCACACCCCGTGGAGATTTCCACAGTTTCCCTCACCCCAGGGAACCAAGTCTTTCCTCACATGATGTCCTGAGTAGAGGCTCAACTGCTTTTTGCCAGTTTCTCCTTGTAGTTCTTTCAATTATTGCTTTATGTATTTATAAGTTATGTTATTCAGTGTATTTGAGTTTAGAATTGGTATGTATTTTAGGTAAGTTGAATATTTGATCAAAATATAGTGATATATGTTAATACTAGCAATGATTTTCCCTTATAGTCTACTTGGTCTGATATTAACATAGCAACTATAACTTTTTTTGGTTAACATTTAACTGGTATAGTTTTTTCAATCCTTTTCCGTTCAAATTAAAAATTTGTTTTTATTGAGATACAATTCACATACCATAAAATTCACCCTGTAAAACGTACAATTCAGCAGTGTTTAGTATATTTACAGTGTTTTGCAGCCATCACCACCATCTAATTCCAGAACATTTTGATCACCCCAAAAGGAAACCTTGTACACATTTGCAGTAGCTCCCCATTTACACACCGCACCCCCCCCCACCAGTGCTTGGCAACCACTAATTGACTTTCTATCTTTGTGGATTTGCTTATTTCAATATTTCAAATAAATGGAATCATACCATACATGGGCTTTTGTGTCTGGCTTACTCTTACTATGATGTTTTCAGGGTTCATCCATATTGTAGCATGGATCAGTACTCCATTCCTTTTTACAGCTGAAGAATATTTTATTGTATGGATAGACCACATTTTATTAACTATCGATGGACATTTGGGTTGTTTCCACTTTTAGCTGTTGTGAATAATGCTGCTATGAACAACTGTGTGCAAGTTTTTGTGTGGATGTGGATTTTCAATTGTCTTGAGTATATACCTAGGAGTAGAATTGCTGGGCCATATGATAACTCCATGTTTAACTTTTGAAGGAAATGCCAAGCTGTTTTCCAAAGCAACGGCACCATTTTACATTCCCACCAGCAATGCGTGAAGTTCAAATTTCTCTCCATCCTTGTCAACACTTGTTATTGTGTGTGATTTTTAAAATAGCCATTCTAGTGTGTGTGAAATGCTATCTCATTGTGGTTTTGATTTGTATTGCTCTAATGACCAATGATATTGAGCATCTTTTCATGTATTTATTATTTATATATCTTATTTGGAAAAATGTTCATTCGAAACTTCTGTTCTTTTTTTAATTGGATAATTCATCTTTTAATTGTTGAGCTGTAAGGGTTCTTTATGTATTCTGGATATTAGATCCTTATCAGATATATGATTTGTAAATATTTTCTCCCATTCTGTGGATTATCTTTTCACTCTTTGATAGTGTCTTTTGATGCACATGGGTTTTTTTTTTTTTTTTTTTTTTTTGAGATGGAGTTTCACTGTTGTCACCCAGGCTGGAGTGCAGTGGCATGATCTTGGCTCACTGCAACCTCTGCCTCCCGGGTTCAAATGATTCTCCTGCCTCAGTCTCCCAAGTAGCTGGGATTGCAGGTGTCTGCCACCATGCCTGGCTAATTTTTTTTGTATTTTTAGTAGAGACGGGGTTTCACCATGTAGGCCAGGCTGGTCTCGAACTTCTGACCTCAGGAGATCTGCCCATCTCAGCCTCCCAAAGTGCTGGGATTACAGGCGTGAGCCCCCGCGCCCAGCCAGAGAGTGTTGCTATGTTAAAACGATGTTGTTTTCCAATCCATGAACACAGAATATCATTCCACTTATTTTGCTCTTTAATTTTTTTAATGATGTTTTACAGTTTTCAGTGTATACATTTCGCACTTCTTTTGTTAAATTTATTTGTAAATTTTATTCTTTTTATGCTCTTGTACACAGAATTGTTTTCATAATTTCATTTTTGAATTGTTCGTTAAAAGTGTATAGAAGTAACCATTGATTTTCTTTGTATATTGATCTTGTATTCTGCGGCCTTGCTAAACTTTTTATTAGCTCTCTCTCTCTCTCTTTTGGGGGGGACTGGGGTCTTGCTCTGTCACCCAGGCTAGAGGCTGGAGTGCAGTGGTGCAATCATAGCTCACTGCAGCCTTGAACTCCTGGGCTCAAGCAAATCCTCCCCTCTCAGCCTCCAGAGTAGCTGGGACTACAGGAGCAGGCCACCATGCTCGGTTCTAATTTACTTTACTTTATTTTATTTATTTTATTTTATTTTATTTTATTTTATTTTTAGAGATGGAGTCTCACTATGCTGCACACGTGGGTGTTGAACTCCTGGGCTCAAGTAATCCTCCTGCCTCAGCCTCCCAAAGCACTGGGATTATAGGCATAAGCCACCATGCCTGGCCCTTTTTATTAGTTCTAGTAGGTTTTATTTGTGTGGATTCTTTGTGATTTTCTACACACAGCACGTGTCATCTGCAAGTAAAGAAAATTTTTACTTATTCCTTTCCAATTGGGATGCTTATAATTTCCTTGTTCCCTTCCTTTTCTCTTTTTTTCTTTTTGTTTCTCCAGCTTATTGCACTACCAAGAACCTCCAATACTACATTAAATACAAGTGGTAAAAGAATCCTTTCCTTGTTCCTAATCTTAGAGGGAAAACGTTTAGTCTTTCATCATCAAGTATGATGTTAGCTGTGGATTTTTCATAGATGCCCTTTATCGTGAGTAACTTCCATTCTGTTCCTAGTTTGTAGAAAGGTTTTTTTTTTTGGGGGGGGGGTGGGGGGCGTTCCTGAGTTTATTTGGGGCACACCCGGGCGAGGGCCCTGCCCTTAGAAGAAGGTATCGGGCCTCTTGGTGGTGAAGCGTGGTTTGTGCTGACGGCGCAGGACCCTGTGGGGCAGCGGGAACTTGATCTTGGAGTCGTGGAACTGCTTGACGGTCGGCCGGCGGCACTTGCTGGCTGCGATGTCCTCCACCTTCCTGATCTGGATGGAGTGGGCCCGGGCGCGGTGCCGGGCGCCCATGTCTCGATAGCACTTGGTGACAGCGCCCGCGGTGGTCAGGTCCCGGTATTCCCGGTATATGTTGTGGGTGCCGCGCCGGGAGTCATAGCGCAGCCAGATGCCGAAGTTCTTCACCCGCAGGGGGCGCTTCTCAAACACCTGCCCACAGTAGACAATCTCCCCTGAAGACTTCTTCAGCTTCTTTAACTGAGATACGAAGTACCAGAAGTGGGACTTAGCGACGACATGATTAGGAGCAAAGATTCGCATGCGGTAGAGGGGCGGTGTGTGGCATTTGGGGGCGGGCAGGCAGCGACCCACCACCTGGTACTCTAGTCGTGTGCCCGGGGCCTTCATGGCGTCCTCTGCGCTCGCCGCCACCCGCAAAAGGACTGTTTTAAATCATGAATGGATGTTAGATTCTGTCGAATCTTTTTATGCACCTATTGAGAGGATCATACGGTTTTTGTCCTTTTCTGTTCATGTGGTGGATGACACTGAGTTTCAGATGTCAAATCAAGCTTGGGTTCTTGGTATAAATCCCACTTGATGATGGTGCCCAATCCTTAGGTGCTGCTAGATTTAGTTTTTAAATATTGTGTTACAGATGTTTGCATCCAGGAGTTCATGAAGGATATTGATATGTAGCTTTTTTCCTTGTGATATACTTGGTGCAAGGGTAATACTGGGCTGATAGAATGAGATGGAAAGTGTTCTTACTCCTCTATTTTCTGAAAGAGTCTGTGAAGGATTGGCATTAATCATTCTTTAGTTATTTGATAGAATTCACCAGTGAAGCCATCGGGGCTTGGATTTTTTTTGTGGGAATATTTTCAAGTACTAATTCAATTTATTTTCTTGGTATAGGTCTATTCAGATTTTTAATTTATTTTAAAGTCAGTTTTGGTCATGTGTCTTTCTAGGAATTTCTCCATTTCATCTGAGTTGTCCAGTGTTTTTGGCATAAAGTGGTCAAAGCATTCTCTTATAATCCTTTAAATTTCTATAGGTCAGTAGTAATGCCCCCCTTTTCTCTTCTTGATATTGGTAATTTGATTCTCTTTTCTTTTTGGTCACTCTACCCAAGACAATTTTGCTGATTTTTCAAAGAGCTGACTTTTCTTTTCATTGATTTTTCTCTATTGTTTTCCTGTTTTCAATTCCATTAGTTTCTGTGCTAATCTTTATTTCCTTCCTTCTGCTTGCTTTGGGTTTAGCATGCTCTTCTTTTTCTAATTTGTCAAGGTAGAGACGTAGGTTATTAATTTGAGATCTTTCTTTTTTTGCTGGTATAGGCCTTTAAAGCTGTAAGTTTCCTTCTAAGTACTGCTTTAGCTGCATTCCATAAATTTTGATATGTTTTGTTTTCATTTTCATTCTCATTTCATTCTTTCTAATTTCCTTTGTTTTTTATTTGACGTGCCAGTTATTTAGAAGAGTGTTGTATAATTTCCAAGTATTTTGGACTTCCTAGGTTTCTATCTTTTTAGATTTATAATTTAATTCTGTTGCAGTCAGAGAAATATTTTATATTATTTAAATTATTTAAATTCCTTTAAATATATTGAGACTTGTTTTATGGTCTATCCTGGAGAATGTTTCATGTGCACTTGAAAAAAATGTGTATTTGGCAATTGTTGAATGGTGTGTTCTATAGGTATCAGTTAGGTCAAATTTGTTGATAGTGTTGTTCAGATTTTATATATCCTTGCTGATCTTCTGTCTAGTTCCATCAACTATTGAAAATAGAGCATTGAAATGTCCATCTGTTATATTTGAATTTTCTTTTGTATTTTTAGTAGAGACAGGGTTTCCCCATGTCGGCCAGGCTGGTCTTGAACTCCTGACCTCAAGTGATCTGCCCGCCTCGGCCTCGCAAAGTGCTGGGATTACAGGCGTGAGCCACCGTGCTGGCCAATTTTCCTCTGTTGATTTTTAATTACATTGAAGCAGAAATTTAGACATAAACATGCTTCATTCACTCCAAGTTTGAGTTATTTTCTTAGGGTTTTCTCTAGCTATTACATTATGAGTCTTAACTAATCACAATCCACCTCAGATGAATACTCACTTAATTTTGGTGAAATATGGAGACTTTGCCTCAGTATGGCTACATTCTTTCCCACTTCTTTTGTGCTAGTAATGCCATGTTTATTACATCTATATAGGTTATAAGCCCTGAAATACAGTGTAATACCTATTTTTTAATGCAATCTTATGTTTTTAAAAGAGAAGAAATGAATAAAAATATGTTGAGAGGCTTTTATATTAGCTCACTTATTAACCATTTTTTCTGCTCTCCATTTCTTACTTTGAATTCCAGTTACTAACTGGTGTCATTTCCTTTCAGCCTGAAGGACTTCCTTGAGTATTTCTTGTAAGGAGGCAGGCTAGCAATGAACTATGTTAGCCTTTGTTTATCTGGGAATGTCTTTTTTTAAACCTTCAATTTTTTTTTTTTTTTTTTTTTTTTTTTTGAGATGGAGCCTCTCTCTGTCACCCAGGCTGGAGTGCAGTGATGTGATCTCGGCTCACTGCAACCTCTGCCTCCCAGGTTCAAGCGATTCTCATGCCTCAGCCTCCCAAGTAGCTGGGATTACAGGTGCATGCCACCATGTCTGGCTAATTATTGTATTTTTAGTAGAGACGGGGTTTCACCATGTTGGTCAGGTTGGTCTCGAACTCCTGACCTCAGGTGATCCGCCTGCCTTGGCCTCCCAAAGTGTTGAGATTACAGGCGTGAGCCACCGCACCCAGCTATGCACCCAGCTTCAATTTTTAAAGCATAGTTTTGCTAGATATAAAATTTGGGGGCTGGGTGCAGTGGTTCACACCTGTAATCTGAGCACTTTGGGAGGCTGAGGCAGGCAGATCATTTGAGCCCAGGAGGTTGAGGCTGCGATGAGCTGAGATCACACCACTGCACTCCAGCCTGGGTGACAGACTGAGACTCTGTCTCAAAACAAATTTTTTTTGGTTGATAGTATTTTTTTCTTTCAGTGCTTTCAGTTTGTTGTTCCACTCCCTTGTGGCCTCCATTGTTTCTGATGAGAAGTCAGATGTTAATTTTATTGTGGTTCCCTTCTATATGGGTCATTTATTTCTTCTGCTATAATACTTTCAAAATTGTCTGTCTTTGGCTTTCGATAATTTACCATGAAATGTCTATGAGTGGCTCTCTTTGTGTTTATCTCACTTGGGGTTATTCGAACTTCTTGGATCTGATGAATGCTTTTCACCAAATGCTGGTGTTTAGCCATTATTTATTCAAATATTTATTCTGCCCCTTTCTCTTTCTCCTCTTCCTCAGAGCCTCCAATTACACATATCAAAATATGTGTTCAGTTTTAAGTCTGTTCTGGTTTTACTTCTTCTTAGGAGACACTGATGACTTGCAGGCTCCTTACATGCTGGACCAGAAACTGAAATTCCTCTCTGTCACCCAGGCTGGAGTGCACTGGTGTGATCACGGCTCACTGCAACCTCCACCTCCTGAGCTCAAGCAATCCTCCTGCTGCAGCCTTCTGAGTAGCTGGGACTATAGGTGTGCACCACCACGCCTGGCTAATTTTTTGTATTTTTTTGTAGAGATGGGGTTGTGCCATACTTCCCAGAGTGGTCTTGAAGTCCTGGGCTCAAGCAATCCATATGGGCCACATTTTTATGTCTCTTCTATCTGAGTCAGAAAGCCGGGATGTAGAGCTCTCCTAGTCTGTCTCCTTTCTCTCAGGGACCACAGTCCTTCACTGATTGCTGTCCCCCATCTGAAAACAATGGATTTTCATATATTTTGCCCAATTTCTAGCTGTTTATGGTGAGACAGTAATTCTGGACCCTCTTATTCCCTCATGGCCGTATTGATATTGAGAGACTTTATGTTTTGTTAAGACAAATATACATGTTAAATTTTTTAGAGTAACTAGAATATAAATAGGATGTACTACTTCCAAACTAGTAGAAGAAAATAGCAAATAATGAAGGAAAATTCAGCTAATCACAAAAAGGTCAAGTAAGGGAAATAAAGAAATGGAAACGGGGCTGGGCGCGGTGGCTCACGCCTGTAATCCCAGCACTTTGGGAGGCCGAGGCGGGTGGATCACGAGGTCAGGCGATGGAGACCATCCTGGCTAACACGGTGAAACCCCATCTCTACTAAAAATACAAAAAATTAGTCACACGTGGTGGCGGGCACCTGTAGTCCCAGCTAATTGGGAGGCTGAAGCAGGAGAATGGCATGAACCCAGGAGGCAGAGCTTGCAGTGAGCCGAGATCGTGCCACTCCAGCCTGGGCCACAGAGCGAGACTCCGTCTCAAAAAAAAAAAAAAAAAAAAAAAAAAGAAACCAAAACGTTGGAATAAGCAGAAAGTATAACATAATATGTTAAAAATAGATCCAAAAAACATTAAGCAAAATAAATAGATTAAATTATCCAGTTAGGATTTTTAAAAAATCCAGCTATAAGCTGTTTATAAGAGATATATCTAAAGAATAGGGCCAAAAAAGGCTGAAAGGGCAGGACTGGCTGGGCACAGTAGTGGCTCACGCCTGAAATCCCAGCACTTGGGGAGGCCAAGGCGGGAAGATCACTTGAGCCCAGGAGTTTGAGACCAGTTTAGGCAACATAGTGAGACCCCCGTCTCGACAAAAAAATAAAAAAATTAGTTGGGTGTGGTGGTGCGAACCTGTGGTCCCAACTACTTGGGAGGCTGAGGCAGGAGGATCACTTGAACCGGGAGGTTGAGGCTGCAGTGAGCTGTGATTTTGCCACTGTACTCCAGCCTGGGTGACTGAGTGAGACCCTGTCTGAAAAAAAAAAAAAAAGAGAAGAAAAGAAAAAGAAAGGGCAGAACCTCCAGCTATGGCCAAACGTGGATAACAGCAAACAACCTCCCCAAAAAAGTAACTATAAAGCTGGACCAAACTGACAAAAACAAGCTTTTTGATCTGGAAGTCAACGGAAGATGACTCATAATCCAAGTGGCTGGATTTTGAGTAAGAACAGCGGGAGTCTGTGGCATTCTGGCCCAGGGCTGCTCCCATCCCTCCTGGCTTGCTGGACATGGAGGCTATGCCAAGGCGGGGAAGGCCATGAAGACCAGCAGCTTCTCCCCATAGGCTTGAAGGGCGCTCGCTCATTTGGATTGGTGGGCAACACCTGTGCCCAGTGGTGTCATCGGTGGAAGTGACTTCTTGGAGGTGGGCGGGCTGGGAAGGGCAAACAGATCAGCTCTACTCAACTGAGGCTATGGATGTGCTTGCGGCAGTATATTTCTAGCTGACCAGAGACTGGAGGGGTCCCATGCTACTCACGCTCTCCTGGACTGCCCTGGGACTATGCACGTGTATATAAGAGATGTGAGAGGGCCCAGTGGAAAGGAAAGCCCAGAAGACCTTAAAGCAGCCTGAACATTGAATAAGCTCCCCTACCCACACCCAGACCCAAGGACACAAGCCTTACTGGCTTGAGATGTTTGAGCACAGCTTCTGTCCAGTCATTGGCTGACCACCAAGCTAGGCAGATACAGGGTAGCTCCTAGGAAACCAGGCTTAAAATTTTTAACTAGAATATATATTTTTTAAATGGAAAAAATCTTCCCTGCCAGCCCACCTCCAAGAAGTCACTTCCACCGATCATGCCGCTGGGCACAGGTGTTGCCCACCAATCATCCAAATGAGCGAGCGCCTTTCAAGCCTATGGGGAGAAGCTGCTGGTCTTCATGGCCTTCCCCTCCTTGGCATAGCTTCCATGCCCAGCAAGCCAGGAGGGATGGGAGCAGCCCTGGGCCAGAATGCCACAGACTCCCGCTGTTCTTACTCAAAATCCAGCCACTTGGATTATGAGACATTTTCCGTTGACTTCCAGATCAAAAAGCTTGTTTTTGTCAATTTTGTCCAGCTTTATATAAAGTTACTTTTTTGGGGAGGTTATTTGCTGATATCTGCATTTGGCCATAGGTGGAGGTCCTGCCCTTTTTTTTTTTTTTTCCAGACAGGGTCTCACTCAGTCACCCAGGCTGGAGTGCAGTGGCAAAATCACGGCTCACTGCAGCCTCAACCTCCTGGTTCAAGTGATCCTCCTGCCTCAGTCTCCCACGTAGCTGAGACCGTAGGTGCGCACCACCATGCCTGACTAATTTTTTGATAGTTTCAGGGCTTTTTTTCTTTTTTTTTTTTTCTTTTTGAGACGGAGTCTCGCTCTGTCACCCAGGCTGGAGTGCAGTGGCTGGATCTCGGCTCACTGCAACCTCCGCCTCCTGGGTTCAAGCGATTCTCCTGCCTCAGCCTCCTGAGTAGCTGGTATCACAGGCGCCCGCACCACCATGCCCAGCTAATTTTTGTGTTTTTAGTAGAGACCACGTTTCACCATGTTGGTCAGGCTGGTGTCGAACTCCTAACCTCAGGTGATCTGCCCGCCTCGGCCTCCCAAAGTGCTGGGATTACAGGCGTGAGTCGCCGTGCCTGGGCCTTCTTTTTTAAAAAAAAAATTAAAAAAAATTGTTTTTGTAGAGACGGGGTCTCACTATGTTGCCCAAACTGGTCTCAAACTCCTGGGCTCAAGTGATCTTCTCGCCTTGACCTCCCCAAGTGCTGGGATTGAGTGTATGAGCCACCACTGTGCCCAGCCAGTCCTGCCCTTTCAACCTTTTCTGGTTCTACCCTTTAGATGCGTCTCTGGTAAACAGCTTATAGCTGGATTTTTTAAAATCCAGTCTAACCGGAGAATTTAATCTATTTATTTTGCTTAATGCTTTTTGGATCTATTTCTTTTTTTCTTTCTTTCTTTCTTTTTTTTTTTGAGACAGAGTCTCACTCTGTTGCCCAGGCTGGAGTGCAGTGGCTCGATCTTGGCTCACTGCAAGCTCCGCCTCCCAGGTTCATGCCATTCTCCTGCCTCAGCCTCCCAAGTAGCTGGGACTACAGGTGCCCGCCACCACGCCCGGCTAATTTTTGTATTTTTAGTAGAAACAGGGTTTCACCATGTTAGCCAGGATGGTCTCGATTGCCTCACCTCGTGATCCGCCCGCCTCGGCCTCCCAAAGTGCTGGGATTACAGGCGTGAGCCACCGTGCCTGGCCGTCTTTTGGATCTATTTCTAACATATTATACTTTCTACTTATTCCAATGTTTCTGTTTCTTTATTTCCCTTACTTGACCTTTTTTTGATTAGTTGATATTTTCCTTCATTATTTGCTTTTTTCCTCTACTAGTTTGGAAGTAGTATATCCTATTTATATTCTAGTTATGCTAAAAAATTTAATATGCTTATTTGTCTTAACAAAATGTAAAGTCACTCAATATCAATATGACCATGAGGGAATAGGAGGGTCCAGAATTACTGTCTCACCATAAACAGCTAGAAACTGGGCAAAATATATGAAAATCCATTGTTTTCAGATGGGGGACAGCAGTCAGTGAAGGACTGTGGTCCCTGAGAGAAAGGAGACAGACTAAGAGAGCTCTACATCCCGGCTTTCTGACTCAGGTAGAAGAAGCATAAAAATGTGAGCCATCATGAGAAGAAAAATCGGTCAATAGAAACAGACCCAGGGGAGTTTCTGTTGCTGGTCCAGTGTGTAAGGAGGCCAGAAGTCATCGGTCTGTCCTAAGAACGAGTAAAAGTGGAACACATTTAAAATCAACAACTCCTCTTAGATTTATCAGAGAATTGAAGTCACTGGGCAAAATGCTGCCCCCAAAATTGGGGAGACAGACAGGTGGGCACAGAGAATCACAACTTAGCAGAGCAGGAGGCCAGGCACAGGAACCAGTGCTGGCGTAGGGACACCCGAACTGCAATTGCTGAATTGCTGGGGGCTCAGTGCGGACAAGTCTGAGAGTTAAAACTCTGGGATGGGGCAGTCTTTTGGGGCTCCCATACTTTTGTAAGTTTTACCTTTAGGAGCTCAACCAGGTTCTCACAGTGAGAAAAATCTCATCATGCTTCTGGCAGGGGGAGGGGAAAGTGGTCATTTTGAAATACGCCCAGGGCGTTCCTTTCTTAACTAGGCCTGCCCTCAAGAGTAACCCTTACCAGGCCCAACCTATTAGGGTTTTGGCGGAGCCTAACTGACCTGAGGGAAGCGAAATACCCAACTCAGTCTTTTGTAGCCATCCTGGCCCACCTAAGCGGGGCACAATCTGAGAAGCATTGGTGAAATTCACAGTCCAGGGGCATAGGCACGCCCAAAGACAGAAACCTAATCACAGGACTGAATGCTTTTCCTCCCTCCACATTCTGCTGTATCACTACGGCCTATTCGCAGCAGGTCCTTTTACCCAGTATGTGTCCAGCTTTTGACAAAAAAAACAAAAAGTAAAAAAAAGACAAGTCATACTAAAGGCCAAAAAACATAGTTCAAAAAGATAGAGCCAGTACCAGAAGCAGACTCAGCTATGACAGGGGTGTTGGAATGATCAGACCAGAAGTTTAAAATAACTATGATTAAAATGCTAAGGGCTCTAATGGAAATATGAGACAATATGCAAAAACATGGCCACAATTAGCCGCAAGGGAGGATGGGAAATAAAGTTTTTAGCTGTGAAGCCATACACGCTATTAACCTTTGGGCATTTTATTTCTAAAAAGGAGAAGCAGAGAATGGATACTGGGGGACACTCAGCAGTCTCTTCCACGGTGTCTTTCATCAGTTTTGGAAATTTCTCAGGCATTGTTTATTAAAATACTTTATATTCCCTATTCTCCTTTTTTTCTTCTAGAAATCCAACTAAATATATGTGTGACCTGTCTGTCTTATTGTCTGTCTGTGCTGCATTCTGGGTAATTTCCTTAAATCCATCTTCCAGTTCACTATTTCTTTCTTCAGCTATGTTTAATATGCTGTTTAAACTTTAAATGTCCAATTTCAATTGTCATATTTTTCATTTCTAGGAGCTCTTTTTGGTTTTCTTTCAAGCGTATCTAGTCATTTTATATTCTCTTGCTTTTTTATTACAGTTTCAATATTTCCTTTTATTTCTTTAAGCATATTAATTATACTTATAGTCTGTTATATAATTTCAAAGGCTGCTATCTTTGCAGGACTGATACTTGAATTCACATGCTAAATGTTTCTATAACTCATGGTGGCTTGTTTCCTTGTACATTTTAGGATTTTAAAAAATTACGTATTTTGGAATTTTCTATAGCGGTGCTTTGAGGCCTGTGTTTAAAGGACATCCCTCCCTCCACAGAGGATTTGTGCTTGCTTCTGCTGGTCACTCTGGAGCAATATGACCTCTGAACCACTTCATTTAAAACTTAAATAGGCCAGGTGCGGTGGCTCATGCCTGTAATCTCAGCACTTTGGGAGGCTGAGGCACTGCACCTGGCCTATTTAAGTTCTATATTGAGACCTTGTTTCTAAAATAAGAAACTTTAAAAATGTATTTTATTTATGTTTTAAACTGCTATTTTTATTGGGCTGTCACAATCTCAGTAAACCCTGTAGGTAAGATAGTCGAATGCAGCTTCAAGACAAATCCAGGAGCCTTCTCCAGCAGCCAGATCACTGTTTCTTGTTTTGTTTTGTTTTGTTTTGTTTGTTTGTTTTGAGACAGGGCCTCACTCTCACTCTCTCATCACTCTGTCACTCTGTCATGCAGGCTGGAGTGCAGTGGCGCAATCCCAGCTTACTGCAACCTCCGCCTCCTGGGTTCAAGTGCTTCTTGTGCCTCAACCTCCCAAGTAGCTGGGATTACAGGCACGTGCCACCATGCCCAGCTCAGTTTTTTTTTTTTTTTTTTTTTTTTGTATTTTTAGTAGAGACAGGGTTTCCCCATGTTGGCCGGGCTGGTCTTGAACTCCTGACCTCAGGTGAGCCTCCCAAAGTACTGGGATTACAGGTGTAAGCCACCGTGCCCGGCTGAATCACTGTTTCTAAGTACCTCTGAGAGAGATTCTGGAGTGTCCACTACTCTATGCCTAGACCACTCTAAAAGAACAGTTCAGCTTGTGGCTATAAGCTCTCAGGGGAGGGGGAACATTTTCCTTTTATTCCACTTCCCCCCAGATCCAAGGTCAAGATCAGCACACACCCTCTTCTTTATTTGGGATATATCTTCCTAGGTCACCTGTTCTAGTAGATTTCTGTGGCTGCTGTAATAAATTACCACAGAGTTAGTGGCTTACAGCAACACAGATTTCACATCTTCCATTTCAGTAGATCAGCCATTCAAAATAGATTTCACTGGACAGAAATCAAGGTGTTGGTGGGGCTGCGTTCCAGTGGAGGGTCCTGGCTCCTGGGCTAACCCCAGAGTGGCTTACTCCGCTGGCCCAGAGGATTCACCTCATTTCTCAGTTCATCACCTTGCTCTTCCTTTCCTACCAGCTCAGCCATTCACGCATATGCCTTTAGATTGTGGGTTCTGGGCCACATTGCTCCAAAGCCTCCACAGCTTTCTCTGGCTGCACTCGCTCCCCGCCACCCTCCAGCTGCCCTTCCCCTCTACTACATGTCCATGGTGGAGAGTCACAGCCTTATAGACCCCACCAGTTATGGTGTGGAGAAGGCACTTGCAGTGTCCCAATATGAGGAGAGGTGCAGTTCACCTCTGTCCCTTTAGGTGGCCCGTTGGTCTCCATGTTCTCCATGGGGCTCTTCTAGTCCCCAGCCTGGGCCTTTGCAGCCCAAATTCCACAGCCAGACAACCACAACACTCACATGTGCCAGTCTGCCCACACCCCTCCCTGTCACTCTCAGGATGCCACCCAGCCGGGGCAGCCCTCAGGAGGCTCCAGGCAGGGCTCGGGGCTGACTTGGCCGGTGTCTCAGGGATCAGTTGTGAGTGCTGGCCCCTCACTTTTCTGCTCTGTCCATGGCAATGAACGTCTACGGCACAACCGCAGTGCTGTGACTGTTGCATTTGTCGTTTCTTCCCCCACTAGAAAGTCTGCTGTGAGCAGGCGGAGCTCACTGCTGCAACCTAGTCCCCAGGACAGTGTGTGGCACAGACTAGGGGTTCAAATGGAGGTGAATGAATGGGCGACTCAGAGCGTGGGCCAGCGGGCAGTGTAAGCACAAGATGGGAAATGATAACATGGGGCAGGGAGTGGGGTGGCACTTGAGTCCCTGGCCAGCCTGGCACATGCCCCTTTCCACCATGGGCAGTCCAGAGAGACCAAGAGGGCCTCCTTCCCCACCTTCCCCCAAACCCTCCAAGGCGCTCAGGAGGTAGCTTCTCTCTCTACTCAGTATCTTAAATAAACTGTTTATTCAGAAGGAACAATTAAAGAAAGCAACTATGATATGGATTACAAAAACAAACAAGCATAGATCCTCTCCAGGCTCCAGGGTGAGACGGCCCCACGCTGCAAAGACTGCCAGCCCTGGGCTGGGTGCATCAGTGGGCTAGCATGTGTGTGTGAGCGCCGACACGTGCGCACACACAAGCACACACACGCACACCCGCCACCCACAGGGGTGTGGACAGAAATGAATGACTGTGTGTGTCTGCAGCTTGGCCCCTTCCCCACCCCCCAAAGTAGCAGCGGCTGTGTGGGCCCCGCAGCAGCAAAAGTGAGGCCTTCTTCTTCCCCTCCCCCTCCGCAGCTCTCGCTCTGAGACCCCATCTCCTCCGGCGGTAGTTTGGCCACCCTCACTCACAAAGAGCCCCAGTGATCCCGTCAAGACATCTGGGGGAAGAGGAAAAAAAAAAAACAAAACAGCCCACCAGATGTGTGGCCGGGAACCTGCCCAGTAGCTCCTAGGCCATGGATGTGGGCGGCCACTGCACTCTGGGTCCCCATCCCCTGGGAGGCCCCAGCCCCGAGAGGCCCAAGCCCTTGGTGGAGAAACAGGGAGGTGACAACACCAGTGATGGCAAACGCCTCTCCCCCAAGCAGCCACTGGGATCCAGTGCAACGAGGTGGCACACACCCTTCCTGAAGGGGGAAGCGCAGGGAGGCGCAGGGCCTAGCCGAGCTGGCTGAGCACCCAGGGCCGGGACCTGGGCCTGGACAACCACCTGGAGAGGGAACCCCCACCCCCATCCCGCAAAGAAAAAGTAACAGTCGCAGAAGAGGCAGGCTCCGAGCGTGGTCCCGCCATAGGCACGTTGATTAGGACGGCAGCCCGCGTGAGGTATTGCGCTCTCCCCCCAGCACCCTGCTCAGGCCGAGCCCTCCTGCCCTCCCCTCCCTTGCCACACGAGTGGGCAGGGACACCCGTGGGTGGGGGTGGGGCAGGGGCCGGCCTGCCGGCCACGGGGCCCTAGGTGGGGGCCAGCTCGAAGGCGCCATCACTGGTGGGGGTGGTGAAGAAGGAGGGCGGGTTGGAGGCCGCAGATGCCTGCCCCCCACTGCCCTGCTCCTGCGAGTGGCGCTCCTCCAGCCGCAAGCTGCGCTCAAAGTCCAGCAACTGCCCCATGAAGTTGAAGTTGGGGGAGATGTTAGACTTCTTCCTCTTGACCAGGTCATAGGCATCGTTGAGAGAGAGGTGGAGCTTCTGCATGAGGTAGGCCACAGTGACGGTGACAGAACGGCTGACCCCCGCCAAGCAGTGGACGAGCACCCCGCAGTTCTGGGACAAGGCCTCATCTAGATGGGGCAGGAAAGGGCCCGGGAGACCCGGAGGGCAGGCGTGTGTGAGGCCGAGGCCTTCCGAAGGGCCCTCAAAGGCCCCGCCCTGCCCCCTGGGCCAGATGGCCACGACCTGCAGGTTTCTCTAGTGGCCTCTGGGGGCCGCCCTAGCTCTGCCTGTCCCCTAGAACTGTCACCTAGGCTTTTGGCTCTGGGAATGGCAGCGGGGCTTGGGAGGAGTACTCACAAGGGGGAGGCCAGAGCAGGCCTTGGGGAGGACAGGAGGGAAGGGTGGGTGGGGTGGACTCACCAATGAACTCAATGGCCTCCGGAAAGAACCGCGACAGGTTCTGGCTCCAGTGGTCGGAGATGGGGATCTGCTTGTAGTGAAAGTCACCATTCTTCTCGAAGAAGTTTGGGAGGTTGGGGGTGACATTGAGGATGTAGCGGATGCCCAGTTTGGCCAGGCTCTCCAAATTGGCGGAATCCCGGGCACTGCCCAGATAGAGGTTGGGCAGGATCTGGACAGGGAAGGATGCCCGCAGCCCCACTGGTGGGGGTGTGGCACCCTCCGAATCCAGGCCACAGCTCATGGAGTCGCGGTCAGCCTCGGATTCCGCATCAGAGCAGTCGGAGCCCAGGCACAGGCTGCCCAACCCCACCACGGGCACTGGACCGGGCACCGGCGCCATGCTGGAGCCGGCACGGCCAGCAAGGCTGGTCTCACACAGGTGAGGGCACTCGGCCTGGAATCTGCTGAAGCCTCCTGTTGGGGAGAGGGCATGGGGCCTGCTGACCTGGCCTTCTGGGCAGCCAAGTGCCTCTGTCTGGGGCTGGGGAGATGACCCTGGACAACTTGGAGGGTTTGCAAATGTTCCCAAAGGGAACACAAAACCCAGCAGCTTGGTGTGTCCTGGTACCCACGTGGGGCCCTAGCCACCCTCAGTCAGCTCGGGCTGCAAGAAGCTGGGCTCACGCTGAGCCACCGGAAAGGATCTTACACCCCTAGGGTCAAGCTGAGGCAGGTGTGAGGGCTCAACAGAGCCGAGATGCACTGCCAGCCTTAGGGAGGACTGCGGCCATCAGCTAAAGAAAAGGAGGAACTCAGATGTCAGCTCTCTGCCTGGGCATCTCCTGACTCTCAGGGATGAAGTGGGACCCCAAGATGTGGGGGAACTTGGGGGAGAATATGGCTCAAGAAGCCAGCATCTCTATTTACAGATACTATTTCCCCGGGCTGGACACCTGACACTTTATATGCTGTTCGGGAGGCTAAGGCAGGAGGATCGCTTGAGCCCAGGAGGCTTCAGTGAGCCGTGATTGCACCAGTGCTGTCTGACCCCTGCCTCCCTTGCTCATTCCTGAGCAGGTTGGGGAGGTGGGGATACCCTTGCCGAGACCCTGGGGAGCCCGCACTTTGTAATTCGTTCTTGAGCATCCTGAGAACTAGCTCAGGTCAGGCTAATTCTCCCCATTTTCCAGGCTCAGAGACTGGGCTGCCGAGGGTGAAGAACTTCCCCACGGTCACACTCAGGCTTCCCTCCTCTCAAAGCAGCCTGGCAGGTCATCAGGGGAGGGGGGCCTCAACTCGCTTTAGAAAAAAAGAAGTGGGGCTGGCCTAAGGTCAAATGAATCCCGAACCCCCTGGAAGGAGGGCCCCGCGGCACCTACCCTGGAGGTAGTAGGCCAGGTAGCCTTCCTCTCGCAGCTTCTGCAGCAGGGTGCCCAGCACCGACTCGGCCTCCCACTCCTCGGCCTCGGCCTCGGCCTCCCCGCGCCGGCGCCGGCCCCCGCCCTGGTCGTACAGGAGCACGGGGGCAGGCGGGGGCGGCTGCAGCGGCGGCCCAGGCAGGAGCGCGCGCACCGACAGGCTGCCCCTCCGCAGGCGGCGCAGCAGGAGCGCCGGCAGGGCCACGCTCAGCGCCCCACCGATGCGCGCCGACTCGTACAGCTCGCGGCTGCGGCAGTCCAGGAGCAGGAGCCGCGGCCGCGGGGGCGACAGCTCCCGACGCAGCCACAGGCACGAGCGGCCCAGACCCTCCATGGGCGATCGGCTCCCTACACGCTGGACCACGGGCGCTGCGAAGAGAGAGAAGGCGCGGTGTGAGCTACCGGAGGGCCGAGGGGGCTCAGACTTGAAGCCGGCCCCGCGTCCTGAAGGCGGGAGCCCAGGGTCCCCCACCATGAGGACTCCCAACAAGGCGCCCCAAGAAACCCCCCAGGCAGCAGCTCGGCCCGGGGAAGGGTCCTCGAGAAGAGGGCTGAGCGGCTAACCGCCCCTTCGAGGCTCATCTTGGGGTACCCTGAGGTCGCAGCCGCCTCCCTCCATACCCCCTTTCTGCTCCTGTCTCGGTCTTCTCGCGAACGCTCCCCAAGTTCGAGCTTCCGACTCTGGCTGGGGGTGTGCGTGCGAGGAGTGCCGTTCGAGGCCTAGATCTCCCCCAGGGCCAGGTGGGCCAGGGGAACAGAGGAGGCGCCGAGGTGCTGGGCCTCAGCGAGTCCTCTCAGAGGTGGTCTGGCCCCCGGTCCCCCATCTCCCCCTACCCCTAGGAGAGAACAAAAGGAAAGAGACCTGGAGCGAGATCCGGCGGTGGACGACCGCGCGTGGACGTTCTGGCCACGGCCACTGCCACGGCGGAACGCGAGGCGCCGTCCCGCGGCAGAGAGTCCCCAGGCCTGGCCGCCAGGAGAGGGCGGGGCGGCGGTGCAGGCTCGCACGTGGAAGCCGAGCCCCGCGCAGCCCGCGCAGCCCGCGCACCGGCCGCTTCCTGGCAGCCGGACCCAGCTTCCACCTTGGAAACTGCCTTCGGACGTGGAGTTACAACTCCGAGGGGCGGGCCGGGGCGGGGCTCCGGGGGCGGGCCCGGCGGGCCGGTGAGCCAACGGGTGCTAGCCGAAGCAGTCGGGTGGGACCTGCGAGTCGGCTGAGCTGGGGCTTCCACCGAGGCGGGACGGGGTCGGGGCAGAGGCCAAGGGCAGGTCAGGGGCCCAGCAGGGGACCAGCTGCGGCTCCCCTGGCCGGCGCCAGCCTGGCCTCGGGAGGCAGGGGGAGGGGTGAGGACCAGAGCCCAGCCCCTCTGCCGCAGAAGCTGCCTCCAGCCCAACTCACAGGGTGATACTGGAGCATCTTCTCCCCTGCCTGGATCTCAGTGGCCCCATCTCTGTAATGGGCTCAGAGCTAGCAGCTTGGGCAAACTTGGGATGCCACCGAAATCACGGAGGGGAGGAGGAGGCAGGACCAGAAACTTAGTGCAGCTTTGGCCCAGAGGTCTGCTGCAGGGCTAGGCAGGCAGGGGTAGCTCCTGGATACCTACCAATACCAGCCCGCTTCACTCGCACAGGACTGGCCAAAAGCACCCAGGAACCCTGAGCTCCCAGCCCTAAACTGGGGCACTCTGCTCTTATCACATTACTGATCCTAAGAGTCACCCGTGGCTCCCCCCTCTGCCTCCTTCCCTTAACCCCCCTTCGGCTAATCAAAGTGGAAAGAACTAGTTTCTACCTAAATATCTCTCACATCCACGCCTCTCTCCCCTGTCCCTTGCCCTAGCCGAGGGCTCAAATTCATCAGCTTTAGGCCAGGTCACTGTCACGTCTTGCACAACAGTCTCCCTGCCTCCGGGCCTGCAACGACCTGCCCTCCACCCTGCCCTGCCCAGCCCTGCCCAACGTCAGAATGCCATCCACTCAACCAAGGCTGGTGGCCTCCATCCTTTCCTCCATGGGCACAACAGGCGGGACAGATCCACAGGCAGCAAGAGCACTGGACAAGGTCTCAGGTGTGGTGAGCACTGAGGCAGGAGACCAGGGTCAGGGGGAGGTGTCCACAATGCTGATCTGGCTAAAAGTCCCTTCTCTGCTTAAAGCTCAACAAAAGCAAATAACAGTGTTGAAGGAAAATGTACGCCAGATAAGATAAAGCTCATACCCAACTAAAAGGTTAAGACCCCTGTAGATAAATGGGCAAAGAACCTGAAAACACTGCATACTGCAGGAAGGAGGGAATGCGGTGGCCTAACAAATATTTGGGGGAAGGTTCAACTTCAGGCGTGGAAGGAAAGCCACTCCAATAAACAAGTAACAATGACCAACGAGGTAACACTTCCCACCTACTGCATTAGAAATGTTCTCATTTTTGAGAACACGCAGTGCTGGCAAGATTGCTGTGAAATCAGCGTGCTGTTCAACTGTTGCAGGGTTATATATTGGTACGGCCCCTTTGGAAATTAATCTGGCAATATCAAGAGCTAGGAAAAAATCCCAACCCTTTGACCACTTTTGGGAATCTAAGGAACTAAAGTAAAAGAAAGCAAAGTTATGCACACGAGGATGGGCACCACAAAGCATTTTTCTAACAAGTGGAAAATGCAAAGCAAACTACGAGTCTAAAGACTCCTCTCAGGAGCCATGGAGTTAGAGGAGAAAATGTCTCAGGTCATGGTTAGGTAAGAGGGCAGGTGACGGAAAGCTAGGTGGGTCACCTCTAAGGGGCTTCCAGTTTGCCTCTCTCCCTCCCTTTCGGGCAGTGGGCTGCTAGCCGGGGACTCCCAGGACCCTGGCACTGGGCTGCTTTCCGGCCACACCCCCCATGTCCCTGCGTCTAACAAGAGTCCTAATTCCTGCATCCAAGGGCTTTGGGCAGCTGGACTGTGCCCTTCCTTCTCTCACCCAGTGGGCAAGGGCCCCAGCCCAGGCCTCCCTCCTATGCCCCCTGCCCAGATTCTGAGATTCTGCTCATTCTTCAGGCCCCCTCCTCCAGGCAGCCTTCCCAACTCGGAGCCAGTAGTCTCCCTCCTCTGTGCTCCCTAGTGTGGTCACTTTCCCCCTTTCTCAGTGTGTTCCTGGGGCAGGGACTTTGTCTTCTGTTTTCTGTCCACAGCCTAGCTCCACAGTGGTGGAGGTGGACACCGGCACCCAGCCTGGGGGCTGCCTCCAGGCCCACTGCAGCTGTGGGTGGGAGCTCAGAGTGGGCAGGGGTTGAAGGCACCACGGAGGTTCTGCCATGTGCCAGTCTTGTTGTGGAGAGTGGGGGTGGCGCAGGGCTGTGACCAGCAGGGAGCTGGACAGCCACTTCCCCGGCCCGCCCTGCCGTGGGGGCTCAGTTCGGCTAGAGAGGGAGCTCCTGAGCTGCTCAGTGGCGCTCTCTGGAGAGGGTTCCCTGGAGGTGAGAGGAGCTGGGCTGGAATGAGGACGGGGAGAGGCAACCTCCGCAATGGGGAAGGGAGGGGAAGCCTAGGATCCAAGGGTCCACGTCTCCCGACGCTTGGCGAGGGGCTCCCCTGCACCTAACTGCGGAGCCCTGCTGCCAAGTCCTCGCACCGGGAGAAAGCATTTGGGAGGAGGCCATGAGGGGCTCAATTTCCAAAGTCAGAGCTCAGTGCTCGGGGCCCACAGCGCCCGCAGCGCCAGCAACAGGACAAATGGGAACCTGTTGCCACCTCCGCACTGCAGGGCTGAGCGCAGCCAACCCCCTAATCCCCCTCTCACCCGCGACCCTCGCCGGGCCGCCCCCACTCAGGCCCCCTGTAGCGCCGGCTCTGGGCGCCGCCCCGCCGGCAGCCGCTCCCGGGTGCGCTGTGCTGGGGGAGGCCGCGCCGCGCGCCCGGGCCTCGTCTGGCCCCCTCCGGCGGGCTGAGCCAGGCCGCGCGCTCGCTGCCCGCCGCAGGGTGGGCGCTGCGCCTGCCGCCCCCGCCCCCGCCCCCGCACCCGCCCCCGCCGGGCGCCCCGGGCCTCCGCCGGGCCGGGCCAGCGCCCCCTGGAGGCCGCGGGGACGCCGCCGCCTGCAGGCCTCGCGCGCGCCGCGTGCGCCCTCTGGTCCCGGGAGCCTCCCGAGAGCGGCGCCGCGCCGCCTTCCCCCACGAGATGCACCGTTCCCGCCGGGCCGAGTGACAGGATTTCGGCTGTCGCGGCCGGGTCACATGGCCAAGAGCACAAGTCCCGGCGACAGCGTGCCTGCCAAATCCAGTGTCTTTTCCACCAAATCCACTTTCTGCTGGGGATGGCTTTCTGCTTTTCCTGGTCGGTCTCCTCGCGGGACTGGGAGTTCCTCCAAGGCAGGAACGGGTGTGTGCCCGGCCCCAGGCTGGCCCCAGCCCCCAGTGCAGGGCCTGGCACGCGCCCGGCGCTCGCGGAAGAAATGCTCGTTAACAAAGAAGGCATGAATGAATGAAACCAATTGTTGCCTGAGGGAGCTGCTCCTGCTTTTCCTTCTGCCGATCACACACTCCTCCCCCACCCCGACACGCACAAGCACACGTGCACACACAGCCCTCCCCGTAACACACACGCAGGCAGGCACCCAGACAGCGCGCGCGGACGCCAGCCCCCATGGAACCCACCTACTACGTGCTTGCCGGGCAGCTGGCGCCCCTTTGGTCCCACCTGGGCCGCCTCCATTTCAGCGCCGGGCTCTCTCCGCCGCCTCCCCGCCCCTCCCCGGGGCCCCTTGCTTCCACATCTAAGTACCCTACCTTGGACCCCAAAGTGCCTTCTTTATTTCTTAGGGAAGAGGCCAAGCTAGTCGCTGGGGAGTCTCAAGGTCTGTTTAGGGAGGCACCTGGGGGGCCCAAGGCTGCTGAGCCTCTGCCGAAGGGGAGCCAGAGGTGCCTGGCAGGGATGCCACCAAATGCTGCAGCCTCTAGAGCCCGCGTGCCAGGTGTTGGGGGTGAGGGAGGGAGGGACTCAGAGATGTGCTGGGGGGTGTCGAAGGCTATTTGTGATGGGGGCGGGGCAGGATGCTGGAGAGCGTGAATCCAGCAGGTGTGCGCGCGTGCTGGGGTGGATGAGAGTGCGCGTTGGAGATGCTGGAGGTGTGTGCCTGGGACGTGGGGAGCGTCAGCCACTGGGATGTGGGTTTCTGACGGGACCTCGCTCCAGGATGGGTGGACTGCAGTGTCTCTGGGCTGGCAACGTGGGTGGGGTGTCTGTAATGGGCAGATGGGGAGTTCGAGGTGGTGGGGGCATGGTAGGGGGAGCTATGTTGGTGCAGGTATGGCAGAGACGTGTTGGAAGCGTGCGTGTGCGCCTGGGTGTGTACTGGGGCGTGGCAGGGTCTCGGTGGGTTGGCATGAGTTGGGGACAGTGGTGAGTGGTGGGGCAGGGGCAGCTAGTGTGTGCACTACAGGCACCCGGGTCTGTGGTGCGTGGTTTGTATGCGCGCGAGTGTGCAGCCGGTGCAAGTGGCAGGAGACACGGGAGGTGCACGGGCGGCGTGCGGGGGTGTGCGGAGCAGCACCGAATGGGTGTCGTAGGGGCGCGTGCGCCGGCTTCGTGGGGTGTGCGTTGTCAGGACTTTGGGGGTGCAGGGTGGAGGAGCGCACGTCGGGGCGGGGGCAGCCAGGCCGGGTGGGGGGTGGGGGTCCCCGGGGCGCCGCTTGCTCCACTCACCTCCGCTCTGCTCGGTTCTCCGCGCCGGTTCCCTGCGTCGCGGCCGGGAAGTTTCCGAAGCTCGGGCGGCGGGAAGCGCCACTGCTGCAGCCTAACGCCACCGGAACCCCGGGTGGCGGCCTCTCCTGGAGCCGAGGGGCAGCCGCCGCCGCCGCTGCGGAGGGAAACTCCAAATCCCGCCTCCGCCGCCGCTGCCTCCTCCGCCTCTGCCGCCGCCTCCTCCCCTCCAGTCGCCGTCTTCTCCGCCCCCTGCCCAGGAGGGGCACTGTAGCTGGCGGCTCGCGGGGAGGGAGCGGGGAGGGGCCGCGGCCTGCCCGGCGTCTCCCTCCACCTCCCACGCCCCCCCCACCCCCCGCCGCCTTCCTCCCACCTGCAAGCCTCTGTTCTCTAGGCCAGTCCTGCCCGACGCGCCCTGCGCTCCCCGGTCCCCAGTGGCGCCAATGAGTGGGGGCTCCGGCGCTTGGGGCGCGGGAGTGGGGTTGGGGGCCCTGAACTAGGCTGGGCCTGGGCTAGGTGGACGGTTACGCGCAGAATCTGCACTGGCACCCCAGCGAAGGGGCCCATTGAGGACTGGGCGCAACTTGGTGCCCCAGAGCCACCTCCTGCTCCCACAGTGAAGAGGGTATAAAGTCTGGCTGACAGCGCTGCCAATTCCATCCCCCACCCCAGGTCCCCCTGCAGTGTCTCCTCTCATTCTCATGTGTCAGATTCTGGCTAATAGTAATAGCATTTGAGCCTCAGTGCCTGGAAGGGGTGGAGCCAGGACGTTTGGGTGGGGGAGGGGCTGGAAGCGAGTAGGGAGCGGCTGTTGTCACTAGGTCCCGTTAGCTTTCTCCTTTGTGCCAAAGGTCACACGCATTGCCATCAAGGACCTCATTTTATCCTTACAGCAGTTCCGGAAGTCTGAGGGGATTGTCCCCATGCTACAGCCAGGGAAACTGAGTCCGTGGCTCCCTGGTGGTGGCACAATAGTGTAGTGGCAGAGTAGGATGTGGCTTGGGCTGGCTGAGTTCAGAAGCCTAGAGCCTGAGCGAGTGTGAGTGCGGAAGATTGCGTGGGGAGGGGAGGCAGAGGACAGCCCGTGGAGATGTGCACCTGGCCTTTCTGGGGCTCCCAGACCAGCAGTGTATGAGCCCGGCCTCGTGCCTGCAGTGGGGGATTGCCTGAGACCCGGCAGGAGGCTGTGAGCATCAAGGGCCGTCTTCTCCGCCCAGGGAGCGCAGGATAAGGTGCGGCCAGGCAGGGCTGGGATGCCAGCAGCTCCGCTGGCCGCTTGGCTGTGTCTGCCGCAGCGCTGAATTCCCCTGAGTCATTACCCCTGGAAGAGGCGAGGGCAGCAGCTTTGCCTCTGGAGCCCAGGTCCCTGTCCCATCTGGGTCTCCATTTCCTGGTATGTACGTTTGGGGAGAGAGGTGGGACCATGTGATCTCCAAGGACCCTCCTAGCTGTGCTGCAGTTTCAAGCCATGGTGCGTGAGCTGGGAGGGTCCTGCTGTCGCCAGCCAGGCCTGCCCACCCTGCTCTGGGCCCCGACTGCTCCTCTGCACCTTTTCAGCCTTGGCGGCAGCACAGCCCCTCCTGGGAGCAGGCCTCTGGCCCTGCAACTGTCTTCCTGCTCTGGACGCTGGGCCTCATGGGACTGCACTGGGGCTCTCCCCTACAGCCTTGGGGAGTCAGGCTGCCCAGGACTTGAGCTTGCACCTACCCAAGGCTATGCCACGCAGGCGAGCACATGCAGCTGCCACTGGTGCCCGTACTGCTAGACGTGCTGAAGTTACGGAACCTTTCCTAAGAAATCAATATTCCATAGAAGCTGTGCCCTACAAACAGGGGACTGCCTTTCACACTCCCCCTCCACTGAGGGCACCTCCTGTTTGGGAAGGACGTACGACAGCTGTGCCCATGGCCTGGGTGCCCAGCTGACCCCCGGCAAAGGCTTGGTGGGTGAGCTGACTCGGAGGAGCTTCTAGCAAGGTTTGTTAACATCCTCCCCTCCGCCACCATCCTGTGCTTTAGTGACTCAGGGCTGAGAGGCTGGCGGAGAAACATTTGGATTGAAGAATGCCACCCTCGCCCCTGCACAGCTCCCACTCCCAGCCCTCCTGGTGTCTCTGCTCTCCAGGCAACAAGACCCATCCGTTGCCGGAAGAGGAGCATGCAAAGGCCAGGCCTGCCCGGAGATGCCCGGGGAGCTCGTGAGGCACAGGCCTGCTCGGCCTCAGGAAATAGCGGTTCCCTCTTCATCCCCAGGGCTGGGGAAGAAAATGCAGAACACTCCCAAGGGGGACTTGAGTGAGTGCAAGTTTGCTTGGCAGAACCGAGGGCACAGCTGGGTCTCTGACTCCGAAGCAGCTGGGTCCATCTGCTGCTGACGGGAGTCTCAGGGTGAGGCGACGGGGCCGCCCCAGCCCTCGCCCTCCATTCCACCCGGAACCCCAAGGCCACTGCCGTCCTTCCTGTCCCTTCCTTGGGGATGGCCATTGGGAAGTGGCCATCTTGTTTCCTGTCAGACCCCACGCCCTCCCGAATCCCAAAGGTGCTCCCCAGAGACCTTGAAATCAGACACAGGAACCGCCAGCCCCGGGCAAGGTGGAGGGGCACGGGAGCTGCACTTTGCTGGGGGTAGAGAGGTCTTTAGCCTAGCAGTGCCTCTGGCGGCCGGCCCAACTCACACCCTCTGACATGGAGGGCTTTGGCTGAAGGCATCCATATCTGTTAAGGGACAGTTTGTTCAGGGCCCGATTCCGGGCCACTCTCCAGGCAAATGAGGTTTTGGGGAGAGACCGTGGGAAAGGTGATGGCCGTCAAAGCCTCACAGCTGGCACAGGGGCAGGCACGTTCCTGCCATAAGCCAAGCGCCCTCCTCAGGGCCCCGCCCATGGTCCCCACGCTGCCCTGCTGTTGGCTTGTCTCAGCACACCACGGCGCCTGCTGCTGCTGCCTCCGAGTGCTGGGTCCTCCCTGCCTGTGTCCCTGCATGGAACCTGGATCACATCTGCGGGCTCCGGAGCCAGGGTGCACACACATCCGAGACTTCATTTCTGGGTAACCATTGGGTCCCACAGAGATGGCTTCTGCAGCTGAAGCCTTCTGTTCACATGACAATCCCCCCACCCCCCTGCGCCAACCCTCCAACTCCTCCCTCTGCACCCTCCCATATCTGAAGCGCTTCAGCCGGCATCTTCTAGATGTACCCCGCTACCAGTTACCATGTCTTCAGAAGCACCCTACCTGTCTGCAGCCGCTCCCAAAGGAGCCCTGCCCAGACATTTGAAACAAAATGGCTCTGAAATGTCACTTGCAGACGAGGTCAAAGGCAGGCCAGCCGGGCAGCTGAGTGCCCAGGGGTGTGAGCACCAGGGAGGGACAGGAGGTAGGTGAGAGGGAAGGGAGGGGGGTAGAGCACAGAGCGCCAGCCTGTGCAGCGATTGATTTCTGCGGGCCGGGACCTGGTGAGCCATTAGCACCCCCATTTGGGGAGGGCTCAGGTTCAGGTTCAATACAATTCCCCTCTGGCCAGCTGCACTGGCTCCCTCTCCTTGTCTTGTCCTCCCGAGCAGCAGTGCATGTGCGTCTGGATATACATTACAGATGATATAATCCTTTTACCGGGACAGCCAGCCACCCACAGCCCTGGGCTAGACAGGGGAAGGGAAGTGAGGGGAGACAAGGAGCCTCTGTCCAGACCCCATGCAGGGGAAGAGGAGGAGAGAGGGCAGCAGGTGACTTTCCCGCGTGGCCCAGGGACGTCCAGGGCTAAGGGAACCAGGAGAGAGGGGAGCCACCAAGGGTGAAACGATGGGTCTGGGGAGATTGGGGGTGCCAAGGATGTTCCCAGTCCACCTGGCTCCCCTGCTGCAGATCCCCCCAACCTTTGCCCCGCCTGGCCCAGGAGGAAAGGCCCACCTGCCTTTCTGGCCGCATTTCAGCATCCCCCACCCCGTCCCCCTTCCAGGAACATGCTTCTCCAGTCAGGGTGTCTCACCACAGGTAACAAGATAAGACACGAGACAGGCAGCCATGGCCAGGCCCAGGCAGGGGCTTGTGGCGAGCGCTTGCCCTGGCTCAGATGTCTGTGGGGGTGGAGAGCGGCTCCTGGAGGCTGTGGGTTTTTCTCATCTCACTCCTCGGGGGCCTCTGCCCCTGCGCGCTCGGTCACAGCACCTGTTGGCTTGTCTGGCTGCCTCCCTCCACCACTCCCCATCTCCTCCCAGCACCGAAAGGCCCAGCCTGGTGGGCCCCATTGGCTTCCTGCACCCAGACCCATCCCCACCCTCAGGCTGCTGAGCCCCTTGCTGCTCTGGCATCTGGGAGCACCCAGCACCTCTCCTGCCCACCGCTGCCACTTGCCCAAGGCCCTGCAGCGATCAGGGGCACAGCTGGAGACAGAATCACAGCTGTGGGTGCCACGAGTCACCTTCCAGGCAAGGAGTCCCAGCTGATGGAGACTTGTGGCCTCCAGGACAGGGGCGCCGCGTGGGCCACCCTTGGAAGCACAGCTGTCCTGAAGCTTCCACCTTGTGTGCAGGCCCCTTGGGTAATGGTGACAGCAGCTCCAGGGACAGATGAGGGTCTCCTCCCTCCCACCACTGGTGCCGTGACCGTGAGGACAAGCCATGCTGTTTGCTGCACTTCTTGTTTGCTTCTGGATGAGGATGCTGAAGTATGGAATGTGGGGGCGGTGACCGGGCTATGTGCTCAGTTCCACAGACTAGCAGCCAGGGCCCCATGGCCAGGGCGCCCCTCCGCAGGGAACTGCCTCTGCCCTTGAGTGGCTCTTTCTTATAGGCTGGGGGACAGGCAGGAGGGGAGCTGCTGGCTCAGGCCTCAGTCACCTGGCAAGCCACCCACCCGGCCAGAGCAAGGAAGGAGGCAGCTCCCTCCTGGTTGCAGAAGGGTGCTGGAGAGCCATGGGTGCGACCGGAATTGCAGAGAAGAGCTGGCCTGTCCTTGAATGTGGGCCGCCCCCACCAGGGTGGAGTTCAAGGCTGTGGTCCAGAGCATGTGCACCCCAGCCCAGGTGTGGGCCTTCTCCTCTGTCACCTTCTCTTAGCCCTGCTGCCCCCCATCCCCGGGTTCTCGCTGCCCCCTCTTCATTCTCCTGCCTGAGAGCCTCGCCACAGGAAGGCTCGGGATATTTCTGCCAGCTCTCTGGGGAGTTCTCCCGTCTAAATTTAGAGAGCGGCTATTACCCCTCAGTACCTGCTTCCCACATCGGTGGCTGATTTGGGTCCCGAGGGCCCCAGAGAGGAGAGCAGTGCAGATGCGGTGCCACGTGACCTGCCCACACCTCGGGGCCGGCTCCTGGGCAGAGAGAAGGTGGAGAGGAGGGGGAAGGTGAGAAAGGTGGCAGCCACGTCCCAGGGATCAACCGCATCCACGCGGAGAGGGCCAGTGGGCCTCTGCCTGAGAGATGCCATGGATGGGAAGGGGACAGCCAAGGCTCCTTGTGTGGGGTCAGGCATGCAGCCTGGCCTTTCCCGGTGGGAGGCTGTGGCAGGTCACTGAGCCCCTTCCAGGGCTTCTTACTGCCCTGCCTGCAACGACAGGGTAACCATCTCCACAGCCATCTCCCTTCCACCACTGCACACTGCATGCCCACTGCCATGTCAGTGTTATACAGAGAAAAGGAGGGTGCACACAGGCGGCTCTGGGAGTTAGTCATCAGTCCTGGCCACTGCTGTCACCACCTGGAGCAGGGCCTGAGACTCGTTCTTCACTGCCTTTTGAGCTCCAAGAAGGACGGCTGTGGCTGACATGGGCTGGGACCATGAGGGTGACCCAGGGTCCAGTCTGTCAGCCTGTAAGGCTCAGCTCTCAGGATGCGTGGTTGGAGAGCTGGCCAGAGCCATGAGGACCATGGCTGCCTGTTCTTCTCAGCCCTAAAGGGGAAAGCAGGGGAGGCTGAGGATGGGATCCCCAGGACCATGAGCCTAGGTGGACTTCCCAGTCGGCAGGGCAGCCAGCTTGAGACTGGCTTCCTGGAGGGGTGTGCGTCCCGTCTCTAGAGGGTCCAAGCAGAAGCCGCAGGGCTGCTGCCTTTCTTGTGCTACCCGCTGCAGTGGTGAGCCCAGCCAGAGGGAGGTGTCACAGATGGCTGGTGCTGAGGCTGGCTCCTTGGCATCTGAGGATTGGCCTGCTCCCAGCACTGCCCCCTGGCTGGCTGTGGTCAGAATTGCCCTATGGTGGATGGTGGGTGGTTCTTTGGAGCTCAGCACAGGCAAGGCAGGGAGATCTGCCTGGAAGCTCTTGGGCCGGGTCTCCTGGCAGGCGGCGTCTCTGGTGCATGCTCACTTCCCTCTTCTCGGCCCAGCTCAGCCAGAACCTCAAGGGCCCCAAGGGAGCCACAGTGAAGGCCCTTGCTCGGCCTCTGAAGGGTCTTTTGTGTCCTCATAGTTTGGGTCGGTGCTACCTGTCGCTTGTCACTTCTCATGTTGCCCGAAGACCTGTAGGACCAGGAGCTGGTGATCCTCAGCAGACTGCCATCCTGTTTCTCTGAGCATGTCGCTTATTGATTGTTGTTTTGGGGGAGGGATGAGTGTCGGGACCTCCTAGCCCACCGCCTGGCTGACTTCACTCCAGTGCTCATACACTGGCCTGTGACACCAGGTCTCTGCCCCAGGCTCCTGGGCCCAGCTGCCCCCAGGTGGGTTCCCTTGGGTGACCTCCAGGCTTCTCAAACTCACGTGTCCCAGACACAAGCCCAGGGCTCTTATCTCAGTGACAGCCACATCGGGTCTGCCTGGGTAGGCTCTGTAGGCCGCAAGGGAGAGAAGTGTCCAGAGGCTGTCTTCAGGAAAAGGGGACGTGTAGTGCCCAGAACGTCCTCTCCTCAGCCAAGCCCACCTATCCCCCAGGGCTCCTCCCATCCCCGTGTCCTCCATCCTCTGGCCCTCATCCCCTGGCCACCAGCCTTGAGCCTGCCCATCCTGACCTCCCTAAAAGGCCTGAGCATCTCAAAATTGTTCTGTGCCACCCCACAGCTTCCAAGTTGAGAGCCCCCTTTGGCCTGGTTTCTCCTGAGCTGCTGCCGGTGGGTGCTGTGTGTTCTCCCACCCGCCTCCCCAGAGCCCAGGCCAGCTGGCATCGCCTTCCTTGAGAAGTGGCGGCTTCCAGACGGGACTCATCTGCCTCCTGCCAAACTCCAAGGCCTGCAAGGCTCTTCCTCCACCTGCCCCTGCTTGCTTGGGTCCCCTCCTAAGGCCTCCCTCCTCATGCCCACCCCCTCCTGGTTTTCTTTCCCTCACTCTGGCCACTTGTCCCAAGTCTCTTTCTTATGTCCCTCTTCTGGGGGACGACTGTGACATCAGTGTCTCCTGGGTTCCATGCCTGTAGCTCCATTGCTGCCTGGATGTCCCAAAGTTCTTCCCTCCACACCCCAAACTCGGGGGTGCCCTTGATTCCTCTCTCTCCATAATCACCCCTCACATTGCTGGATTTTCTCTTCACCCAGGCCCTGTCCCCTCTCGCTTGGACGACGGCCCCAGCCTCGCACCCATCCTCCACATCAAGGCCAGAGGAAGTGTCCTTGCCCAGATGCCTGGCCACTTCTCCTCTCAGCCCCCTTCAGTGGCCCCTCGTGGCCTCAAGGACAAAGTCCAGCTCCACGGCCCTGAGCCATCTGGCTCCTGCTCGCTTCCCCGGAGTCCTCTCCCCGACTTCCTCCAGGCCCACATTCCAGCCCCAACTCGCGCCTTGCAGTTGCCAGAACGAAGCAGGATATCGCGTGTTCCCTTGCCTTATTCTAAAGAAGGTCACATGCTGAGGCTCCAGGTGGACAGATATTTTGGGGGGGCACTGTTTAGCGTGCTGCAGTCCTCTCTCTGTTCCCTCACTTCATGTCCATCACATGTGCAAAGTACATTCACCCACATCTTTGCCTATGTGCCTGCACCCTCCTGCTGTACACGCTGCCCCACATCTGCCTGGCAGGGCACTCATCTTTCCAGCCTCCCCTCAATGCTGGTGCTGGCACGAGAGTCCTTTCTTTCCTTTGCTAGGACCACCCAACACAGAATGCCTGTGTCCTGCTTGCCCCGGACCACTGCTGTCCTTGGCTGAGGAGCAGACGGGACGTTTGGAGGAGCGGCATCTGTCTCCAGGGCTTTGCACCCGGCCTGGCTCTGGGATGGGGCCGTAGCAATGTGTGTAGACCCCAGGAGGGAAGGAATTAAAGAGCCTGAGATCCCTGCTCTGGTGGCCCTGTGCGGCTGTGTCTGTAGGTAGGATGGGGCAGTGGGTGGGGAGTGGGTCAGGGCTCCTGGGCCACTGCCTGGCCCCCTGCGCTCCCTCCACCCTTCACTGAAGGAGGAAGCCGGGCTATAGCACAATTGTGGGAGGGGGTGCCTGAGATGGAGATGGGCAGGGTTGGGGTGTCCCCCAAAGGAGGAGGGGAGGGGGTGAGCATGCAGAGCAGAAATCAACCCCTTGAGGTCCTGTCCCCAGCCCAGCAGTGCTCTCCCAATGCTTTCTCGGTGGAGAGAGTGGGCATCTGTCCATGAGCACAGGGTTGTGCGAGGGGGATGCCGCTGATGACAGATGACGATGAGAGGCTTGGGGCCTGGAGGAGCAGCTGGACACGGCCTCTGATGGGCTGTGGGGCGCACTGACAGAGAGATGCGGAACCCCACATTCGTGTCATGTCCTGGCCTGAGAGGGGCCCTCCAGCCTTTGCAAGATGCCCCACTCCCTCCAGGCACCCCTTGGCCTGCAGTGGGCATGGTCCTTACCCCCCTCAGCAGGTTGCTTCTTGGCTCGGTGTCCTGGCACCGTGTTCCCCGCCTGCAGTGTCCTCCCCTCCTCCCTGTTGGCCCCACAGTGCTGGGCATGCCCCTCAGGTGCCCTGCTTCCCTCCCGCGTGGCATCGGCCAGCTGGTGAGGGCATGGGCACTGCAGATGCCTCTGTGCTCCAGGGTGCCTGGCATCGGGCCTGGGCACAGATTTCTGGTGGGTTGTTTATTTATTTATTTATTTTTTGAGACAGGGTCTCACTCTGTCACCCAGGCTGGAGGGCAGTGGATCAATCACAGTTCACTGCAGCCTCAACCCCCAGGCTCAAGCGATCCTCCACCTCAGCCCTCCAAGTAGTTGGGACAACAGGCACGCACCACCCACTTGGCTAATCAATTTTTTTTTTTTTTTTGTTGAGACAGGGTCTCCCTATGTTGTCCAGACTGGTCTGGAACTCCTGGGCTCAAGTGATCCTCCTGCCTGGGCCTCCCAAAGCGCTGGGATTGCAGGTGCGAGCCACTGCACTGGGTACCGAGTTCTGAGTGGAGCATGGCGAACTGGGGCGGCTTTCTGCCTGGCTACGCTATTGGGGCCCAGAGAGGCCCATGCCCGCAGGTGGCACTCGAGGCACACCCCGCAGTCCCTTCCCTGCCCAGGTCCTCCCCCTACCCAGGTCCTCCCCCTACCCTCATCTTGGTGTGTACCATGCGGCCTCGTTCTTTCTGTGGCCTTGTCCTGTCTTGAAAAGACTGGGAATTCCTGGGTGAGGCCCATGGGCCTGCTGTGGAATCCCTTTCTCCCGTGCACTGGCGTGCCCCAGAGCCCGAGGGCACTGAGCCTTTTCTCCCCCTGCCTCTCACCTGCCCACCTGTCCCCACTTCTGCTCCAGGGAGCCCGCTGGGTCCCTGTTGCTGCTGTCAGTCCCTTGTTTCTGCCATTCCCTTTCTCTAAATGCACCCTGACCTCTGTTGGAGGCCCCTCCGGCCTTCCCAGCCCAGCCCCGGCCTAGCCCTGCTCCCTTCTCCTGGCACCTGGGCACCCTTCATGGTTTCATGATGCTCCAGGTGGCTGTGCGCCGTCTCAGAGAGCACAGAGTGTGGCTGCCAGGGCCAGGCTGGCCACAGGCCTCCCAGTCTCCCTCAGCTGGCCTGGCCTGAGGCGGGCTGGCCACCCCCCAGGGGCTGGCTAGGCGTGCGCTAGAGGAATAAGGGGGGACAGGGGCAGGAGGAGGGCCAGCTGCCATGTCATCACAATGGTGGTCCCTGGGACACCTCTCCCTGGAATTCTGTGACCAGTCAGCTGCAGGCCTTGGTTACTGAGGAAACCGAAGCCTCGTGTGAGCGCTCGTCATCTGGGAGGAGGGATTCAGGCAGAGTGCGCCTCCGTGAGGGACCAGGTGCTCGGGTGACTGCCCGAATCCTCCTGGGCAGGCTCAGAGATGTGCGCCGAGAGCCTGGCTGCTCCCAGGGCTGCAGAGGCCCTGGGTGAGATGGGGCTGGAAGCAGTGAGGAAGCTGGCCCTGTCCGGAGCCAGAGCAGCCACACTATGTCCACACATAGCTGTGCATATACCTTCACAAGGACGGGGACAGCAGAACGCCTCTCAGCCACGTAGGCCAACTGGCAAGGAGGCAGCCAAGGTTGAGCTATATATATATGTATATATATATCAAAGGATACAATAGAGACAAGGCTAACACTTTCTAGTACAGCCTTAGTATAGAGCTTGCTGTGGAGGCAGAGATCCACAAGCCAGAGAACACCAAAGATCAGCCACAACCCGACAGAAGCCAGGGGAGAGGCCTGGGACGGACCTTTCCCTCCAGCCTTCAGAGGGACCACAGCCCTGCCGACACCCTGATCTTGAACTTCTGGCCTCCAGAGCTGGGAGAGAATAAATGTGTGCTGTTTTCACACATCCCGTGTGCAGCATTTTTTGACAGCAGCTCTAGCAAATGAATGCAGTGCTTCGGGAGTTTCGGGAAGCTTTCTTAAGTGCTCTATCGTTTAACTCAAAAAGATCCCTGTGAAGTTGAGGGTCTTAGCATTTCACAGATGAGGAAATGAAGACTCTGAACATCTGAATGACTTGTTCTTGTTCAGACTAATTCAGCCAGCTGGAGGTAGACCCAGAGTTCAATTAAACTCTTCGATGTGAAGTCTGGATCCAGGAAAGTAAATGTAAGTGCTCTAACATCTTCCAGCTTCCCGATATATTCAGGGTTTAATGTTTTTTGAAAGCTTTGAGCTCTCCAGATATTGTTCAAGTCAACCCTCTCCCATGCACCAACCTGCCTCTGAGAAACTGATTCCTTTTTAGGGAGAGAAAAAATTGCCTTTCTTTTTGTGCTATAAATGTCCCCCAGGGCACTGCTTTAGCTGCATCCCACAAATTTTCCTGTTTTGTAGTTTTGTTTTTGACTATTTTGGTGTATTTAAAAAGTTTTTCCTTTAGACTTCCTCTTGGACCCATGGGCTATTTAGAAGCATGTTGTTTACTTTCCTGGTGTTTGGAGATTTTGCTGTGATTCATTTGGAATTTGATTCTATTGTGGTCAGTGAACACACTGTATGATTTTAGCTCTGTTAAATTCGTTGAGGTTTGCCTGGGATATCGTCTATATTGGGATGTGCCCCATGGGTATTCTGCTGTTGTTGGGCAGAGTGTTCTGTAAATGTCTATCAGATCCTGTTTATAGATGGTAATGTTGAGTTCTTTTATAATTTGCTGATTTTCTGTCTAGTTGTTTTGTCAATTTTTGAGAGAAGTGTGTTAAAATCTCCAACCATAATTGTGGATTTGTCTATTTCCCCTTCCAGTTTTATTAGAGTTGTTTGTTATTGAGACAGGATCTGGTTCTGTTGCCCAGGCTGGAGTGCAGTAGGATAATCACAGCTCACTGCAGTCTCAACCTCCCAGGCTCCGGTGATCCTCCCACTTCAGCCTCCCAAGTAGCTGGGACCACAGGCACACACCACCACACCCGGCTGATTTTTATATTTTTTTGTAGATATGGGGTTTTGCCATGTTGCCCAGGCTGGTCTTGAACTCATGAGCCAAAGCAATCTGCCGGCCTCAGTCTTCCAAAGTGCTGGGGTAACAGGCATGAGTCACTGCACCTAGCCCTCCAGTTTTATGAGTTTTTGCTTCACATATTTTGCAGTTCTGTGGTTTGGTGTATACGCATTTAAGATTGCTATGTTTTCTTGGTGGAATGACCCTTTATCATACACAGTTTTGTTGTTGAAATGAATTTTAAAGATTTTTATGCAGGTGATTTTTTTTTAACCAGTTACAGTTTTCATGATATTTGGCGCCTGGCAACAGAAGAGGGTCTCCGTGAAAAGAGACTCAACTCAGAGGAGGTAGTTTTGCTTTCTTTAGCTATTCCAGACCGAGACTGAGGAAGAGGAAGGACAGCCTGCACCTCCCTCTGCCCCTCACCATGGAAAAGGGACAAAGCTACCAGTGAACATTCTCATCCACTTGGAGATGCCGATATAACAGAAGCACAAATGGGGCTGGAGGTTTTGATAAGAAACTTGTAACTCCTTAAAGAGGTGTTTGATGAATTGTTTATTCTGCCTCTGACATAGACTCATATTTAACAAGCAGTGGCAGCTCATGGCTGATATTGAAACAAGGTCCTTAGTTTTTTCTTAGTTAAATGGCATTTCTTTAAATCCTGGTCTACATTATGGCTTTTCCTGAGTGTGTATTCCAGTATAGTAATTCATGGCTGGTGATGTTAACTAAGAGCTTATCTTTAGGGAGAAGCATGATGCAGTAAGCTCCCAATCCGTGCCTGTGGAGTGAATGGATGAACCAATTCAGTTGGGTTCTGGGGACAATCTAGGTCTGTGATAGTTACTGGGATGGTGGCTGAGGTCTCAGGAGCAAGTGACTCACTTTTAACAAGTAGCTCACAAGACCCACAGGTAGGACAGGACCAGGGAAAGCCACTGGCTCTGCAGAGGAAGACGGCAGGCCACTGAGCTGCCGCTCAAAGTAGGAGTTCACCAGGTGGCTCTGGAAAGCAAGTCGTAGCAGGCTGGGGGCACAGCATGGGCAAGAGCACGGAGGCACAGAAATACTTCCCCTGCTCAGGGACCTAGAAAGAGGGTCTGTAGGCCGGGCGCAGTGGCTCTCGCCTGTAATCCCAGCACTTTGGGAGGCCGAGGCAGGTGGATCAGTTGAGGTCAGGAGTTCGAGAGAAGCCTGGCCAACATGGTAAAACCCCGTCTCTACTAAAAATACAAAAATTAACCGGGTGTGGTGGTGCACGCCTGTGATCCCAGCTACTCAGGAGGCTGAGTCAGGAGAATTGATTGAACCTGGGAGGCGGAGGTTTCAGTGAGCCGAGATAGTGTCACTGCATTCCAGCCTGGGTGACAAGAGCAAGACTCCATCTCAAAAAAAAAAAAAAGAAAGAAAAGAAAGAAAGATGGTCCATAGTATTCCTGGAGTGTACTGTACCACAGGGCGTTTGTGCGTGTGCTCATGTGCGTGTGCACGCAAGTGTGTAGATATTCAGGATAAAAATGAGGCTGAAGGTTGAAGAGCCGGGATGTGCCACACGGCTGCCACCTCAGAGGAGGGAGCTGTGGGGAGGGAGACAGCAGAGGCTGCCCTTTTGTTCAAGAGCCTAAAGATGCTTCCTGAATGCCAGCTCGGCTCCTGGAGTCCCTGAGGCAGGGCGCACTTGCTCCCCTGGGTCATGCACAAATGCACTTATGTGTGTACACAGACACAGACATGCACAGGCAGACAGACAGACAGACAGACACACACACACACACACACACACACACACACACATGGGCCTGCCTTGTTCACTGGCGCAGCCCTCCCCAGGCTCTCACACGGCCTCCTGCACACTCCTGCCTGCAGGCACACAGGCAGGCACTCCCGCGTGTTCCGAGTGTGTGCTCATGTATGCGTCCTTGCCAGCCTGATGCTGCTGGCCTTTGAGGCCCCTCAGTGCCGCCTTGCTCCTGGACCCCGTTTTAGCTGGCTGCCTGGGGCTAATCCCTTCCCTTGCCCCCTCCCCCGGCTCTTGGCCCTGTGTACCCTCCAGAGTGTGGGTGAGAGGGTCCTGGTGAGGCAGGCCTGCTGGGGGAGGGAGGGAGGCACTCTGCCCCATACCTGGGCCACGGGCATTCAGTGCTGGTTGCTGGCCCTAGCAGTCGAGTCCTCACGGGGAGGCCCACCTCTGGACCAGTCACCCAGGGCAAACAGGACGTGACCATCTGACTTGGCCACAGGCTGACAGACCCCTTGAGGCTATTCTCTCTCAGGATCTGTTTGTGCAGACAGCCTCAGAGCTGCAGGGCCCAGCCTCTCATGTTACCTGCATTGGGGAGCAAATGATTTTCACATGTATATGAAATGCAGAGGCTAGTGTACGTGTGTGTGTATGCATGTATGTGTGTTGGCCGCTCACTCCTCACCCAGCCCCTTAGGAGGTTGCTGAAGAAGAAAGGGCCAGAGCCTTCCAGAACCCCTTGGAGCAGCCTACATGCCTGCGTGTGTGCTCCCGGGAGGGGTGTGGAGAGAAGAGGCAACCGCACCTGGAGCCACTATAGATGTGGCGCGGCAGGGGAGCTCGGCATCAGAAATTGCTCAAGTACACTTGAGAATGTACTTGAATTGTACAGAATTGTACAACTGAATTGTACTTGAATGTACAGAATTGCTCCACTTGGGTGGAGGTGTGTAGTGTGCAAGGCCATCCCTGTGAGATGCTAGGTGGGCAGCTGGGCTCCCAGCTCTGGAGCTTGGCTAGAAGTCTGGCTGGTAGGGAGCGGGCAGGCCTCGGGGAGGGCGCCCCAGGCTGAGCAGCTGGCTTCCTTCCTGGCAGTCCCAGCCTCCCGGGCCTCTTGCCCGCCCCTTGAGGCCCCTGGCTGCCGCCCTCGCTGCCCCAGCCCCGGCCACACTGGCCCTTTGCACGGTGTTGACACACATTCCATCGCCTCTGCTTACCGCCTTGCTTTCCATGTGGGCAGATGCCTGCGGCGATGGCTGTCTGGGCCTGTCCTCTCCCTGGGACCCTACTTCCTGCATGGCGATCTTGCAAATACCTCCCACCCACACTGACTTTGACCTGGCCCAGTGGGGGCCCAGGGGGCTGATTCCTGGAGTTTCGGGCACCCCTATGAGTCCCCAGGCTGAGAGGGCCAACCTCCAGCCCTGGCTGGTGTAGACAAGGGTCCAGGTTCTGAACCCGGGTTTGCTGCCTGGAAGGCCCTGTCCCTGCTTAAGGCAGATGGAGGTGCCTCTCTCAGGAGGCCCCAGGCCTCGGGGCCACATTAAGGGGAGTGGAGAGGAGAGAGGGCTGTGTGAGGACCGCCGGCGGGGCCGGTGTGCCCTGTCATCCTCTCTAGGTTGGGCATGTGTTTGCAATTCTTTACAGTAAAAAACTGAAAACATGCTGGAAGGGAGATTGATCTCCTGACAGGATCATGGGCTTGTCAAGGTCGTCTTCACTTGCTCTAGGCGTCGCGCTCTTCAGCTGACCGCGCTGCTGCCTCCACCACCAATGTGTCCACACACGCGGTGCCAACAATGGTGCACACGGTGGCCCCTGCTCCCCCATTTCTAGGCTTGTGTGGGACCCGCAGCCCACTGCACACGGCCCTTCCTCCTGCGGTGGAAGTGGGGTGCACTCCCAGGGGCCCCCGGCCTAAGGGGCTCACTCCCCAGCCTCCATTCAGGTTGGCCGCTCATGCTCTCTGGAAATGAGCCAAGGACAACGGGAGCTGCCTTCCCAAGGTCGCCCCAGCCCCCACCAGGTTACTGGACGATGCGGGTGCAAAGGTCCCCCCGCCCCCCGCCTCCACGGCCCAGGAGGACTCTGGGCTCAGCTCATTCCCTCGTGTCGGAGTGGCCTGGGCTGCCGCAGCAAATGACCACAAACCGCTTGGCTTCAGCCAACAGGAATTGACTCTCCCAGTTCTGGAGGCCGGAGTCCAGAATCGAGTGCTTCCTCCGGTGGCTCTGGGGGCGGATCCACCCACCTCTTCCAGCTTCTGGGGGCCCTGGGCACTCCCCACCTTCGCCTCCACATGGCCTTCTCTGTGTCTCTCTCTCTTGTCCCTTCTAAGGAAACTGTCCTTGGATTTGGGGCCCCCTGGATCATCTGGGTTGCTCTCATCTCCACATCCTCAATTTAATGACATCTGCAGACACCCTTTATTTGCATATAAGGCCCTGATCACAGGGCCTGGGTGTTAAGATATGGATGTATCTTTCAGTGGGGGCACAAACCAGTCACCCCACAACGTCTCAACAGCCCAGGCCCCAGCCACAGCGCCCCGGTGAAGGGGCAAGCTTGGGCACCAGGACACACAGCCGAAGGCCACTGGGCACCTCCCTGCCTCTGCTTGAGGAAAGGGGCTCCGAAGCTGTCCCTGCACTGGGCCCCCTGGGGGCCCTGCTCCCTGCAGCCGGAGGTTCCCTGAGCGGCATCCCCGCCCTTCCCCTAAGCCCTGGGTGGACGGCTTTCGTCCTGGGAGCACAGGCCTGCTGAGGGCTCCTTGCTGTGGGCCAAGTGCTCCTGGCCAGGGCCCAGGGTCTCTGAAGAAAAGAAACCCCTGAGCTCTGGTTTCTCAGGGGCCAAGGGGGCACCTAACTCATGCTCAGCTCCCAGCAGCCAGGGCTGGGTGGGCAAGGCTGGGACATGGGAGCGCTGAACCCTCGGTATATTAAGGGGACACCGGTGCCTGGTGAATGCAAAGCCCTAACGTCCCTGTCCTCCAGATCAGGACGCTTAAACTCATTGAACCTCCTTTTTCAACTAGATGCCAGTGTGGGAAAGGCCTCTGCCCCCAGGATCCCGCAGCCAGCCTGGCCAGCTGAGCCAGCCTAAGGCAGAGGAGGGTCCCCCAACTCTCCTTCCACCTCCTTCAGACCATGTGGCTCCACAGTTGGCCCTGGGGGGAGGTGCTGCCTTGGCTCCCGCCCTGCCGTGAAGGTGGCTCACAGCCCCCTTTGGCCTGGTCTTTTCCCACTGGCTCAGTCCTTTGGGGGACTCGCTCACTTCCCATGGACAGCTTGGCTTCACCCTGGACTTCCCTGCTGGGCCTCTGGGGGCCTGCTGCTGACCTGTCCCCAGGAGGGAGCTGCCTCTGGCCTGGCAGGTGCCCCCAGCACAGCGGGCAGGACCACAGCTGTGGGACGGCGCTTGCTCCCCTGTGCCCCGGCTACCTCGCCTGCCCATCGTGGGCCAGCCTGGGACAAGAGGAGAACGGGAGACTGGAGCTGGGGGGCAGCCAGGCCAGCCAGACTGGGAGGGGGTGGCCGGGACCCAGGGAGGAGAGGGGAACTCCCCGCTCCCAGACCCCCCGACTCTTCCTCCCCAGCCCCTCCTCACCCACCTTCACACTCCAGCTCTTTCTCCTCCCTTGGCTCTGCCAGGGGCTGTCTCACCCCCTGGACTGCTGACCTGCCGGGCAGTGGCCGCTTTGCAAGTGGCTTCTGGGCCAATGCCCGGAGGGGTGGCGCGAGAAGACTGACCAAGAGGAAGAGATTTGGCTCCAGGGCAGTGAGTGGAAGGCTCTTTCCCCCGGGTACCCCGTCTACCCTTCAAAGAGGGGGAGGGTACGCCAGCCATGCCTCAACAACAGTCGTCCATTTCAGAGGCTGCCCAGACCACCCTCTGCTCCCTGCAGGAAATACTGAACCTCTTCATTCATTCATTCATTCATTCAACACATATTGAAGCACCTGTGCTGGTGATAGAAGAGTGGACTCGACCAAGTGTCTGTCGCCATGACTTTGATATCCTAGCTGGGGAGTCGGAAGGTTACCTGAATGAAGGTCAGGTTATTCCAAGCCAGGGTGCACCTGGGCCCAGGCATCCTCTGAGCCCCTTAGCACGAGCATGGCTGTGGCAGGTTCCTGACTCGCCAACCTCTTGTCCTCTGGCACCTGGAGGACCCTGGGTGGCAGTGCCTGTACAGCCGTGAGACCTCCCTGGGGTCCAGAAACTGTGGCTACTGGGCTTCATGGTAAGCCCGGGCTCCTAGGCCTGTGAGGCGCTGGGGCTCTGGCCAGCCTGTAGCCTTCAGTGGGGTGGGTCTGCACAATGGAGCCTCTGCCATGGCCTTCCCTTCCCTCCTTCCTTGCAGTTAACCTACATTTGGTGTCTCCTGGCTTTGCCCTTCATTTCTCCTGCTCACGGTGCCAGCCTCTGAGAACAGGCTGCTGGGCCGTCCCAGTCCCTCCTGCCCCTCCCCCTTACTTGAAGCCAGAGGTCATGGAGCTGAAGCACCAGGCCATGGAGGAGGGTCATGGGAGAGAGAAGGGAACTGTCCAAAGGGGGTGAAGGAGAAGGGGGGGACACCTGGTTGGGGCAGGTGACTGTCAAGAAGACTTTCCAGAAGTCTGGCTAGGAGGCACGGTCCTGTGAGCAAGAGGGTGTAGCTGGAGGGGGCTCCAGTCTGCCTGTCCCTCCCCCACCTTGGCTGTGTCCCCAGCCTTCCTCCCGGTGGCCCAGCCCAGCCCGGCCCTCGCAGTCAGTGAGTTCCTCCTGAGCCAGTTCTGACAGGGACCTGTCCTCCAGGTCAGGGGGTGTTCCATGTGGCTTGGTTCTGTGGGGTCCAGTCTGCCCAGCCAGCGGCCCTGGGGCTTGACTGTGGTTGGCGGCCCTTGATCCACGGCACCCACCACTTGTGTGTTTCAAGGGGCTTTTTCTCACCAAATGAGTGTCCCATGGTTGCCATAAGAAATGACTATGGACCCTGAGGCTTCAAACAGCAGCAATCTCTTCCCTCACAGCTCTGGAAGCCAGAAGTCTGAGATCCAGGTGTGCGCAGGGCCGAGTCTCTAGGGGGGATCCTTCCTGCTTCTTCCAGCTCCTGGGGGCTCCAGGCTTCCTCAATTTCTGCCTCCATCTCCACACGGCCTTCTCCTCTCTGTCTCTCCTGTGTCTCAGAAGGATGCCTGTCATTAGATTTGGCACCCCCTGCCCCCCGTCATGTAGGCTTACTGTCATCACATCTGCAGATACCCTCTTTCCTAAAAGGGTCCCACTCACAGGCTCCAGAATGTGGACACATCTTTTGGGGACCAGCACACCCCGACAGGCACCCCATTTCTGAGGACAGCAGCAGGTGGGTGCTGACGGGGCGGCTGCTCTCTGCTGAAGTGTGAAAGGGCTAAACCCTGCAGTAGGGACCCCTCCCTCCTCCTGGCCCAGCCGCCAAAGCCACACGCTCTGTCGCCCTTGCCTGCTCTGGCTCTGGAGAGCTGAGGGCCCTTCTGGGGGCCCAGATGTGTCCGTGGCTGAGCTCGGGTACAGGTTGGTGCCTGAGGTGTCCCTGTTTGTGACTGAGAGGAGTGGGCGTTGGAGAGGCCAAGTCCTTGACCTAACCTAGCCAGAGGGGAAGGGCCGGTGTCCTTGCAGAGGGGCTGACCTCAGGAGGGAGCAAACACAGGGGGCAAGGACAGGCCATCTGGAGGGCTGGCAGGAAGCAGAGTGGTGGGGGGCGGTGGGTCCAGTGGTGTCAGGGAGCTCTGGGGCCCGAAGGATGTAGGGGCAGGAGTGTGCCAAGACAAGGGTCCGCCCACGTCTTGGGGGCCTCCTCGAAGGCTTCCATCAGTCCCATCCCCCAAACCTTTGCTGTTCTACCCCTTCCTATCCCCATGCTTGGAAATTATGCGGCCACATAAATGCTGCTCACGGTGGGGCCATGCGAGCTGCATTTTGTTTTCCCAGGAGTTAATCATTGTCCTTTGGGTAGCTGTTTGCTCGTATCACGAACTCAACCCTAGACCCCATCCGTGTGTGGAAATGTTCTCTCAAGATGTCCAAACACAGCCGGCATTTGAGTGATTTCATCTTGCAGAAACCCTCTCACAGCAGAGCCTCTAACCTCCCCAGGCTGTCTGCCTCGCCCCTGCCCCTAGGCGAAGCTGGCATCCTGGGTCTCCCTCTGCCCTTCCCCCCTCCTATGTTGCAGCCCTCAGTTTATGGTCACTTTTCCTTTAAAAGTAATGTCCTGCTTGTGTAAAGTTAAAAACACACATTGAGAAAGAGCTAGACGGAATCTCAGTAGCCTTGACTGTTCCGCGTGACCTTGAGCAATCATCTCCCCTTGCGGGATCTCGCTCGCATTATCTCTGGAAGGACAGAGTTGGACTGCAGTCATTCATGAATGCTTCACTTATTCACCAGACACTCATTTCGTGGTGACTCTTAAGAAATGGTTTATCATGGAAAAGTTCAAACATAAACAAAGACAGAGTTCATGAAACCCTGTGGATCCATCAGCTGGCATCAACAGTTCGCCCACATTTTTCATTTATACTTTTCTTTTTTCTGCCGGAATATTTTTTAACTTGTTCTTTTTAAACTGTTAGATTCACGAGGACGTTGGTAAGAAGTGCCTGGGAGGCTGTGGCCCCTCCCCACAGGTCCCTCTGACATTGGCTACTTGAACGCCCGAGGCACAACCGGAACCTGGACGCGACATCGATGCTCGGGTGTCTCCTGTGTGCGCACACTCGTGTATGTGCGTCTCTATGCAACTTCATCACTGTGTACATTCATGGAACTGCCAGTGCAATCAAATTACAGAGCGGTTTCCTCACCACTCTGCTACCCCGTGCTACCCCTTTATAGATGTGTGTTTTTGTAAGAAACTGCCAACTGCTTTCCCGAGTGGCTGCCCGGTTTGACATATCCACTAGCGATGGGTGAGCGCTGGTTTCTCCACACACCCACTCCGGCATCTGCTGTGGTTTAGTTCAGCCATGGGATAGGTGTGTGATGCACCGCACTGCGGTTTTGATTTGTGTCTCCCTAACAGCTGGTGATGCTGAGCCCCTTTTCGTGTACCTCTTGACGACGGTAAGACTGATCAGCAGATTCAGATGGTGTCGGCCTGATCTGGCCTTTATAGAATTCTCTAGTATCCTTTTGCCCAGTGTTTTTATCACCTAGATCCATTATTTAGGGTTAAAAATGGTGATTTTTCGATTCGATTCTATAATTCTTCCTGCATTTCCTAGTTGGAATTCGGTAACAGAAGAGCTTTCCCTCATCGACTGTTTGGTCACCATAAAAAACAGGTGGGGCAGGAATAGCCAGATAGCCATGTGAGTCTTCTTTCTATACATCACCCTTCAGAGTCACAAGCCAGTCCCCAACAACTTCTGCAAGTGACCCACAATTAAGAATATTCTGACTCTGGGCTGGGCATGGTGGCTCACATCTATAATCCCAGCACTTTGGGAGGCCGAGGTGGGCAGATCATTTGAGGTCAGGAGTTCGAGACCAGCCTGACCAACGTGGTGAAACCCTGTCCCTACTAAAAATAGAAAAAAATTAGCCAGGCATGGTGGTGCACGCCTGTAGTCCCAGCTACTTGGGAGGCTGAGGCAGGAGAATCGCTTGAACCTGGGAGGTGGAGGTTGCAGTGAGCGGAGATCAACGCCGCTGCACTCCAGCCTGGGTGACAGAGCAAGACTGTGTTTCAAAAAAAACACATATATCCCACCAGGTGTGTACAATAAAAATACTGCTTTTCCTGTCTTGTCTTTTTCTTTTCTTTTCTTTCTTTTCCTTTCCTTTCCTTTCCTTTCTTTTCTTTTCCTTTCCTTTCTTTTCTTTCCTTTTCTTTTCTTTTTTTTTTTTTTCTGAGACGGAGTCTTGCTCTGTCGCCTAGGCTGGAGTGCAGTGGTGCAATCTTGGCTCACCACAACCTCTGCCTCCCAGGTTCAGGCGATTTTCCTGCCTCAGCCTCCTGAGTAAATGGGATTACAGGTGTGAGCCACCACGTCCGGTCAACCAAAATACTGTGTTTCAAGACACTTGAAATACTTCTATATATGATTATGCCGCCAACTTTTATATGGTTTGGTTCATCTGTTTCTGTTTGTTTGATTCTTAGGGATGGCAGTGATCTTTCTTTTTGATTTTTTATATTATGGAAAACTTTTTTCATTAAACAATATATGTGTATTCATATCCCCACATTTTTATACAAAAAATGGCATATTGTCGTGTGCCTCACTGTTGGGTGTATCTTGGTATGCTGGGGTGCCCAGGGCAGCATGCTGACTCTAGTTGCATAGTATTCCAACACGCAGGTCAGCCCCAGCTTGTTCAAACAGGCCCAGCTGATGGATGGTGGCGTCGTTTCCAGTACTTTGCTATTACAAATAATCACCCATTCTTGTTAGGTCTGTAGGACTCCTTCCCTCCCTCCCTCTCCCCCATTCGTTTGCATATATATATACACATATGTATATACATATATATACACACACATATATACATATATACACACACATATATACATATATACACACACATATATACATATATACATATATACACACATATATACATATATACATATATACACACATATATACATATATACATATATACACATATACATATATACACATATATACATATATACACATATATACATATATACATATATACACACATATATACATATATACATATATTCACACATATATACATATATACACATATATACATATATACACATATATACATATATACATATATACACATATATATACATATATACATATATACACACATATATACATATATACACATATATATACATATATACACATATATACATATATACATATATACACATATATATATACATATATACATATGTATGTGTGTGTGTGTGTGTATGGGTATATATATATATATTTGGTCATCTGTGTAGCTGAATCTCATCCTAACTGATAGAAGAGAGAACCATGCAGATGGTGGTGGGGGGGTGGTTCCTTTTAGACTTCTCATTCTGCAAGTGTTGGGCCTTGTCTTCTGTCCCCACAATCCATGAGGCCATGAAAACTGAAGCCCAAAGTCACCAGGGTCTGCAAATGCCCGAGGGTGACAGTTAGCCTCACTGTTCTGGTTACCTCTCGGAGTTCCTGCTTTGACTTAATTTTTGGACTCTGGGAATTCCTTACTTCTCTGCCATATCATTGGTGCATTTAGAAAAATGATTTTAAGGCCAGGCACAGTGGCTAATGCCTATAATGCCAGCACTTTGGGAGGCCGAGGCAGGAGGATCACTTGAGCCCAGGAGTTCGAGACCAGCCTAGGCAACAGAGTGAGACCCCCCGTCTCTATAAAAAATTAGCCAGGCATGGTGGCACCTGTAGTCTCAGCTACTCGGAAGGTGGGACCATAAAAGGTGTTGTCATCATCGTCAGGATGAACTGCAAATGTCGACCACTACCTCTTCATCACCAGGCCTCAAGGAGAATTGCTCATTTCTAAGCCTGGCATGAGGGGGAGGGGAAAATACCTCCTCTTGAGTATTTGTACTCACAAACCAGCAGCACATGGCTTTGCAGCTGGGATTTACAACACCCAGATAGGCCATTAACTCCTCAAACTGAGAATTTAGTTTAAAATACTTCTGGGCCAGGTGTGGTGGCTCATACCTGTAATCCCTCCACTTTAGGAGGCCAAGATGGGAGGATCACTAGAGCTCAGGGGTTCAAGACTAGCCTGGACAATATAGAGAGACCCCCCCCCCCCAATCTGTACAAAAAAAAAAAAAAAAGCTGGGTGTGGTGGCATCTGTGGTTCCAGCTACTCAGGAGGTTGAGGCAGGAGGATCACTTGAGCTCAGGAGTTGGAGGCTGCAATGAGCCATGATTGCGCCATTGCACTCCAGCCTGGGTGACAGAGTGAGACCCTGTCTCAAAAAAAAAAAAAAAAAAAAAAAAAAGGTTCTGGGTTAAAGTGCCCCGGAAAACTGTCAGAAGGCAATGCAAATCCTCTCTGGAGGGACCCACCTTCAACCAGGTCTCAAGGCATTCCCACTCTGAAGACCTGAGAAGGAAAAACATCCAGTAAAAAAATCCAAACACACGAGTGAAACAGGAAAGCGCTCCATGGGTGAGTGCCAGCAGAGCACAGCTCCCACAGCCAACGCTGGGATTATCAGCTACAGAGCATAACGTCAGTGTGTTTAATACATTGGGAGAAATCGAAGAGGGGGTTGAAAATATCAAAAAGGCAGCATTCTATGAAACAACCAAGGATATATGAAAATGAACCAAATTATACTTTTAAAAGTGGAAAATAAGGTAGTTGAATTTAAGAATTCAGTGAAGGACTTCCTCTTGTGATCATGATAAATTAGTGAATTCATGCCTCCGTCCTACTGAGGGCAATTAGAAAAGCTGGAAAAATATAAAAGTCACCTGCTTGAAGGCATCATAGAGCAAAAAGAGGATGAAGAACTTCCAGGGCAGGATGCTAGGGAGGCGAGGCCAGTGTTTGCAGCTGCTCACGCCCTGAGGGTGATTGGAGATTGAGAACAAGGGGAGTACAAACTGTCCAGGGCTTTTGACAGCTCCTGGGGCTATCAGGACAGGCACGGGAACCAGGACCCTGCTCATGGAGCACCCTGGTGCATCTCTCTCATTTCGGTGGGGACCCTGTAGGGCTGTTCTCTAGGAGTAAAGGTGATCCAGCAATGGAAAGTCTCCTAGTACTTCAGCTAGCTTTTTAGCCTCTCAATACCCAAAACTGGATTAGGGCAACTAATCTTAGATTGCTGGCATCCTCAGAAGCTGGGACAGCCAAGTGGCATCTTCTCTGGAGGAAGGTGACATTGCCCTCGTCCTTAAGTTATCACTATAAAAATGTTTGCAATTGAAATGTTCAGCAAACAATAAAAATAACTAGGCATATGAAGAGTGAAGGCAATATGAATGAAAGCAGCAGAAATAGACCCATAGTGGAATTATCAAATACAAACTTTAGGATAACCTACGGGAATCAAGACTGCATGGTATTGACATAAGAAAAGGCTCATAGATCCATGGAATAGAATTGAGAAGCCAGAAATAAACCCACACATCAATGGTCAATTGATTTTTGCCAAGTGCACCAAGACCATTCAATGGGAGAAAGAATCATCTCTTTAACAAACGGTGCTGGGGTAACTAAACATCCACATGCCAAAGAATGAAGCTGAACTCCAGCTTCACACCATACAGAAAAAGTCACTCAAAATGGATTAAAGACTCACATGCAAGCCCCAAAACTATGAAACTCTTAGAAGAAAACGTAGGTGTAAGTCTTCATGACCTTAGATCAGGCAATAGTTTCTTAAACGTGATACACAAAGCCCAAGTGACAAAAGATAAAATAGATACATTGGACTTCATCAAAATTGAACAGTTCTGTGCTGCAAATGTTACTATCAAGAAAGTGAAAAGACAACTCGCAGAATGAAATAGAAGATTTGCAAATTATATATCAGATAAGGGACTTGTATCTAGAATATATCAAGAACCTCACAAAAACCCACAATAAAAAGACAAATGACCCAATTTTTAAAGTGAGTGGAGGATTTGAATAGATATTTCTCCAAATAAGATGTGCGAGAGGCGAATGAGCACAGGAAAAGATGCTCGACATCACCAGTCATCAGAGAAATGCAAATCAAAGCCACATGAGATACCACTTCACACTAAGATGGCTCTGTTCAAAAGGACGGACACCGACAAGTGTTTCCCAGGCGTGGTGGCTCATACCTGCAATCCTAGACTTTGGGAGGCCAAGGTGGGCCCATCCCTGAGCCCACGAGCTCAAGACCAGCCTGGGCAAATGGTGAAACCCCATTTCTACAAAAAATACAAGAAAATTTAGCCAGGTGTGGTGGTGCACGCCTGTGGTCCCAGCTACTGTGGAGGCTGAGGTGGGAGGATCATGAGCCCAGGAGGTGGAGGCTGCAGTGAGCCATGATCGTGCCACTGCACTCCAGCCTGGGTAACACAGTGAGACACCATCTCTACAAAAAGTTAAAAAAAATTTAGCCAGGCATGTAGTTGTGCACCTGTGGTCCCAGCTACTGGGGAGGCTGAGGTGGGAGGGTTGCTTGAGCCTGGGAGGTTGACACTGCAGTGAGCTATGATCATGCCACTGTACTCCAGCCTGGGTGACAGAGCAAGACACTGTCTCAAAAAAAAAAAATACTATAATCTACAGACCTTAGAGTTTATTGATTGTGCCAATAATATCTTTTCTATAATGTTCTTTCCAGAAAAGGAGCACCTCTGATCACACGTTCTATGCAGTTGACCTAGCTCTTTAGTCTCCTTAAGTCTGGACCAGCTCTTTGTTCTTCGTGGTTTTCGACAGTTTTCAGGAGCATATGGGCCAGTGATTTTGCAGCATTTCTGTGTGTTGGGGCTTGGCTGATGTTTCCTCATGATTCCATCCAGGTTTTGCACTTTCCATGGGAATAGCTCAGAAGTGCTGCTTCCCTCTCTGTGTATGGCATCAGGAGGCCACGACACCAGTCCCCTTGTCCCATTGCTGATGATGATCACTTTGATCATGTGGTTAAGGTGGCATCTTCCAGATGTCTCTACTGTCCAGTTCCCATGAGTTTTTTCATCCATTGATTATTTTTTGCTTGAAACTCATTACTACAATAGTTGCCAAATGGCGATTTCCTATTTCCATCATTCCTTCTTCATTTATTATTTGGCTTTCTTCTGTGAGAAAGAGCTTCTCTTCTCCCCCTTTACAATCGTGTGTTGCTTAATGATGGGGCTATGTTATGAGAAGAGTGTTGTTAGGTGATTACATCATTGTGCGAACATCCTAGAGCGCACATACGCAAACCTAGATGGTGTAGCTTACTGCACTCCCAGGCTATATGGTATGGCCTATTGCTCCTGGGCTACAAACCTGTACACTATGATAATGTAGGCAGCTGTTAACACAGTGGTAAGTATTTGTGTGTCTAAACCTAGAAAAGGTCCAGTCAAAATGCAGTATTATAGGCTGGGCACGGTGGCTCACACCTGTAGTCTCAGCACTTTGGGAGGCTGAGGCGGGAGGATCACTTGATCCTAGAAATTCAAGAACATCCTGACCAACATAGTGAGACCCAATCTCTACAAAAAAGTTTAAAAATAGCCAGGTGTGGTGGCAGGTGCCAGCTACTAGGGAGGCTGACATGGGAGGATTGGTTGAGCCTGGGAGGTCTAGGCTGCAGTGAGCTGAGGTCACGCCACTGCACTCCAGTCTGGGCAACAGAGTGAGACCCCATCTCAAAAAGAAAAAAAAAGTGCAGTATTATAATCTCGTGGGAACACTGTCATATGTGCAGTTTGTTTTTGACCAAAGTGTCATTATTCAGTGTACAACTCTACTTATTTCTTTTTATCACTGTGGACTCGGGGGTTTCTTACTTTCTGGAAGAACAGGGTGTTCTAGGCTCATCTTGACTTTCCCTGGTCTCCTTTTCTGGAATCAGCCATTTCTCCTAGGATCCCTAATTCATTTTGAGTGGATAATGACACTTAGAAGCTTACTGGGAAATTGCACACACATAGAGAATACATACATATATGTGTATATATGTATATACAGTCCCATATCTATCTATCTCTCTCTCTGTCTCTCTCTCTATATATATCCATCTATCTATCTACCATGAGTTCATACTGACCCATCCAATTTCAACCCAACAGCACCACGTCCCTTCTAGTCTTCCTCCTACTTGCTGGTTGGTAACTTCTTTCCCTCTTGCTGAGAAAGTTGGCTCCCATTACCTGAAATATATTTATGTATTTGCTCAGTCCTAGAATACTTGGAAAGTAGTTTCAGAATCATCAACTCATGTCTCTGGAAAGGAGAAAACTACTCTGCAGATTTCCAGGTTTGTCTAGAGTTATTTTTGTTTTTCACTCGAGGACATATAGTCCCATACCGTGTTCAGGTTGCTTGCCGAGTTTTTTTCTCTTTCAAGGTGGTTGTGTTATTGTTCGATATATGGTTTGCTTCACTTGTTTCCGTTTGTATTTCCTGTGAGGATCTATTTCCCCACCCTTGTGACTTGATCTGTTTTAGGTACTTTGAAGTTCAAATGCTCTCTGTCTTCTGATTATGACGAGGACATGGGTTTTGGGTGGGTTTATTTGTGCTTGCTTTTTAAAAGTGATTTTGGTTTGGAAGCTCTGTTGAGAGTTCCAGATTTAAGGGGCTGCCATTACCTTGGATATCCAGGATTTTCTGAAAAATCAATGTTTTGAGCATGCCAGTTCTTTCCAATTTAAGTTTTAGATTGAACGTAATTGTAATCTAAATGCCATTTGTAAACGGAGCTTGACAAGGTGGTTCTTAAATCTATATGGAAGAACAAATGGCACAGCTAAGACAGAGAGAAGGAGGAGGTGGGTGGAGTTGCCTCGGCAGATTCTAAGAATTATTATAAAGGTGCCATATTTAAGATAGTGCGGGCTGGGCACAGTGGCTCATGCCTGGAATCCCAGCACTTTGCGAGGCTGAAGAGGAGGATCACTTGAGCCCAGGAGTTTGAGACCAGCCTGGGCAACACATGGTGAGACCCTGTCTCTACAAAACGTACAAAAAATTGGCCAGGCATGGTGGCGGGCATCTGTAGTCCCAGCTACTCAGGGGGCTAAGGTGGGAGGACCACCTGAGCCCGGGAGGTCGAGGCTGTGGTGAGCTGAGATCGCGCCACTGCACTCTAGCTTGGGTGACAGAGTGATACCCTGTCTCAAAACAAACAAACAAACAACAACAACAACAAAAACCTTGATGTATGACAAAGCTGGCATTGCTGGCCAGTGGGGGAAGGAGATGTTCAATAAATAATGCTGGACAATTGGTTATCCATATGGAAAATAAGGTCTGACGACATCAAGTGTTGGCAAGGCTGTGAAACCGCTAGAAAGCTTGTATACTACAGGGGGGGGCATATGGATTGGTACAACCACTTGAGAAAACAATTTTTCATTGCCCAGCAAAGTTGCAAGTGTACATTTCTGGTGGCCCAGGGATTTTCCTCTGGATATGCCCACTAGTGAAACTTGTGCTGGGCATCAGGACTCTGGTAACAGCCCAAAAAGTGGAAACAATTCCCCCTTCCACCAAGCAGATGATGCAGAGATCAGTTGTAGTTTAATCCCACAACAGAACAGAATGCTTGCGGGAAGAATGGATTACAGCTCTTCGTCTCGGGAATACCACATTCAGCGGAAAGGCAGGTTACAGAATAATACAGACAGTATGATTCCATTTGTATAAAATTCAAAACAGGCAAAACTAAAAAATATATTGTTTGGGGATGCAAAGGTGGTGAAACTATAAAGAAATACACAGGAGTGGTATATGCAAAATTCCAGAAGGTCACCTCTGAAGTGGGGGTAGGGGACATGGGGCAATGAGAAGGGTCACCCAAGGTCCTTCAAAGGGAACGTTACCTTTCTTCTAAGCTGGTGGTGAGTACACAGAGGTTTGTTGTATTGTTCTTTACACTTACACATATTTTGTAAATGTCCTTTTGTGTCTACTCAGTATCTACTAGACCGTTTTAAAAGGTGAGAGTTCTGCTGAATTCCATATGGAGAGGCACCGTGATCCTTTTGTGGCTGAGAAACCTCAAAAGTCTTCATTAGGCCCTGGTGACCCCCCCAGGTAACAGATGAGGGGAAAAATTGGGTCCCAGGACTGGCTCTGACTGCTGCCATCTCTGGTCACAACAGCTGGTACCCACTGGTAGGGCTGTGCCTGCGGCTAAGATGTCAAAGTACTTCTGTACCCGTTGGTAAATTGCAGCTGCCCCCGAACCAGTCTCTCCTTTGGGACCCCCCCCCCTCCTCACCCCCTGCTCCTCCTGATCCAGAACTAGTGGCTCATTCTGGGCATAGCAGTGGCCCTTGGAGAACCTGCACCAGCCCCTCAGCAGCCTCTGTACCTGGGCTACCCTGGTGTTAAGTGCTGGGGACATTCACACTGTGCCCTTGGGGTCCCAGCACCCACACTTTGGGAGGAGAGAAGACTTCAGGTGACGTCCACCCACCAGCTCCGTGTGCAGCCCTGTCCACCCACAGCCAGTTTGCCTCATGGCTAGGTCACCTCCAAGCCTGAATTTGGAATTCAAATGAAGGAGTTTATTTTTACCTTTTATTCAACAGCGGCTGTAGCTTAATCAGTTCTCTAATGATCAATTGTTCTGGTTTTAAGAAATCAAGCACTTTGAAACCAATTCACTGAAGGCCCTTCTGTCTTTGCGAACGGATTGCTTGTCAGTCGGGTTAGGGGCTACTTCCTCTCCTGGGGGCTCTTTTTCTTCTCCTTTCTTCTAAAGTAGATGATCTGGTTGCCAGAGCCTTTTGCACAGGGTTGCCCATTTGCCCTTGGGCTGGCGTTGCCCCCTCTGGCTCCAGGCGATTGCTCCCTGTGCCCGCAGCTGTCGTGCCCGGCTCTGTGAGGGGAAGAGGGAAGCGAGGCAGTGTGGCCCCACACTTGGCTGCACTGTGTGTTTCACTATGTTTAATGCACAAAGAAAAACTGCATCAGGACACACAAAATCAGTCCAAAATATCTTTTTTTTTTTTTTTTTTCCTTAGACGAAGTCTCACTCTGTCCCCCAGGCTGGAGTGCAGTGGTGTGATCTCAGCTCACTGCAACCTCCGCCTCCCGGGTTCAAGCAATTCTCCTGCCTCAGCCTCCTAGAGTAGCTAGGATTACAGGCGTGTGCAACCACGCCCGGCTAATTTTTTGTATTTTTAGTAGAGACGGGGTTTCACCATGTTGGCCAGGCTGCTTTCAAACTCCTGACCTCGTGATCCCCGCCGCCTTGGCCTCCCAAAGTGCTGGGATTACAGGCATGAGCCACTGTGCACGGCCAGTCCAAAATATCTTAATAAAGTATGCTTATTTCTAGGAGAAAACGATCTTAGGAAAAGGTCTTTATCCAAAAGGACAAGAATTCTCTTGGTTTCCTCAGCTCAGGGGAGAGGCCTGAGTAGAGAAAACAGAAAGGACAAGGGCAAGATGCCCCAAAGGGGTAAGTGCCCTCCTGGCTCGTCTTGGCCTCTGGCCCCGGCAAGAATCACACACTTCCCTCAGGAGACCAGCCTTACTCACTCCCACAGAAGCCCGGACGGAAGCAGGCTGCCCTTAGGGGAATGCTGTGTTTTTAATCCATAAAATGCCAAAAAGCTGGGAGAAAATAAGGCCCTGCCAGAGCTGTGGACACAGCCCGCAGTCCCCGGAGGCTGTGGGGAGAGCTGGGTACGTCCCCCTGGGGATGGGGGGCACGCTGTATTCCTGAGGAGGCACCTGCCTGTCTGCCTGCTGAGGTTTCTGAAGGCAGGACATTTGCTGAGCCTGGCAGGACTGAAGGCACTCTTACCCCAGCTGCCTTCTGCCCTGGGGGCACAAGGTGTGGGGGCCAGAGGTCTGAGGGGGTCCGGTAGACGCTGGTGGGGCCCAGAGAGGACAGCGCTTCCCAATCCCAGAGGGTCTTTAGCCTCAGCAAGGAAGGGGCTGAGCCTGCCCTCAGAAAAGGGCGACCCCATTGGCAGGCATCAAAAAGCCCAGGCAAAGATGGGGCCCCTCTCACCCCCTCACCCTGGCACAAGTTCTGCCTGCCCCGGCCCGGGGGGGTGGGGGGTGGGAAGGGAGGGAAGGGAGGTCAGGTCACCTCCTCTCCATTCCAGTCCATTCCAGCCCCAAGGATGGGGAGGGGAGGCCCATGGGATGTGAGTCTGGGCTGAATTTTAATAACTGAAAAGGACCAGAAAAGTTAATGATCGGGGTGGGGGAGGTGTCAGAACACAGTGACTGGCGTAAACAAGCCCTGTCATGAGTTCCACCAACAGGAATGGTCTGGAATGGCCGGCACAGCCCCAGGAAGTGCTGGAGGGGCTGCAGACCCAGGTGTGATCACCCCGCTAGGCTGTGTTGCCCAAGCTGGGGCCAGGCCTCCAGGGCGCCTCCTCACCCTGTCCCCTCCAGATGGGGCAGAGCAGGGAGCAGCCGAGCAAGGACATGCGTTTGAGGACAAGTGGGCAGTACAGACATTTCCCACTCACTGAGGCTAGGAGGCTGGGCTGGGAGCGCCCCGGGGTGAACAGAAAGCACTGGGCTGTGAGGGAGTCCTTGAGCAGACTGGGTCCAACAGGAAGGCTGCAGCGGTGGAACCCCGAGCTCAGCCCTGCTAGTGATTTTCTAGGCTCTGTTGTGCTGTGCCAGCTCCGGACCTGTCAGGAAGCCACCCTTTGCTCTTTCTCTGGCCAGAAGAGAAGAAGGCTCTCCAGTCCTGATGGCCTAGGTCCAGCGCCCAGGCCAAGGGCGCCCCCACAGACAGGTGCTGACTCTAGCATTTGTCCATCTGGCCCGCGTAGCCGCCCTCCGGTGTCTTTAGATCCGTGGCCTTTTCTCCGTGGTGGGCGGGTCTCCAGGGCAGTCTGTCCCCTTCCTCGCGTGGCGGCCTGCTGCACACCAGCGGCAGCAGCATCCCGTCGCGGCAAATGGCTGCCGCGCAACAGGCTGCCTGGTGGCTGAGCGGAAACCATGGCAACGGGAAGCAGGGAGGATATTCCCGTCACCCTCTGGAAAGGGCAGCCTATTTCTGGGACCCGAGCCCAGTTCTTCACTAGTTGTGTATTTTGCTGTGAATTTCGATGCTGGAGACACGGCGTGGAGGGTGCGGGGCTGAGGCAGGGAGGGGGAGTGACCGCCCCCCGCCGCAACCCCGGGCCCGGAGGAGACCCAGCTCCGAGCTCAGCCCCGCCGGATCAGACCCCTCTCCAGCCACACCAGGGGAGGGCGGGCGCTTTGGGGGGCACTGGGGCGGGGTCTGCTTCCCAGTCCTCAACAGAGGGGACCTTTTGGAGCGCCTTGGCCGGGGACTGCCTGGGGCTCCCAGCAGCAGGGGGATGGGGTGGGGGTGGCGAGCTTAGTTCGCCGGACTCAGCGTCAAGCGAGCCCCCGCCGTGCGTGCACACGCGCTCGCGCACCTCCCCGCACGCGCACGCTGGAGCGGTGTGGCTTTTGGTGTAGACGGCTCTGCCCCCTAGCGGCAGCTGCGGTCAGCATGCGGGGCTCCTTCCAGGGAGGGCTTCGGAGAGGAAGGAGAAGGGGTCCAGGGAGGGAATCGCAGGCTGGGCTTGGGGCGGAAGATCCCAGGAGGGGCTCGCGGCGGCCCGCTGCCCCGGCAGCTCCTTTTCACCCGCCACCCTCGTCCTGGGTGACCTCAGTCCCTCTTATGCCTGTCCAGACCTTTCCCTTAGGGGACAACCCCCAGGAAGACATAGGCCCCTCAAACTCCACATGTCACAATGGAGCGCTTCTGCTTCCCACACCCGTTCCTCATCTCGGAGACTGGCACCTTCACCCACCTGGTTGGCCCAGACTTGGGAGAGCTCCTTGATATCTCCTCTTCCTCCTCCCCAACATCCACCTCCTCACTGATCCTGGGGATTCTCCATCCCAAATAGCTTTGAAATAATCCACTTCTGGTAGGCAGAATTTCGGCCCCCATGACCTTCATCCCCGTGTCACGCCCGTGAGTATGTTACATTACATGGCCAAAGGGACTTTGCCGATGTGATTTGGGCTACTCATCAGTTGACCTTAACATAGGGAGAGGAGCTCATACAAGCAGAGCTTCACTGGCCAAGGCCAGAAGCCGAAGTCAGAAAGATGCAGAGATGATGGGAAGAGCTCTTGGCATCATTGATGGCGGGAAGGTGAAACTAGGGCCTATAGCTCCAAGGAACTGAATTCTGCCAACACCTGAATGAGCCCAGTCCACCTGACACCTTCTTTTGTTGGTTTGTCTTTATTTTGAGTTGTGATAGATTCACAGGAAGTTCTAAAGACAGTGCAGGGAGGTCCCATGTACCCTTCACCCAGTTTCCCCATTTAAAGTATACATGCCAGGCATGGTGCCTCATGCCTGTAATCCCAGCACTTTGAGAGGCCATGATGGGTGGGTCACTTGAGTCCAGGAGTTCGAGACCTGGCAAACTGCCTTTACAAAAAAAATTTTAAAGTGTACAATGCAATACTTTAAAAAATATTCATAGAGTTATGTCACCATCACCACGATCTCATTCCAGAACGTTTTCATCATCCCCACCAGGAACCCTGTATCAACTAAGCACTAACTCCTCATTCTCCTCTCCCCCTAAGTCCTGGCAACCATTCGTCTTCCTTTCTATGGATTTGCCTGTTCCAATCTGTCATAGAAATGGACTCATATAATTTTGTGGCCTTTTGTATCTGGCTTCTTTGGCTTGGCATAATGTTTCCAAGGTTCACCAACACTGCAGCATGGACCAGTGTTTCATTGCTTTTGGGGGCTGAATAATGTTCCGTTGCCTGGATATGCCACATTTTGTTTATTCATCTATTGATGGACATTTGAGTTGTTTCTGCTTTTTGGCTATTATGAATAAATCTGCTATGAACATTCGTGCACATGATCTGGTGTGGGCATATGCTTTCAGTTCTCTTGGCTGTATAGCTAGGAGTGAAATTGCTAGGTCACATGGTTACTCTATGTTTAACCTTTGGAGGAACTGCCAGACTGTTTTCCCAAATGGCTATAACCATTGAACATCTTACTAGCAATGTATGAGGGTTCTGATTTCTCCACATCCTCTCCAAACAGACACTTGTTATTTTCCATTTTAATTTTATTATAGTCATCCTAACACGTGTGAATTTTATCTTATTCAAGTTTTTTTTTTTCTTTTTTGAGACAGAGCCTCACTCTGTCGCCCAGGCTGGAGTGCAGTGGCACAATCTCAGCTCACTGCAACCTCTGCCTCCCGGGTTCAAGTGATTCTCCTGCTTCAGCCTCCTGAATAGCTAGGATTACAGGCACCCACCACCACGTCCGGCTAATTTTTGTATTTTTGGGAGACACGGGGTTTCACCATGTTGGCCAGGCTGGTGTTGAACTCCTGACCTAAGGTGATCCACCTGCCTCAGCCTCCCAAAGTGCTCGGATTACAGGCATGAGCCACTGTGCCCAGCCTCATTCTAGTTTTGATTTGCATTTTCTAGTGATCTGCATCACTAATGACTAGTGATGTTGACCATTTTTTCATGTCCTCATGGCACATTGTATATAGTCTTTTGAGAAATGTCCATTTAGATTCTTTACCCAACTTTTTTTTCTTTTCAAGCAAATGAATACTTTGATTAACATGGTAAGTTTTAAAAAAAACATGGTAGGGTTTTGACCTCAAATATTTATCAGGTCTGCTACTTAAATGAACTTATAGCTGGACAATGTATGAACATTGAAGATGCCTCTTCCACTCCAGTTTAGGGTCCAATGTACAGTTCCACACTCTCATCCCCCAGCCCCTCAAGAGTCTTTGCAAATCTCTTTCATTTTATGCCGAGTCCCCGAAATGCATCAGGGTATTACATCAACTTGTACAGAATATCAAGATCTCATCCTCTAGTTCAGGTTCCATGTCAGATAAAGCTGAATTAGGTTGTCCAAACAAACTCACTAGACAGGTTATATCAGATAGTGTACCACATAAAATTTAAATTTTGAACAAAATGTGTCTCTCCTCCTTTGGTCTTACACAGAAATTAAAGTCCTCAAATACAGATAATACTCTCCATTCTCCAGCTCTTCTCCAGATTCATGGGTCCCAGCCAGGTCGGCCCATCCACATTCCCAGCTGAAGTCTGGTCCTTTCTTCAGTAGTTGCTGTATGGAGTCATCTTCTAGAATCATTGCGGCTCCTTCAGCCCCTCCAGAGCTGGAGAACTCCAACAATGAGGCTCATGTGTCACACACAGATCCAAAGTTCCAGGGAGCTATCAGATCACACAAGAAAGAGCAAAGCACCTCAAACATTTAGAAATAACAACCAAAGCCCAGGAACAAATGTGACTGCTGCAAGAGCGTGGTCTAGGCCCTCATTCCTGTATGAGAGAGCATTTTCCAAATAAACTTACTTCCCCAGACAAAAACACAAACAATCAAAACTCATATTGAGTTCATCAACCACAGACCATAGCAGAGAACTGAGTGTGAGTGAGGACAGAGCGTGGACAGAGTAAAATAGAGAAAACCAAAGGCTCTCTGGTTTCAGCTTCTTCTGGGTGTCAGCCAATCTCCACCAGTTTACCAGAATCCATTGGCTGTAAACCACCGACCGTGCTCTCGACTCGTTCGTCTCTATCCTCTGGGCCAGCTCCACCAGCATCTCTGCCATCTTCACCATTTCCTTGGCCTTCTCCTCGGCCTTCTGGCACCTCTTGGTCACCCTGCCCTCCACTGCGTCGCCCGGGTTGTGGAGGCGGTTGAGGATGCTCCTCCGAAGCCTCCACCTGGGTTTTGATCTGGAAGAGCATATTGTCCATCTCCCACAGCGTGCTCCGCTTCCACAGGTACGCCCGCCAGTGCTTGTCAGCGACGCGATGTCCTCTGGCATCTCATGGATGACCGGGAGCAGAAACTGCTCAAAACCCCCCTCCAGCTCCAGCACCTCCACTTCCTCCGGTTCTGACAGCTCGGCGACATCCAGGGGCCGCATCTCTTCCTGCTGCCTCGGAACTGCAGTAGCAACATGAGCAGAGCAGCGGTGAACAAAATCCCTTTACTGGTGAACAAAATCCCTTTACCTAATTTTAATCGGGCTATTTCTTTTTGTTATTGAGTTGCATTGGTTCTTTATATGATCTAGATACAAGTCAATTATCAGCTACTGTGTAATTTGCAAACAGGCTCTGTTACTTTGGGGGTCGCCTTGTCACTTTCTCGATGGTGCCCTTTGAAGCACAACAGTTTTTCATTTTCCAATTTAGTTTTTTCTTTGCTTGTTGGACACTTTGGACATCCTTTCTAAGAAACCATTGCCTAAGCCAAGGTCATCAAGATTGACTCCTGTGTTTTCTTCCAAGAGTTTTATAGTTTTAGCTCTTACATTTAGATCTATGATCCATTTTGAGTTAATTTTTGTATATGGTCTGAGCTAGGGGTCCAAGTTCATTCTTTTGCATGTGGATATCTAATTGTCCCAACACCGTTTGTTAAACAGACTATTCTTTCTGCCATTGAATGGTCTTGGCACTCTTGGCAAAAATCAATTGATCATAGATGTAAGGGTTTATTTCTGAATTCTTAATTCTGTTCAATTGATGTATAAGTATCTTTGTGCTAGTACCACACAGACTTGAGTCCTGTAGCTTTGTGGTAAGCTTTGAAATTAGGAAATGTGAGTCTTGGAAAATTAGGAAAAATAACTTTGTTCTTTTTCAAGATTGTTTTGGCTATTCTGAGTTTCTTGCATTTTCATATGCATTTTAGGATCAGCTTGTCAATGTCTGCACAAAAGCCAGCTAGGATTTTCTTTTCTTTCTTTTCTTTTCTTTTCTTTTCTTTTCTTTCTTTCTTTTTTCTTTCTTTCTTTCTTTCTTTCTTTCTTTCTTTCTTTCTTTCTTTCTTTCTTTCCTTCTTTCTTTCTTTCTTTCCTTTCTTTCTTTCTTTCCTTTCTTTCCTTCTTTTCTTTCTTTCCTTTCCTTTCTTTCTCTCTCTCTCTCTTTCTTTCTTTCTTCTTTATTTTTCTTTCTTTCTTTCTTAATTTAAGCCAGCTGGGATTTTAATAAGGATTCCATTTAACTTGTAGATCAATTGAGAGAGTATTGTCATCTTGGTCGTTGGCAAAGCCCGAGTCCTGTCCTCTCACTCTCCCGCCGGAGAGCATGAGCTTCACCACTGGCTCCACCTTTTCCACCAACTATCAGTCCCTAGGCTCTGTCCAGGCGCCCAGCTACGGCCCCTGGCTGTTCAGCAGTGAGGCAAGCGTCTATGCAGGTGCTGGGGGTTCTGGTTCCTGGATCTCCGTGTCCTGCTCCACCAGCTTCCAGGGTGGCATGGGGTCTGGGGCCTGGCCACGGGGATGGCCGGGGGTCTGGCAGGAATGGGAGGCATCCAGAACAAGAAGGAGACCATGCAAAGCCTGAACGACCGCCTGGCCTCCTACCTGGGCAGAGTGAGGAGCCTGGAGACTGAGAACCAGAAGCTGGAGAGCAAAATCCGGGAGCATCTGGAGAAGAAGGGATCCCAGGTCAGAGACTGGAGCCATTACTTCAAGACCATCGAGGACCTGAGGGCTCAGATCTCTGCAAATACTGTGGACAATGCCCGCACCGTTCTGCAGATCGACAGTGCCTGTCTTGCTGCTGATGACTTTAGAGTCAAGTATGAGACAGAGCTGGCCATGTGCCAGTCTGTGGAGAACAACATCCATGGGCTTTGCAAGGTCATTGATGACACCAATGTCACTCGGCTGCAGCTGGAGACAGAGATCGAGGCCCTCAAGGAGGAGCTGCTCTTCATGAAGAAGAACCACGAAGAGGAAGTAAAAGGCCTACAAGCCCAGATTGCCAGCTCTGAGTTGACCGTGGAGGTAGAGGCCCCAAATCTCAGGACCTTGCCAAAATCATGGCAGACATCCGGGCCCAATATGACGAGCTGGCTTGGAAGAAAAGAGAGGAGCTGGACAGTACTGGTCTCAGCAGATTGAGGACAGCACCAGAGGGGTTACCATGCAGTGACAGAGCGAGACTCCATCTCAAAAACAAACAAACAAACAAACAAACAAACCCTCTGAACTCAGTGAATGGAACCTTATTTGGAAAAAGCATCTGTGCAGATGTAATTAAGTTAAGGATCTCGAGATGAGATCCTCTTGGATTAGGGCCCTAAATCCAATGACAGGTGTCCTTATAAGAAGGAAAGAAGTCACAAACACAGAGGAGAAGGCCACGTGGATTCACAGAGAATACAGTGGTGCCGCCACAAGCCAGGGGACACCCAGATCCCCCGGGAACTGGAAGAGGCAAGAAGGAGCCTCCCCCAGAGCCTGCAGAGGAGGGAACAGGGTCCTGCAGACACCTGGATCTTAGGCTTCTGGCCTCCAGAGCTGCAAGAGAGTGCATTTCTGTTGTATTACTTTGTTATGGCAGCCACAGGAAAGGGTGGGGGGACCATGAAAGGAAACAAATACATCCTCACTTTGATACTTTTGTACAAATACGCCATAGGAAAATAACACATTTAGGGCCCCACTAATGCATGACAATTGAGTAACTCATGCTATAGACGGGCCTCCTTCTTCTCTCCCTGATACCTTGACCTCTACCCTCCCTCCCTTCCTTAGCCACTTGCTCCTGATCCCCAGATCCTGTCAGCATGTTGTCATGGATAGAGTGGACCTGTGTGACATGCGAGGGATGGCGAGATCAAGGTCCCTGGAGACAGACTGTGGCATGGAGCCGGAGAGCTAAAGCATCTTAGCGGGAAGGATAGTAAAAGCATAATGTTGCTCTTTGGGGCAAGTGGAAACTTCTAGAGTTCTCGTGTATGAGAATGGAACTGCAAATCATTTGCCAGTGGCTTTCCTGCTTTGCTCCAGCGAGAGGGTCACAGTGGGACCAGTGGCTGTGAGTGGAGTCCCCATGGGGTTGCAGGACAGGAGCTTCCACAAGGTGCCTCCTGCTGCAGGAGCCTTCACCCACCCGAGACGGGGAGCCAGCTGCTCATCACAGGAGGGGCTCAGGGGCTGCCTAGGAGACAGATTTCGGGCAAAGGTGTTTCCATCAGCTCCCACTCTGGCTGCTGTGCGCCCCCACAATGAGGATCCCCCATCTCCAACCATCGCAGCGGAGCCTTGTTTCAGAGGTGACCTCGCTGACCTCGTTGCAGGACTTTGAGGGTACACCCCACTCTGGTCCCCTCCCGCACCGCCTCCTTGCTATCAGGAGTCGTCCCTGGGCTATCGGAGGCCCAGGACAGCCCGGCCACCCTTGCTGTGGCTGTCCTGCTGACGCCCTGGGTTTCTCAGCTCCTTGCATTCACTTGGCCCTTCTGAGAGCTTCCTGGCTCCGTAACATTGCCCGCTTCTTCCAGCTGCTCTGCCCTCCGACTTTCTTTGCTGGCCAGTCTCCCAGCTCTTCCTTGTGAAACCCCTTCTCCCCATAAGAAGATTTTGTCCTCAGTGGCCCGATTGCATGTGGTAGTTTTAAAAAATAATGGATTTACTCAGATATCATTCACATACCATAAAATTCACCCACTTAAAGCATTCACAGAGTTGTGCCACCATTGCCACTATCTAATTCCAGAACATCCTTGTCACCCCTGTCTCCATCAGCAGTCACTCCCTGTGCTCCCTCCCTGGCCCTGGCACCCACTCATCTGGTTTCAGTCTCCCACACATCTATTGCTGGGGTGGATTTTCCGGCCCTCATGCCCAACTGGCACCACTTCTCCTTAGGTCCAACTTGGTCACACCCAAGATCCCGTGCATGCTCAGAGCTTGCTCAATTACTCTACTGAGCTCCTGGTTACTCAAATCGCTGAAAAAGAAAATAATACCAGGCAGAAGATTCACCAAAAAGTTACAATCTGACCAGGTTTTGTGGCTCACACCTGTAATTCCAGCACTTTGGGAGGCCGAGGTGGCCAAATCACCTGAGGTCAGGAGTTTGAGACCAGCCTGGCCAACATGGTGAAACCCCGTCTCTACTAAAAATACAAAAAATTAGCTGGGTGTGGTGGCACACGCCTGGCCTGTAATGCCAGCTACTCAGGAGGCTGAGGCAGGAGTATCACCTGAACCCGGGAGGTGGAGGTTACAGTGAGCCAAGATCATGCTACTGCACTCCAGCCTGGGCGGCAGAGTGAGAATCTGTCTCAATAAATAAATAAATAAATAAATAAATAAATAATTGAATAGAAAGATGAAGGGTGGGTAGGCAGTGGGGAGCGGGGAGGGAGAACAGAGATGGAGGCTGTGGATCTTGCCGATGGTGACAGGGAGCTGGCTCGGAAGGTACAGTGGAGAGGTGACTGTGGCAGGAGGTTCCCAGGCAGCGAGGAGTTTCTAAGGACAAGTGGCAGGCCTGGACTTTGATGAGGCTGCCAGGATGAAGACCAGAGCAGGGTGGGTGCTTTGGAAATTGCCCATGCTTTTTGAAGACCACACAGGCTTTCAAGTGACCCTGCCCGTGCACAGCCTCTCTTCTGGACCCCAAATGCCTCTTCCCTCTTTCTCTGCCTCATCCTTTGAGCTTCAGCCCGAGTCCTATTCCTTGAAATGAGTCACTCACTCTTTTCCATAATAGTGCTATTGTGAGGGGTAGGCTGTGATTTAATCAATGTATGGGCACATGGTGAGGATTAGCTAAGGAAGCGTTGGCAAATATTACAGAATCGCGCTTCTGATGGTGACTGTCAACCTCAGGGTCGAGCCTGGGGTTGAGAACCAGGCTTCAGCCCTCAAGGAACTCACCATCTGAGCCGGGGTGATGAGACGGGGGATGCCACCTTTGGGACACTGGGGACAGGCTTGCCAGTGGGAGAGGAGGTGCTGCCTAAAGGTTTGCTGGCTCCAGTTGGTGGCTAGTGAATTATTCATTCATCAACCACTGCGCCGAGGTGACCCAGGGCTTTAAAATTCATGTGTTCATTGAGTCATTCTCTCGGCTCACATTCCCAGGCACCTTTTACTTGCTGAGCCCGGACTCTTTTCAGCACATAAGGCCCAGAGGAGAAGGAGGAGTTGTGCCTAGAGGATGGGCGGGCCACCAGGGGCCAGAGGGAAGCACTGTTTGAATTGGGGTGTTCACATATGTGCACGTGTGCATGTGTGTATGTGGGGGGGGGATGTGTGATGCATGTGTGTGCGTGTGCATGGGGGTGTGTGTTAGTGTGCACAGATGTGGTGGTGGGGGAAGCTGAGAGGCAGCAGCCTGATCCCCCAAGGCCCATAGCTGCTTTAGGGAACATGGGCTTGAGCCTTCCAGATCTAGCTGTGGCTGGTCCAGCCCAGGGCACTGTCTGGGGGAACACAGGACCTGGCCTCCACCAACGGGGCTGAGGGGAGGTGGGCCCTCTGGGCATTGCCTAGGTTTCAGCCTTGGGCTGGGGAAGAGGGTGGGGCTGCTCACAGCTTGCAGACAGACACGGTGCTCAAGGCGTGGCAGGTGTCAGCAGCACAGGGAGCTGGGGACCCTGAGTCAGTCCACACACGCACACATATGCACACACACGTGCACACCCGCGCACATACAGACAAGAGCAAGCTGGGTGATGGAAGTGGAGTGGTAATTCCTTCACCAGGCAGAATACGTGCAGAGACGTTCAGCCAGGAGACCATAACCTTTGGGGGACCTGCCGAAGGTCTCTGCCATGAGGCAAAGTGGTGAGATCCGAGGCTGGTCAGTTGATAGGGTGACTCCACAAGGACCAGCATGTGAGGTCAAGGCCTCACATTTTCTCCTGAAGGTGAAGGGACTCCGGAGGGTGTTAGGCAGGGCAGGACCTGTTCAGCCTCGCCTTTTAGAAAGCTCGCTCTGGCGGCTGGTATTGTGGGGTGAATGCCAGCCCCCAAAAGGTGTGTCCGTGTCCTAATCCCTGTTACTGTGACCTTATTTAGCAGAAGGGCCTTTGCAAGATGTAATGAAAATAAGGATGTCAAGATGAGCTCCTCCTGGATTATCTAGGTAGGCCCTAATCCAGTGACAGGTGTGCTTATAAGAGACAGACGAGAAGACAGGGAGAAGGCCATGTAGAGACGGAGGCACAGATTGGAGTGATGGGGCCACAAGCCCAGGAAGAACTCAGGCTGCAGAAGCTGGAAGAGCAAGGAAGAACTGATCCTCTGCCAGAGCCTTTGAGGGAGCAAAGCCCTAGTGTCACCTCCATTTCAGGTGTCTGGCCTCCAGAATTGAGAGAGGATATACTTCTGCTGTTTTTAGCAACCCAATTTGTGGTCATTTGTTACAGCAGCCCCAGGAAACTAACCCAGCTGGGATGGAGAGAGGACTTGGGGAGGCTGGTGGAGGCAGGAAGTGCTGAGGAAGGAGAATGAGGCCGGACTGGGTGTGTGGGGTGGGGGTAAGAGGTGGAGACTTCCACACCATCAGGAGATCAAGGCGCCTGGGCAGAAGGGTTTAGGGAGCAGTAGCTTTTTCCTCTCCATATTGCCAGCTGTCTGAAATTGTAGCAATGATCTGAATGTATCAGAATGACTCCAGTGACTGTCACTAACTTGGGAGTGAGTACCTTTGGGGTTCTATGTCCCTAAAGCCTGATGCACCATTTCCTGCTTGTGGAAGACGCGAATGAAAAATGAGATGGTAAATACCTGAGTTCGATATTCAGCATTCATTCAGCAAACATTTATTAGGCTCCTACTGTGCGTCGCGCTGGAAAGGCAAGCAGAAGCTAGATTCCCAATCGATCCCGGGAGGCTGGACGATCCAGACACAAACACCGTTCATGCGTCTATTCGAAAAGGCCCTCTTGGAATTTTGTGCACAGCATTTCCTTGGGGTGTCGATGGATCGGGGTCTGCAAACATTAGCACCTTTTCCGGTGGCCGCTGTCTTCTCAGACCTCAGACACCGGCGCCTCCCCGTGAACTCCCGCAGGCGTCCCTAGCCCAGGGCTTGGCGGGCGCTGCCGGTTGTACCTGGCCTAAGCCACGCTGGGCCGACAGCCCGGGGCGACACCCCCTTCGGACGGCGGGGATTTGCGGCTCGGGTGACCGGAGGTGCCCTCCCGCGGGTCTCGGAGCAGCTCCGCGGGCTCTCGCTCCGCGGGGAGGAGCCTGCGTCTCCCAGGGGCGGGGCTCGAGGCGCCTAGGGGCCGGTGGACACATACCAGCCGCCCCGTGGTGTCGGCCTCTGCGCCTGCGCCTGCGCCTGCGCGCGCGGCCAGGCAGCGTCTGTGGCGCAAGCGCGCGCTCACCCTTGGGCGAGGGCCCTGAGGGGCGGGGCGGGGCGGAGGAGCGGCGGGGCGGCGAGGGGCGGGGCGGGGCGGCGAGGGGCGGGGCGGGGCGGCGAGGGGCGGGGCGGGGCGGGGCCGGACGCGGCCGGGTGGGGCGGCAGCGCCCGCCGCGAGCACCTCCAGTTCTGCCGGCTTCTGCGCGCCGGGGCCGCCTCTCCTTCCGCCGGTGCCGCGGCGCCTCATGGAAGCCCCGGAGGGCGGCGGAGGGGGGCCTGCAGCGCGGGGCCCGGAGGGGCAGCCGGCGCCCGAAGCCAGGGTGCACTTCCGAGTGGCGAGGTTCATCATGGAGGCAGGTAACCGCGGCCGGGGGAGGCCAGGACAGGCGGCGCCGCGGCCCGCTTCGCGGAGCGGGCCCGGCTGGCCAGGCCGGCCTTCTGGAGTGCTCACCGTAGCAGAGGCCGGGAAGCCCTGCTCGGGGCTGAGGACCTCCGCCTTTGCGCCGCGCCCGGTGTGCTGAGCAGTGAGCCGCGAGGTATCCCCATGGCGTGGACCGGTGTGCAGGCCCTAGGAGAGGACGTGGCCGGGTTGGGCCTCCAGCGAGGCGGAGACCGGCCCGGGCGCCCGCAGCTCTGCGCAGTGCGCCACGCCTTCTGCCGGCACCCGCGGCCCTGCACTCCGGTAGACTTTATGGCGCTTAGTCGCGCGGAGCCTTTTGGAGAACGCTGTCCGAGGGTTCCTGTCACTCCGGGGACCTAGGCTGCTTGCAGCTCCTGTTCCGAACCCTGCCAGGACATCCACAGTAGTGTTGGGCTCCGCGCTTCCCAGGCGAGGTGATTAAGCTAAGATCTCTGTAGAAACATCGTTTCCATCCAGCCATCAACAGTATTTTTTTTTTTTTCGAGACGGAGTCTCGCTCTGTTGGCCAGGCTGGAGTGCAGTGGCGTGATCTCGGCTCACTGCAACCTCCGTCTCCCGGACTAAAGCAATTATCCTTCCTCACGCTTCCGAGTAGCTGGAATTACAGGTGTGTGCCACCGTACCCGGCTAATGTTTGTATTTTTAGTAGAGACGGGGTTTCACCATGTTGGCCAGGCTGGTCTTGAACTCCTGGCCTCAGGTGATCCAGTTGCCTCGCCCTCCCAAAGTGCTGGGATTACAGGCGTGAGCTACCTCGTCCGGCCCATCAACAGTATCTTGATAGGAGATACTGTTAGTTGGCGGGTAGTTATTTCCTACCTTTACTGCTTGGGGGAGAAGGGTTGGGCAGATGTGCTTTCTACCCAAGGTGGGCGGAGAGTCTGAGGACTGCTGCAGGACTGTTCATCCCAGTGATATGTAAATTTACTGTAATTTGCAAGAAGAGTTGCAAAGTTATTATTAGGGAAGGATGGCAGTGACACCTCATCTGCTACCGTCTGCTCGGAGGGTCCGTGTAAATTGGGGTTTGCTCTGTAAAACAAAGCTTGGAAGGTCATGTCAGTAACAGCACCTTATCTGGCATCTCCTGGAATGAGGGGTCCCAGGTAGGAATTGTCTTTATATAACAAGTTTAGACCTTCTGAGGGACTTCTTTATAAAATGTATTACACAATCCTTTGTCCTTTGTAGGAGGCTAAATATTGATTTCCCAAAGATGTCCCTATCCTAATCCCTGGAACCTGTGAATGTCATCTTATATAGCAAAAGAGATTTTGAAGATGTGATTAGAGACCTTAAGATGGGAGATCATCCTAGATTATCTGGGTGTAACCACACCCATCCTTATAAGGCAAAGGCAGGAGGAGTCACCGTCAGAGAAGGCCACGTGAGGACAGAAGCAGAGTTAGAAGCTTTGAAGATGGAGGAAGGGGCCAGCAACCAAGGAATGCAGCCCTCCTCTAGAAGCTGGAAAAGGCAAGGAAACATTCTCCCATGGAGCCTCCAGAAGGAGCCAGCCCTGCTTAGACGTTGATCTTAGCTTTCTAGGCTAGTTTTGGACTTCTGACTTCCAGGATCGGAGGAGTATAAATGTGTGTTGTTTAAGTGGCTGAATTTGTGGTGATTTGTTGCAGTAGCCCTAGGGAACTGATCTACCTTCTTAGGCAGAGGATGCTGACTGTCATTTCATGGTTGATTGTCGGTTGTTCTTCGCCTTTCTGTTTTGGCCTAGTGGATGTCATTTAACCTTGTCTTGTGAACCCTGGTGGTTGTGAATTTGTTTTGGTTCTGTGCACCAGGGCAGTGATTTTCTTAGGAGCCATTCAGGGATGGGCTGGGGATGGGCTTTAACCCCTAAGTAGAATCCACTGAATCCTGCTCTGGTGTTTTGAGTTTTGTTCACCTTAAAAATTTTTTTCTTTCTCTTTTTTGTAGAGACAGGGTCTCACTCTGTTGCCTAGGCTGGTCTCGAATTCCTGGGCTCAAGCAATCCTTCTGCCTCAGCCTCCCAAAGTGCTGGGATTACAGGCGTAAACCAGCATGCCCAGCCCACTTTTCAATGTGCTGGTGTCCTTCCCTGGTGCCTGGCTGTGGCCATAAACATTGCCTTTTCTCTGCAATGCAAGTGGTTACTCTTGGCAGTCACGCTGCTTGCTTTGCTCACCTCTTCTAACCTGTGGACTACGAAACCAGTGCTCAGTGTAATCTTTCACTGTGACTTCAGGACTTGTGGCACCCACGAGGCCGTTTCTTTTCTGTCGTCGTAGCTGTGGGGTGGGCGACTTCTAGCTAGCTGTTTGCTAAGGTGAACCCAGACACACAACAGCATATAGTCCTTTTCCAGGGTTTTGCAGAAGCTGCTATGCCAGTTGCTAACTGAGCGGTCCTCGGAACCCTTGTTTCCCAGAGCGTGGTCTATAGACCCCTGACATGGGCATGACCTGGGGCTTGTCAGAAGTGGAGAATCTCAGAGCCGCAGACCTACAAAAGGGGAAGTCTGCATTTGAACACCATCCCCAGGGGCTTGGGTCACCCACTAGAGTCTGAGAGCCCAGTAAGAGACCCAGCAGGAGCCACTGGCTCTGCTGGAAGTTCTTAGCCTTGTCCAAGTAGGGTTGTACCTGCTAGGGCCCATTCCAATGGCTCCCCTCACTGGAGCAGTGAGCCAGCGCTGGATTGAAGTCCTCTCTTGCCTGCTTTCTCTCCGCAGGTGTCAAGCTAGGGATGCGGTCCATTCCCATTGCCACTGCTTGCACCATTTACCATAAGTTCTTTTGCGAGACCAACCTGGACGCCTATGACCCTTACCTGATTGCCATGTCTTCAATTTACTTGGCCGGCAAAGTGGAAGAGCAGCACCTGCGGACTCGTGACATCATCAATGTGTCCAACAGGTAATGGCATTTGGCTGGGCTCCTGATCTCCACCCGGTGGGGGGGACGGGCAGGGAAGGCTCCTATGGGGCCCTGCCCACCAGGTGCCAGCAATGGAGCTTGGAAGGAAGTACCTGGATGGCCTTGAACCAGGCAGGGCCAGAAACAGTAGCAGCAAACGTGAGAAGGAGCCTGATGTCAGAGGCCAGTGGGGTCTGTGAGAGAAACGCTGGGCCAGATTATGGGGAGCCTCGAAAGCTGGATGGAGGGCAGAGGCGGGGCTTCAGCAGAGGGAGCTTGGAGAGGCATGTCAAAGAAGATTCTGTGGAAGTCTTAGACAGGGATGGCTGCAGGCAGAAGAGCTTGCCTGCAGCGGGAGGGTGCAGACCCAGCCAGGTGGTAGGTCCCAGTTGCTTAGGAGCCTCGCCCTGCTGTGGGTGTGGCGTGGGCATGGCACAGCCGGCCCAAGCAGGTGTGTTCCTGCTGGGGCAGAATGCAGGGTCTTCGCCAAGGCGAGGGAAAGACGGTCTGGGAAATACAAAACTGAGAAATGTTCACTTTTTGGAGTATATCATTCCCATGAGAGGCTTAAACATGTTCCTTGGATGGCTGGACGTGGTGGCTCACGCCTGTGATCCCAGCACTTTGGGAGGCCGAGGCGGGTGGATCGCTTGAGCCCAGGAGTTCAAGACCAGCCTGGTCAACATGGTGAAACCTCGTCTCTACCAAAAATACAAAAATTAGCCGGGCGTGGTGGCGCATGCCTGTGGTTCCAGCTGCTCGGGTAGCTGAGGCGGGAGGATCGCTTGAGCCCAGGAGGTCAAGGCTGCAGTGAGCTGTGGCTGCACCACTGTACTCCAGCCTGAAAGGCAGAGCAAGACCCTGTCTCAAAAAGTAAAAAGTAAAAATAAGTTAAAAAAATACGTTCCTTGGGCCCAGAGTGAGAGCCCCGGGCATTGCCACCTCAGGTGATGAAGACTCCCTAATGCCGGGCTGAGTATAACAGGAAGCACAACCGACTTGGCATGCTCAAGCTTCCGGTTCCTCTGGAGCCATCGCCAACAGCCAGTCTTTGCACTTGACATTTTGCTGAATGATAGCGGACAGCCCATCTGGCTAAAACTAGGAGCTGGCTTCTTTCCTCTGTTGGTTACTGTTTTCATTCTCTACACTAGATGTGGAGATGAAGAATTTTTGTATAAAAACCCAAATAAAATGACCCTCCATGAATCTGCAGATGGACGATGTAGTTTGCATCTGGACATTGTGTGACTTAAGCAATTTGAGCCATCCAGTGCTCAGGAGACTGCCCTGGCTGCTGAAGCATTGCCATTTCTCTGCGCAGGTACTTTAACCCAAGCGGTGAGCCCCTGGAATTGGACTCCCGCTTCTGGGAACTCCGGGACAGCATCGTGCAGTGTGAGCTTCTCATGCTGAGAGTTCTGCGCTTCCAGGTCTCCTTCCAGCATCCACACAAGGTACATACTGGGGAACTGGTGCCTGTTTGGAGAGGCTCAAGCCATGGTCTCTGTTCTTTATCCCAAAAGTGCATCCCATCTCATACTCGAGAGCACAGCACAGAAGGAGAGCAGGGCTGCGGCTGGGAACTGGGTCTCCTGGCTCTGTGTTTGTGGCTGGGTTGGCCGCCCGGCCTCTCCCGTCCCACCCCTGTGGGTTTTCTCAGCCAATTCTCATTTCAGCTTCTGCCTTTCTGCCTGCTCACCTGTGGGCGGGGTCCGTGCTGCCCGCTGAAGCTGTGGCAGCTCCTGTGGTCCATATAGATGGTGTGCACGCTGGGCCTCGGGGAAGCAGGCTGGTTTTGTGACCGGCCAGAGTCCCCGTCCCCAGGGGATGCTGTGATGCCTCGGAGCACGCCTCCAGCTCAGCTGTGCTTAGGAAGCCATGGGGAAAGCCAAATCGCTTGAGTCAAGCAGCATGCTTTAACTTCTAGGAATGTGTGAGTCTCAACAGAAGAACCATTTCAAACAGCAGTAAAAGGGAAAAGTGGAACGCTTAGGCGACTGGCACACGATGCTCTGGGCACCGCAGCTCCATGCACGGGCAGCTCAGAAGGCTGGCCGGAGACAGAGATGGAGGAGTTGTGGTTTGGGGCTCTGGGCTAGGAGTTTCATTCTTTTTCATCGGAACTCTTCCTGAGATCATTGTAGATTCCCATGCAGTTGTGACATGTACCCTTAGCCCAGTCTCCCCCAGGGGTAACACAGCCAGGATGCCAAAACCAACACAGTCCACTGGCATCCTCACTTCCACTTGTATTCCTGTGTGTATATTTTTCTGTTCCATTTTATCACGACTCCGTTCACGGACCTACCACCACAGCCAAGGTGAGAGACGGTTCCACCCGCATGGGCCCTTCGTGTTGCCTTTATAATCTTGCCTCCAGCCTTCCACACTCCCACCTCAGTACCTGGAAAGCCCTGGTCTGGGATTTCTGCGCAGTAGTGTCTTAGTGGGCAGAATGCTTGCTGAGCATCCTGGGGGAAGGTGGGAGATGCCCTGGTGGCTGCAGGGTGGAGTTGTCAAGGCGACAGGGCTTAGGAAAGAGCAGCACTCAGACCTCAAGGGGTGTGTGATCTGTGCCCAGATGGGGAACTGATAGCTTGGTGTGGCTGGGAGCCTGCCAGCCCCTTCCCCTCCTTCCAGTCAGGGCTGGGGTGGAAAGTAACCTATGTATCCCTCCTGCATGGTGTGCTGGGGTCACACGCATGTGTGTTCCAGACTGTCCAGAGAGCTCGCAGCATCTGTCTTATTGTGTGAGGTTCTGGCAAAATGTCAGTGTTCTGAGAGCAGGAGCTGGCAGCTGGGCTGGGAGGTCATTTGGATGTTGTGGCCGAGGACAGCATGTGCCCTTGGCAGCAGGCCAGATGCATGGGGAGCAGCACCTTCTGTTCTGCCCATGAAGAGGGTGCTTTCCGGAGCACCAGGCCCCGAGGAATTTCATGGTGGCCAGAGCGGGCCCTGTGGTGGAGAGGGACTGTGGTGGGGGTGGCCCTCGTAGGTTTCCCTAGAGCTGGGTCTGGAGGGTGAGAGTGGGCAGGTGCATACGGTGAGCTGGTTTCAGGCAGAGGGCTCAGCAAGTGCGAAGGCCCTAGATGGGGTTTGCTGGAAGGCAGGGTGGGATCGGCAGGAGATGGGGCCAGCAGAAGGCCTTGGGGCTTCTTCCTGAGGGACATGGAAGCTGCTGGAGGGTTGGAGCAGGTGCTGATATGATTATGTCAGCATGAGGAGAGCAGCTGGTGGGCCTAAAGGCTGACACACGTGTCTTTGCAGTACCTGCTCCACTACCTGGTTTCCCTCCAGAACTGGCTGAACCGCCACAGCTGGCAGCGGACCCCTGTTGCCGTCACCGCCTGGGCCCTGCTGCGGGACAGCTACCATGGGGCGCTGTGCCTCCGCTTCCAGGCCCAGCACATCGCCGTGGCGGTGCTCTACCTGGCCCTGCAGGTCTACGGAGTTGAGGTGCCCGCCGAGGTCGAGGCTGAGAAGCCGTGGTGGCAGGTGAGGTGGCTGCTTGGCACACTGGACGTGCCCCCTTTCCCTCTGGAAGTCTCTGTATTGCAGTGCTCACCAAATTCTATTAATTATCCATGAAGAAAGATACGGGCTGCTGGGGAACATGGAAGCTCGAAAGTACCCTGTTGCGATGGCCTGGGACAGGCTCTCCCCCTCGGCACAGTTGCCATTTAGGGGTCCCGGATGTCGAACAGGAGTGCTGGCCTCCACCGACGTCGCCGGTGTCCCGGGAGGAGGGTTGCCCCAGCGGAGAACCGCTTTTACTGAATTGAGTGGGAACTTGACTGTGATCACAGGTTACTAAACCTGGCTTCCCATCAGAAACATCTGGGGTGCTTTATGGAGAGGGCTGGATGGCTAGGTAGGTGACAGCTAGCTGGCTAGTTGACAGACACCTGGATGGATAGGGGAGAGAGCTGATGGGCAGGGTGGCGGGTGATTGATAGGTATTAATAGGTAGATCATGGAGGGTAGATGGTGGAACTCTGTAGGCCTGTGCATAGGACAGCTTTCCAGGTGGCTGGTGCTGTTCTGCATAGAGGTAGCCCTGCCTCTCTTCCCTGGCCCGTGTGCCTTGTGGAAGACCACAGCATTTGCTGATTTTTGCGTGTTTATTGTGTAATCTCGTATCCCCAGTCAGCTGTGAGTGCCTGAGGCTGGGCATCTCTTCCCCAGTCTCCCGCGCCTCCCTGGCACCAAAGCGGGTGCTCATGTGTCTTTGAACCCATGCACCCATGTTCCCAGTCTCAAGCCGGAAGCACCCTGTCCCCAAGGCAGTGTGCAGGTGGTGCAGGGCCATCTGTGTAGACAGTGTTGCCCCACGCTCGGGCTGCTCAGGGACTTTCACATAATGTGGCTGCCTCGTGCTCAGGGTTGGACTCTGGGGGGGGCAAACACCCTCTGGGGACATCTGGTGGGTGTGGCCCTGGCCCTGGGCTGCCTGGCTATGCTGCATCTGTCTTCCTTTCTGCTCTGTCTTCTGCGCTTGCTCGTAAACCTCACCTGGTGTGGCAGTACCACCTGCGTCCCATGCTCAGCCCCTCCCAGAGGAGTGCGAGCCCAGGTAACCCTGCACAGCCAGGAAGCAGCTCTACCAGCAAGTTGTTTGCTGGCGGCCCAGACTCACCCAGTCATCGTTCAGACTGGGAAGAAGTTACCCTTTGTGGGGTGTGGAACTTCTGTTCAGCCAGCTCTTCTTAAAGGCTCTGCTAAACTTGACCTGACCTTTGCCTCCCAGCTCGGGGCTGTGCACCAGAAGCTTCCGGAATCCAGGTGCCTCCTGTGGGCTGGCGGGGTGCGAGGGCCTGATCCCCCATGATGAGTGAGATCCTGGGAGGCCTCACCCACCCGGGTGCTGCAGAGCTCACGGCCTGGCTTTTGAAACCCTTTCTTCCTTGTGTGCTCTCGGCTGCCACTTCTTACGGTGACTCCTGTCACTTATCTGCCACGGGCTCAGCATGGCAGCTTGATGTGCTTCCCTGGAGAAGCCTGCCTGCACTCTGACTTGCCAGATGAGCAGGGACAGTAGCGGGGTCAGAAATGATGCAGGTCGTCACGCAATGCTGCTGAAACTTCCACGTCCAGAGCCACACCGAGTGCCCTCCATCCCCTTGTTCCTGAGCAGAAGGAGAACCTGCCTCTTTCCAGCCACTGCTGCTTTTTGTCTTATAAGCAGATGGACTGCCCTCAAAAAGGCAGAGTCCCCAGAGGCCAGCAGTGTCTCCTCCTAGGACTTGGGTCTGTGTCTCTTCTGCTGTCAGGTGCCCCAGGGTTGCCACCTGTTCTGGACTGTTACATTTAATTGTGGTGACATAGACATCACCTAAATTGTACCACGTTCACCATTTTTAAGTGTGCGGCCCAGGGACGGAAGCACATTCACGGTGCTGTGCAGCCATCACCACCATCCAGCCGCAGAAATTGTTCATCTTCCCAAACTGAAGCTCTGGCCCCGTTCAACCCCAACTCCCCACCCCCAAGCTCCTGGCACCCAACCTTCCACTGTCCTCTACAGAGTTCACGGCTCTCCTTTGAGGCCCCTCACAGGAGTGGAATCCTACAGTGCGGGCCTTTCTGTGACTGGCTTCTTTTGCTGAGCACAATGTTGGAGCCCCCGTCTCAGAATGTCCTTTCTTTTGATGGCTGAATCATATTTCATGGCCTGCATGGACCATATGATATTAACATATTCATCCATCGATGGATGCAGGCTGCTTCCACGTTTTGGCCTTGCTTTTTTTTTTTTTTTTTTTTTTTTTTAATAGAGACAGAGTCTCACTCTATTGCCCAGGCTGGAGTACAGTGGCGCAATCTCAGCTTACTACAGCCTCCACCTCCTTGGTTCAAGTGATTGTCCTGCCTCAGTCTCCTAAGTAACTGGGATTACAAGTGCCTGCCACCACACCTGGCTAATTTTTGTATTTTTAGTAGAGACGGGGTTTCACCATGTTGGCCAGGCTGATCTTGAACTCGTGACCTCCAGTGATCCACCCGCCTCGGCCTCCCAAAGTGCTGGGATTACAAGCGTGAGCCACTATGCCCAGCCCCTGAATGTTTTTTAATGATTGCTTCTGAGCTTGGGGTCTCCAGGAGCACACAGGTCATGGACCCCAGCAAGCAAGTGTGCATTTCTGAAGTATTTGTTTTTCACCCAGAGCCCAGGGTAAGACAGCTATGCTTCCTGAGTCAGGACTTGGAGGGCGTCCAGGTCACCATCTCCTACCTGAGGTTGTAGGCCACAGAGGAACCTAGGGTTCTTTGGGAGCATTCAGCAGGGGTGGACGTAGGTCCAGTTCTTGCCTTGACTTGGCCCAAGGCCTTGATCTGATTGGTACATTGGTTCCCCAGGCAGCAAGCTCTGGCACAGGGTGGCTACAGACGCAGCATCTGACCAAGGTCTTGCTGCTTTACTTACTATTTCCCTTATCATTGGGGATCCCGAAGAGCACCCTGGGGCTCAGTGCTGTGCCGGGAGGGCTCGGAACTCAGAAAAGCTGTCACACTCCCAGTTCCGGTTTATTACAAGGAAAGGACACAGGTTACCGTGAGCGAAGGCTCAGGGCGCACAGGGCGGGCTCCAGGAGAGACCAGGCGTGAGCTTCAGCGGCTCCTCGCCCAGGGGAGTTGTGCAGACGGCACCTGTTTCTTTCGGCAACAGTGTGGGACAGCGAGCACGGAGTCACAACCGGGAAGCTCATCCCAGCCATGGCGGCCAGGGTTTCCGTGGGAGGTGGTGGGCTGCATGGGCATGGAGCGCCTGCGTGGCCAACCCTGGTCACTTGGGCTGCAGCCACCAGAGATCTGGCTGGGACTCTGTGGCCCAAGGCCCTCACCATAAATGATGTGGTTAGCACAGACCGCCTGGCAGTCCAGTAAACCAAGACGCTCACACGGGGCAGGATTTTCTAGGGGCCTAGAGGTTATCCTCCAGGAGCCAGGCAGAGGCCAGACCTGCCTTTGGAAGGTACAGGGTGTGGACCCCAGCCTGTGGCGTGGCCCTGGGCTGCAACCCTCCTGCCATGGGCCCCGAGGATGTCCTTCGCCGTCTTGCGAGTGCTCCTGCACGTGGCGGTCCGGACTGTGGAGTGGGTCCACATGCTCCCCAGGGGCTGGGTTAGGGTAGGCGTGGGGTCCGGGTACTTAGCCTGCCTGTGGCTGCACAGGGACTGCCACCCTCTCCTCTTGCCAGTGTCCGCAGAGACCCTGGACCTGAGGGAGTCCCGGGCAGGAGGCAGGAGCCTGTGCTCTGGACCCAGCTGTGTTACCAATTCCCTGTATGACGTTGGACAGGTCCCCTCCTCTCTGAGTCAGAAGATCACCAAGGCCTGTTCCATCTGGAATGTTCTCGGCCTTGTAAAGTGTTTGGCCTCAACGGGCTGGAATTAAACTGGCTTTGCAGGAGAGCTACTGTCTTCCTACATAGCCAAGTCCCTGTGCCCCTCCCCTGCCCATGAAATGTGATTCTCTGCTTAGTGACAGGTGCCTTGTTTAACATAGAGGGAGTCTAACTGGAACCTGTTTTCCTTCTTCTTTCTAGGTGTTTAATGACGACCTTACCAAGCCAATCATTGATAATATTGTGTCTGATCTCATTCAGATTTATACCATGGACACAGAGATCCCCTAAGGTCCTGGCCCAGGCCTGCCCAAAGAGAAGCCCAGGATGGTCGGCTGCCTGGGGACATTGTCACCACGTCGCCATGACGGCTGGTCCCCACAGGACCAGCTGGGAGGACTGGTTGTGCTGCTGGAGAAGGGCTGGAGAAGGCAATGGCATGCTGCCGCTTTGCCAGTCCCTAGAAGTCGCGGTGCAGGTGATGGTGGGAGCCGCGCCTCCAGCGGGCAGGCCGGGAGTGTACTGTGTGCAGCTGACCCAAGGCAGCCACATCTGCGTTTGTCCTTTGAGAGGACTTTGACTACAATACAGGCATGACATCAATGAAAGGAAAGTCATGAAATCGATGAGACTGAATCCCTACGGATTTCTTAAAAGCCAGATTTGTAGGGAGAATGAATGTGCAACGTGGCTGAAATCTATTTTGTGTAATAAAAGGTGATACAAGTCAATAGGGACCCTTGGCTTTGCTCTGCAGCGCATGCTGCACATGGGGGTGTGAGGGGCCCTCAGAGACTGGTTCCCTCAGAGTGCTCTCAGGTAGAGTGTGTCCCAGCCATCAGGCGGCAGGCCTGGGGTTAGGGAGGATCACTTGCATTCAGAAAAGTGAGTCCTGATCGAACGTAACTAAAAGTAATGCGTTTTTAAATGTCAAGGTAGCCAGTCTGGATGGGGAGGCTGGAGAAACTCAGAGCTGTGGCCCCCAGCACCCCTCTGACTCCTTGCTCAAAAGCCAGTGGGTAAGAAATAGACCAGTCCAGGAGGCGCTCTCTAGGTCCCCTTTCAGGCTAGACGTACGTTCAGCACGTGGCGTAGGGCCGGGGGACTGGTAGGTTTACACAGGAGGGTGGGCTCCGGCTCCTGCAGGTGTGGGGGCAGGGGTGATGCAGGTCAGGGCAGAGTCTTGCTTGACTTTACAGAGCGACTATGTTCAGTGTCTTCAGAATGAAGTATCTGAGCAGATGTCACAGGCTTCCCTGGTGGGCAGGCTTGCCCTGGCTGACCTGCCCTTCATTTCGTAGAACTCCCCTGTGGGTTTTGATGATTAACTTCTCCTAAATGTGGGCTCCTGCTTTACCTGTTGTAAGCCTTTTAAGACTAATCAGTCAAAGAACCACATTTATTGAGCAGCTACTGTGTGCCCAGTCCTTGCCTGCGCTCTGGCAACCAGGTGAAACTCCTTGCTTATGTGGAGGGAGAGATGGGAAACAGAATGAGAATGTGTAGCGTGGTAGTGAAAAGAGGAAGGAAGAGAAGGTGGCCAGGGCTCAGAAGAATTAATATGGTAAAAATGGCCCTCATGGCCAGGTGTGGTAGCTCACACCTGTAATCCCAGCACTTTGGGAGGCCGAAGTGGGTGGATCATCTGAGTTCAGGAGTTTGTAGACCAGCCTGGCCAACATGGCAAAACCCCGTCTTTACTAAAAATACAAAAATTAGCCGGACATGGTGGTGGATGCCTGTAATCTCAGCTACTTGGGAGGCTGAGGCAGGAGAATCGCTTGAACCTGGGAGGCGGAGGTTGCAGTGAGCCGAGATTGCGCCACCATACTCCAGCCTGGGCGACAGACGGAGACTCTTATCTTTTTTTTTTTTTTAAAAAAAGAAAATATTCACAAACTCTACGTCTGACAAGGGGTTAATATCCAGAATATATAAGGAATTTAGACAACAGAATAACAACCTAATTTAAAAATGGGCAATAGACCTAAACAGACATTTCTCCAAAGAAGACGTACAAGTCGCCAACAGGTATGTGAAAAAATTGCTCAACGTCAGGAATCAGGGAAATGCAAATCAAAACCACATCGAGGATATCACCTCACTTCAATTAGAATGGCTACTATCAAACAAAAGAAAACAAGCTTTGGTGAGGATGTGGAGAAAAGGGAACATTCACACACTACTGGTGGGATATACTATAGCCACTATGGAAAACAGTATGGATATTCCTCAAACATTTTAAAAATAGGCAGGGGATGGTGGCTCAGGCCTGTCATCCCAGCTCTTTGGGAAGCGGAAGTGGGAGGATCATTTGAGCCCAAGAGTTCAAGACCAGCTTGGGCAACATATGAAGACCTCTTGTCTATTAAAAAAAAAAAAATTAGGCCAGGCACTGTGGCTTATGCCTGTATTCCCAGCACTTTGGGAGGCCGAGGCAGGAGGATGGCTTGAGCTCAGCAGTTCGAGACAAGACAAGACAAAAGACAAGACACAGGAAAGACAAGACAAGACAAAAGACAAGACACAGGAAAGACAAGACAAGACACATTTTAGCATTCAAATACATTTTAACATTCCAAGAAACGAAGAGTGGGTTCTGGAGTTAGACCACTTGGCTGTGAAGGCTGGTTCTATCACCCGTGTATCTTGGGCTAATTCATCCACCCCTTTTTCTTTTCTTTTTTCTTTTCCCCTTCCTTCCTTCCCTCCCTCCCTCCCTTTCTTCTTTTCTCCTTCCCTCCCTCCCTCCCTCCCTCCCCACTTCTTTTCTCTTTTCTCTTTTCTTTTCTCTCTTTTGCAATCATGGCTCACCACAGCCTTGGCCTCCTGGGCTCATTCGATCCTCCCACCTCAGCCTTCTGAGTAGCTTGGACTACAGGTGTGCACCACCGTGCCTGGCTAATTTTTTATTTTTATGTTTGGTAGAGATGAAGCCTTGCTATGTTGCCCAGGCTGGTCTCAAACTCCTGGACTCAAGCGATCCTCTAACCTTGGCCTCCTAAAGTGCTGGGATTACAGGCGTGAGCCACCATGCCTGGCCCGGTATGTTAAAATGTAAAACCAATAAGGAACATAGTAGTTGCTTGAAATAACAGGCAATCATTGTGGTGGGGAAAATTAGTGCCCGCCAATTCTAGATAGGATCATGTGCTTCATGTTCATCTCTGGAAGTCCAGGGGACACTATAGATGTCACTGTAAGCACTTAAGAGCAAAGGTGTAAACATCTATTTTCTCATGTGAACTTCCAGAAAGAAAGGACTCTGAGGTGACAGAATTGCAAGCCAGAAACAGCCTCCGTGCCTATATTTCTTCTGGAACCTAACAGAGCCTCCCACGTGCATGGAACTGTGCTGTGGGTGAGAATAAAGCTGCTTGATTCAGGTATAAGAAAAAGGAGGAGAGACACAGACAGACACACGCACAGGGAGAGACAGACATGGGAGAAAAACCACACGACAACAGAGGCAGAGGTTGGAGTGAAGCATCTACAAGCCAAGGAATTCCGAGGACGGCTGGCAATGCCCAAAGCTAAGAGGAGGTCCTGGAGCAGATTCTGCCCTGGAGCCTTCAGAGGGAGCATGGCCTGCCCATGCCTTGATTTTGGACTTCTGGCCTTCAGAACTGGGAGAGAAGTTTCTGTTGTGAGCAGCCACGGGCCACTCACACACGGGCCTCCCCCAGACCCCTGCGCAAGCCTTTACTCCCAGGACTCAGCTGTTTCACTGAGTTCCGATTTTCCCCTGTGGAACCTGTGTCATGTTTGAAGCAGAAGCTTGTGGACAAGGGATTCACAGACACAAATTTGCGATTCTTTTGGGGTAGCATGATGTCTCTCCATGAAGGGCCAGCTGTCTTGGTATGGACTTTGGCTCAATCTGGACTTACTCATCCTTATGGTTCAGGATGCACTTGGACACCAATGCAGCAAGGACATGCTGCGATTCTTCTGCCTGCTGTTTTTGATTTGTCTTTTCTCTTCTCTTTTCTCTTTTTTCTTTTCTTTTCCTTCTCCTCTTATTCTTCTCTTCTCTTGTCTTCTCTCCTCTCCTCTCCTCTTCCCTCCCTCCCTTCCTTCCTTCCTTCCTTCCTTCCTTCCTTCCTTTCTTTTCTTTCCTGACAGAATCTTACTCTGTCACTCAGGCTGGAGTGCAGTGGCGCGATCTCGGCTCACTGCAACCTCCGCCTCCTGGGTTCAAGCGATTCTCCTGCCTCAGCCTCCCAAGTAGCTGGGATTACAGGCATGCACCACCAAGCCCGGCTAATTTTTTTATTTTTAGTAGAGGGTTTCATCATTTTGGCCAGGCTGGTCTCGAACTCCTGACCTCAAGTGATCCCCCACCTCGGCCTCCCAAAGTGCTGGGATTACAGGTGTGACCCACCGTGCCCGGCCTGATTGGTCTTTTTGCCAGTTTTAGAAGCATGGACTCTGATGCTTTGAATGACTTTGAAGCCATTTTTCTCCTCTCTTGGCAGCCTTCCTGGAAAATGCGTCTTCCGGTGCTGCCAAGTCGAAAAGGGGAAGAGAAGTCCAATGAAATGAGGGGAGTGTGGTCTTAGTGCCATCGCCAGGGTGGTCATTGGCAAGTCTTGGCCACAGGATTGCCTTCCTGGCTCTTCTGGGCTCAAGCAGGGATGGGACCATGGAGCATGGGCGTGCACAGGCACAGGTGTTGAGGGATGCAGCATGTGGATTAAGGGAATGAGTGAAATGGTGGGCTTTCTTCCTGTGGCTTTCGATTAGCAAAGGCGTCTATGATTGGAACCCTCCTGCACTGCTGATGAGAATGGAAAATGGCGCTTTCTCAAAAGGTTCAACCTACAGTTCCCATAGGATCCAGTATTTCCACTGCTGGGTATAGGCCCAAAGGAATGGAAGGCAAGGTCTGGAAGGGCGGTTTGCATACCCATGTTCACTGCAGCATGGTCCACAATAGCTGAAATGTGGAAGCAACCTAAATGTCCATGGATGGCTGATTGCATAAGCAAAATGTGGCATATCCAGACAATGGAGTATGATTCACCTTAAAAAGGAAATTCTGACACATGCTTCCACATGGATGATCCTTGAGGACATCATGCTAGTCACAGAAGGGCAAATACTGTAGGATTCCACTTCTATGAGGGGCCTAGAGTGGTCAAATCCATAGAGACAGAAAGTAGAAGATTGGGTGCCAGGGGCTGGGGGGTGGGGAGTTGGGGTTGAACGGGGCCAGAGCTTCAGTTTGGGAAGATGAACAAGTTCTGCGGCTGGACGGTGGTGATGGCTGCACAGCACCGTGAATGTGCTTCTGCCCCTGGGCCGCACACTTACAAATGGTGAACGTGGTACATTTTATGTGATCTGTGTTCTACCACAATAAAAGAAGTGGGGAGCGTGCATGTGTGTCGGGGAGCCTCAAATTCCTGGGCCCAAGGGATCCTCCCGCCTCGGCTTCCCAAAGCGCTGGGATTACAGGACTGAGCCACCGCGCCGTGTACTAGAGGCCCTTTCAAGTCAAGACAGCCGCGGCTCCTGCAGCAGCTGGAGCCCCTCCCACTGGGGGCCTAACATCCCAGCATAAGTTCCTCTTCTGCATACACATCCGGCCAGGCTGCTGCACACCCAGGGGAAAGCCCCTCCTGCCCGGGGCTTCTCCAGCTCTGTTAAAGAGGCATGAAGGCACCTTTGTTTTGTTCTGCACAATAATTCACCAAATAATAAATCACACACGTTACCCAGACCAGGATGTAAGGAGCCTTTCATTTTTTTTTATACACAGAAATTTTGGTCTATTCTTTAAGTTAGGAAATTCAACTACAGACTTTAAATTATTACGTATCTGTGATCTTTCTCATTAAGTTTTTTTGTTCATCTTTATAACAGGCAGATAAAAATGTAAAACATATTTATGAACTGAACACAGTTGACCAAGCCATTCCAAGTAATATAATGCTTTATAAAGAGGGGCTTCCCAATGAGACAGGGCCCCCAGCCTTGAAGACTGCAAAAACAAGAGCAAAAGATTCCAGGTCATGGTACCCCGTTTCTGAACTCCACAGCACAGCACAAAGGTGACCTAGGGACTAAACAATAGACATTTACATTAGGCAACTTTATACAGCAGCAGTGAGGGTTTGCTTTTAATATCTATTGGCCATTGGTCCTATCGGTGTGTCTACGACAGAGAGTGAGAAGAAGCCGGTGAGTGCAGCAGCACGCAGCTCCAATTTCAACGTCTCAAATTTGATTTCTCATTGAAGAACACAAAGACCCTCAACAAATGGAGTTGCCCTTTTTCTTATTATCGTTTAAACAAGGACATCAGGGAACAGTTTACAAATGGGTGACATTCTCAATGTGCCCTTTAGAAAAAAGGGATGGCTTTGAGTTATCTGCAGCTGGCATTTTAAAGTGGGATTTTCTTTTCTAACCGAAATTCTTTTGCCCAAGATTTGACTGCTTCTGCTCAGGGGTGACATGGCATTCATGGGAATAGTGGGGATGACGCCTGCTCCTGTTTGGTTTTGTGTGGATGCCGGTGGAGGTGAGACAAGCCTTCTGAGGGTGCCAGTGCACGTTGGTGGTTTCCATTCCGATCCTCTGTCCCTCAGGTCCCAACTGTCTCCCAGTGGCTGAGCCCAAGGCCCAAACACCTCCCTGCAAAACGTGACACCTGCAAGTGTGGAAGGCAAGGGTCCCCCATGGCATCACTGTGTGGACCTAGGGGCTTCCTCAGGAGGGTGGCAAAAGTCGGGCCCCTCTTTATCCCCTTTGCTCATTTGGGGGAAACTGAGGCTTGGCCACCAGGTGCCCACACTGCCAGGATACGCTCCCCTCAGGACCTGGTGCTGAGCCACAAATCCATGACTTCATGGCTTAAGCTTGGCCGCTGGACACAAAGACTAGGGTGGGAAGAGTGCTTTGGTGGTGGCACCTCTGATGTCACAGCAGACATCAAGGTGGTCTACCGAGGACTCCTCGGCATTTGCCAAAGCAAACAGTGGGAGTCCATCCAGGTGCTGAGGGGACAGGGTCTGAACTGTGGCTGCGTCCCTGCCGTCATTCTCCCACCACCAGCTCCTCCGGGCTTCTGACGCTCCCTCTCCCTCCATTGGCTTCTTTTGAACTCTTGGCCCTGCCCCCGCCCCCTCGGACCTGTGCTCAGCTGAGGCTGCTCTCTGGACTCTGGGCAGGACCCACAACTCCAAGAGTGCTTCATGCTCTTGAAGGTGGGGGCATGGCCAGGATGAAGGATGTGGAATTGGAGTAGGAACCAAAGAAAGCTGAAAACGAAACTCCCCTTTCACTAACTGGAGGACTCCTTCTCATCAATATTTTGGTTTTTTCCTTTTAGATTAAAATTTCCCTTGAAAGGGTTTTCTCCTCTCTGGCAGGGGTCTCAGTGCAAATGCTCCAATTATACCTGCTCCAGACCTGGAGCGCCCCCTCTCGGCCTTCTCCTTGGGAATCTCAGTAGGGCCGGGCAGAGGGCAGGAGCGAAAGGTGGGGGCGGGGTGATGAGGGACAAAAATGGGTTGACCAGAAAGATATTCTTGCAGTCTAGTTCCCTGAAAAAAAAAAAAAAACAACTACAACCTTGCTACATTCAATAATGAAATTTCCAAATGAAAATGCCTGATAAGAGGAATGCAAATATCATGCCAGTAAATAGTTCCTTATTGAAATACGCATCTGGCCATATATACGTGTGTGTGTACAGATCCACACACATACACATATGTGCATGCACGCACACACATGCGCACTGCGGATGTGCCTAGTTTTTGCAGAGGGCGGGTTGCTTTGTGGCTGCAGGGCCGCTTGCAGGCGGCTCCCTCAGGTGGCACCCTTCACAGGCCTGCAGAGCACTCAACTTTTTTTTTTTTTTTGCATGAAGATGCTGATCTGATTGCCCCTGCATGGGTGCAACAAAAGCTCCCCATAAACCCAAACCAGCCCCCTGCCCACCACACAGCTCAAATGGCAAACACACGGTAAAACTGTAGTTTGTTAAAAAAGAAGCATCAATAGAAAAAAAGGTGGGGAACTCAGCTCTTCGCACTTTCTACTTCTTCTCCTTCCTCCTTTGGACGAAGAACCTTCTCCTCCCCCTTTTTGTCCTCCTCTTCCTCCTTTTCCTCCTCCCTGTCCTCGTCTTCCTCAGTCCGGATGAGGAGCCTGTGGCAGGCTGCACCCTTGTTGAATGGATTTGGGTCCTTGCAAATGCCCTGCCAGAAAGGTCTTCAGCCACCTTAGTTGTTCCCTCGTTTTGCAGGTGTGCAGGTCCCCATATGTGTGTGTGCGTGCATGTGTGCGTGTGACTTCGTGTGAGTCCGAGTGTGCGTGTGCGCATGTGCTGAGACAAGTTCTTGTTAGAGGGACGTCTCCACGCTGTGGAGCGGGCTCCCGGGACTGGAGGAAAACACTGAAGAGGTAGCTGACTTGGTGACATGCGTGGTCAGGTAGATGCCGCTGTCTATGGCGTTGTTGTTCTGGTTGGGGGACGGGGGCGGGGGGGCCCGGAGGCGCTCCTCGTTCTCGTCCACGTCCGTGTCGTCAATGAGCGGGATGTTGTGGGTGTAGTCATTGATCAGAAACTCGGGCGTGGCCATGAAGTTGTGAATGGAGGTCTTGGATTCTGGTTTCTCCAGGCCTTCATAGAGCGAGCTACGGAACGCTTTCACCACCCGGATCTGGAGTGGGAGGTGGAGGGACAGGGCGCGAGGTGGGAGCAGGGAGGGAGGAAAGGAAGGGAAAGGAAAGGAAACGTGGAAGGAAGGTAGGAAGGAAGGAAGGAGACAGTCAGTGGCCGGCTGGTGCTGGTAAATTCCACCCACGTCAATGGCTGGGGGTCATGGCATGAGAAATGTCCACCCATTTGTTGGAGGGCTGCTACGGAATGGGATGGCTCTGCCTGCCTTTGGAAAGAGTTTTCAGGTGTGGGCCTTGGTCTCGTCAACCGATCCGCATGCAGGAAAAGATGGCAGTGTCTTTCTCTAGGCTGAGCTGGGCAGGTATTCTGGAACTTGAGAGTGCTGCACTAGGCTCTTGGCTGTGACCCCGCAGTTCCCTGTCCTGGGGAGACGAGTGGCTTTGGTGACCTCTGGGGTCTCTGCCCAATCTGAATTCCAATTTGGTAGAAAAGAAAGATGATTTGAAAAGGAGAGAATGCTGGTGAGTGGGATGTCTTCTCGATCTTACCAGAAAGTCCGAAGTACCTGCTGGTATGAGCAAGTTCCCAGCCTATGGGCACTGCCGGCCTTTCTCGCATGGGTCTCCCTCCATCCCCCAGCTCCCATGGCTGGAGCCGGGACCTGCCATGTCGAGGGTCTCCCTGCGGCTAACTCCACTGGCCACTTCTGCATCTTCGTCTGATTTGATCCCTCAGGGCACTCAACACAGAAGATCATCCCTCTTTCTGGAAGCTTCTCATGGCTTCCTGACATTGCCCCTGCCTGGCCCTCTTCCACCTCACCAGCTGCCCTGGCCCCATCTCCTCCACTGCCCTCTCTTCTGTCCCTGGGTGCCCCAGAGCTCTGGCCTGGCTCTGTCCCTCCTCCTCTCTGTCCATACCTCTCCACCCTGGCCACAGTGCTGGGGCCCATCTGGCTATAACCAGAAACTGTGGCCCAGGCCTGTACTCAGAGCTCCAGGCCAGAGAGCCCAGCAGTCCCCAGCTGGAGGTATCTGAGACCGAAAATGGCCACACTTTTGATTTGCACCCACTAAAGCCTGTCTCTGCTCAGATGCCCCTGTGGCCTCCTCACAGCCCCCGTGTCTGACTGGGTCTGGTTCAATCTGGTGCCCCTGCTCTTCTGACCTCACTCCGCCTGTCCTCTCTCCCGTCTCCTCCTCCATCTTCCAGTCAGACATTCCAAAACTTGCGTCTCTGCTGCCTCCCGGGCTCCGCTCTGTGTTGTTCCCTGGCCATCCCTCCCCACAGGAGTTTGCAGACCTCAGATCAGCGGAACTTCCCGCATGAAAGAGCTCCCGCTGTGCCCCAGACTCCCCCGGCACAGTGGCCCTCTGCCCCCAGCTGAGCGCACGGCAGCCCTTAAGCCCCCTGACCCTCCGGCAGGGCACTGCTCCAGGAGCGAGCCCTTCCCTCCTCTGGCTTCTCCACCTTGCCTCACGCACTCAAGTCCTTGCTGCCTCTCTTTGCTCCCTGGCCCCTCAGCCTGGGCCCCCTCCTGCTTCTAGAAGCCAGGAGTTGATGGGGAGGCCTCTGCCTGGCCTCGCACAGGCCAGTGTCAGCACAGCCGCCAATGGTAGCTGGCCCACCTTGTACTGCCATCCCTATAGGGGGCAGCAGACGGAGCGCTGAGCTGCCAGGCAGACCCTGGGGTTCATCCAACACCTGTCCACCCCTGCCTATGTGAGCAGGTGGACACATTAGGAGTTCTGAAGCATTTCTGGGGCCAAGGTTCGACCTAGGATTTGGTTTTCTGGGTTTAGACAAGGTGTCAGGGCTTGCTGAGGGGCTAACCCCAGCTCTCTGCTAGTTTTGGTTAATAAAATTTTACTGGTTTAAGTTTCATGCTGTAAGGGCACAGTTGTGTCACGGCAGCAGAGACCAGGCCTGGAAAGCTAAAAATATTTCCTCTCTGGCTCTGTCGTTTAGACAATTAATCACCTTTTTTCGGTGACTTTCTTTCAGCCCTCCAGGGGCTCAGCTAGGCAAAGCACAGTGCTTCGGAATCAGCTGAAATGATGCCAACCTCATCACCTCTCCAGTGCAAAAAGTGAGCCAGGGCCAGGTTTGGTGGTCCACGGCTGTAATTCCAGCACTTTGGGAGGCCGAGGCGGGCTGATCGCTTGAGCTCAGGTGTTCGAGACCAACCTGGGCAACAGAGTGATACTCCCCGTTCCTATTTAAAATAATAATAAAAAAAAGTAAGCCAAAAAGCTCCACATTGGAATTTTCTAGCACCCCATCTGAAATCTGGTTCGGATTTTCTCTGCATTCGGGAAAGCCACATCTGCCAGACGGCAGATGGTCAGCTATTCTCACTCAGGCCTTTATCCCCAGACTGGTTTCTGAATTAGGGGTAACACAGAAATTGAGAATAATTTGACGTTTTTAATGAAAAGAAACAGAATTCAGTTTTCGTAGCCAATGCAGATGTTGCCTCATTATTTAGGCCTTTTCTGGTACAGGATTGTGGTGTGGAAGCCGCCTGGGACATCGCCTGCTAAAGCTGTTGCCCATCAAGTCACAAAAAGGACAAAGTGCTGCAGGCCTTGACCCCAGGGCTGTGTGGGGTGAGATCTCGCTGAGCTGGTGGCCTCATTCAGACCTGGGGGCATGTGATCAGGCCAGGCCCCTGCTCAAACCTATGCACAGGTCTCACTGCACCTGGCTCAACTCCAAAGACCTCCATAAAGGACAGCCAGGCCACGGAGCCAGCCCTTCCTTCCAGGCTGGGCTTCTGCTGCTACTGCTCCTCCGGTCTCACCGGCTACTCCAGCGTGCCCCTCCCGGATGGCATCTGCCTTGTTTGTGGCTTAACAACAGAGCCTGGCCCAGAGCAGCTGCTCAGCAGACACTTGGGGAATGCACAAGTGACTGAGTGAACCGCTGCAGGATGGAAGGGCTGCCCCCCAACATTCTGCTGTTTGGGGGTGCTAAGCTTGGCTGGAGTCCTGGTGAGTCTGTTACAGCTGACAGTGAGTCAGCTTTCTCCAGGCTCTATTTTCCCTGCATCCTAATCCTGGGCCATTAAACAATGTTTTGGTGTTGGTGTTAAGGTGGGGTGTTTTCAGCCCACCCAACACTGAAGGATGCAGTCGATTCCTGGGAGATTGGTTCAATGGAAAGCAACAAACGTTTCTAAGAGAGGCCCATCCCAGAGGGCTGCACTCCTACCTGGGTGCTCAAGGATGCCCTCCTTCCACCAGCCTGGGTTCACTCTGTCCTCATCTCAGGCTCCTGCACCGCCTCCTGCTCTGCTCTCAGCCCAGGACGCGCCACGCCCCCTACTGCTCCCAAAGGAATCTCATGGCCCCCAGGGCTGTCAATGCTGTCTATAGACCATCAGGCCACCGTAAATACTGCAGATACCAGCTGCACCATGTCCACCTTTTCCTGGACTGCCAGACTTCTGCCCTGGCTGCCTCCCGGGTGTTCCCCCTCGGATGCCTAAGGGACCTCTCAAATTGCAGGAGGCCCGAGGAGGACTCTTATCAGTGCTCCAGCTGAACTCTGCCCACCAGCAGCCTTCCCATCCCAGTGCAGGGCTCTGGCCAAACCTCAGAGGCACTTTGACCCCCTGACCCTATGTACCAGACATCCACGTGTCCTGTGGGCCCTACCCTAACTCAAAAGCATCTTCCACATCTGAGCCTCTCCTCACCTCCATTGCTGCTGCTATGTCCTGCCTGGGGCCCTGGGGTCACATTGGGACCCCAACCCCCACCAGCAAAGCCCTCCATCCTTCCTGTCCCTTCTCTAGGTGGAGTTTCCGAGCTCTCTCTGGCTGCCAAGTCAGACTCTTGGTCCCCCATCTGGCTCTAAACCTTCCAGTAGGCGATGGAACTGGCCCGTGTCCTGACTGTGTGGAAATTCATTGAACTGTACCCCCAAAAGCCCGTTTTACTGTGACAATTTAAAAAGAAAGGAAATGAAAGCACTCTTCCGGGAGAGATGCCCCTAGGAGGGTCAGGTTGGGCTGGAGGACTCCCCATCTCATCCGGGTGAGGCGAGGTGGCTCCCCACTGTGTGTCCCCACCTCCTTGTGTCCTCCTGCTGTCTCCCTCTGCCACACTTCTCCGTTCCCCATCATGGCTGATGGCCCTGAGAGGCCACAGTCCTTTACTCCTCACAGTCCCCCAGCGCTGTCCGACACTGCTCCAGCCCCTCCTCCTCTCCCATCCCTGACACCCGAGGGCCCCTCCTCTGGGTCTAGGTACTCTCTTCTGGCTCTCGGCCTTCCATTCCACCTGTCGGCTAACAGCCTCTCGGCTCCGGCTCCAGACTTGGGCATCTAAGCTGGGTCTCAAACTTAGCAGGCCCAACCCCCCCGGCCCCAGCCCCGTGGCTCCCTTCAAACGCCATCCAGAACCTGCACTTCGCCCCCACCCCTCCATGCCCTTAGCACGGCGGCCCGAAAACCAGAGCGTGTCTTGGTCTCCCCCGCTACAAGCCCTCCACTGGCTGTGGCCCTCGGAGCCGGCCCCAGTCTTTCTCACTCTGCCCTCTTTTACCCCTCAGCCTCCGGCACATCCCACCTGGGGACCTTTGCTGTGGCTGCACCCCACACCAGGAAGGCTCCCCTCACTCTTGTCTTCCCCAGCAGCATGGTGCCCACTTCTGCTCCTTCCTTCAAGTGCCCCCTACATCCATCCACCTTTCACTGGAAGGTAATCCCCCTGGGGCAGGGGTCTGTCTGTCTGGCTCGCTGCACCCAGCAGGGGCTCAGTGGACGGGGCTGAATGTCTGGGGCCCACACGGCTTTGCACCAGCCTCCTGTGCTGGCTTCGGCCCTCCCCATAGCTCTTTGCCCACTTTGCAATGCCCAGCCGGCTGGAGCTGTTTCTGAACACCCCACGCAGGGGCTCCCCGGAGCCATGACCCCTGCCCTTTCTGCTGCCTGGCTGGCCTTTCTCCTTCCTCTGAACTTAGCTCAAGTACGCATCCTTAGAGAGGCTGTCCCGGGCAGTTTGTTACCAGCTGCCCAGAGGAGACATGCTGAGTGCTGTGGGCTTGGCCCGGGCTCCCGACTTGCGTGGATGAGCAGTTCTGAGCCTTACACAGGGCGGGTGACGCTGCAGACTGACAAGGCCCATCCCTGGCCACACTGAGCCAAAGCGGAAGGGGTGCAGGTGTGGAGTGCCATGTGCGATGCCACTGCCGGCCAGCTGGAGTGGAGGTGCCCGCCATGTGCATGGGGAGACGTGCCCCTGGTTAGCCTTCAAGTGCTGGAGTTTGCAGTGCAGGGCTGGGGAGGAGGATGAGGGTGGAGAAGGGCCGCAGAAGCAGGGAGACAAGCGAAGGACCGAGAAGAGTAGAAAAAGGAAAGGAAAAGAGAACAATCAAAGCAAAGACTCCTGACCGCAGTGACAACGAAACGACAGAAGCTGTGCCTGACACCTTCTCACTCTTCCTTCTAATTCCTCAAGCAGAAACAAGCCCTATCCTGCTGCCTCTGTGCTGGGCACCAGCCGACCCGAGGGGCTCCATGCTCTCTGCTCAGTCTCAGCCGCTAAGGTTCACAGAACTCGGATGCTTCTGGTCGATTTCCTCCCTACCTATCCACTGCTCAGCACCAACCACTGGTCCAGAACCTTCCTTTGGAGGCAGGGACCTGTCAGCTCCCCAGGCATCTGAGCTTTGAATTTAGAGCAGATTCTGAACACAGCAGCCAGGGAGACCCATGGGGAACTTCTTGTCAAGAACTTTAGGGTTTCCAGGCTCAAAACAACCCCTGTAGGCGTGAAGGTGAATCACAACTTGAAAGCGAGACAAAGGTGTCCTCAAGAGCCTGTGGCAATAGGAACCATCAGTCAACTCGGGCAATGAGAAGCCAAGCTCAGATAGCCTGAACACTGAGGAGAAGATGGCTTCGGCCTCACTTCTCTATGTGGGGGAAGAGCAAGGGGAAGGCCCCTTTCTACCCCATGGGGATGTCACATGCTTGAATTAGGAACAATGAAAATGCAAACTCCACAGCTGGCTCTTTCCCCAAGGAATTGAACCAAAGAACGGAAAAGACAAGACATGGCTGTGTGTGTGTTGGCAAGCCAGAACTGCTTGCAGCTGGCAAGTTTCATGAAAATTGCCTCCCACCTTGTGTGCACACTCATGCCCAGGACCGTGTGAGCCTAGACCTGTGCTCCCAACACCAGCAAGCTGAACTGACCTGGGCGCGGCGAGTCAGTGTCGGGTGGTCGGACTAAAGAGGACCCAGGAGGAAGGCCCAGCTGAGCCCTTGCCTCCGTACTGGCTGAATCCAGCTGCGGGACCTCCAATTAGTCTTGAGAGGTCTCTGCCCAGGTTCCCAGCTTGGGAGTCCACACTCGGAGTGCCTGATGGGGAGGGCCTTGGACCAGGGGTCCTGGGGTCTGCCCTAGGCTGCGTTCTGGTGCCTACTTTAGGGTTTGCCTGGAAGGGCATTCCCCTGTGGTAGGGCCCAGGGTTCCAGGAAAGCCTAGGGCAGGGCTCTTGGGGGAGGGTTGCTACTGCTTCCAGCATGGAGGCAGGGTGCAGACTGTCAAAGATCTGAGAAAAAATGCCAATACACCGTTCCCAGAAACCAGGTAGGGAGGCTTGGCTCAAAGCACATGACCTTCCTGAGAATGGAGCAAACTCCAGAAAACAAGACTCCTTCCACCACGGGGCTGGGAGTGTGGTGAGCATGTCGCCCTGGGCCCTGGAAAGGAGTGTCCAGGGAAAGCCTGGGACTCACGTGGCCCGGTTTGGCCCCTTTGGCCACACGGTTTTCATGTTGCCAAAGCCAATAAAACCAAGCAACTGCTGTGATCTGTTTCCAGCATGATTAACTGGAACTAAACGGCCCGGAGGGACCCCCGGTGGCCACATGGGACCAGACTCATGGCCTGCTGCCTAACCCCTGCTCCTTTGCTGGGCCAGGTCAGGAGGCATCTCAGGAACGACTCCAACAGTAAGCATCTCACACAGGCCTGGTGTGGCGCTGCTGGAAGGATAGACTTTGGATGCGTGGCTGGGGTTTGTCTGTGTGTCCCAGTGGAAAACAGACATAAAAGGCCTCTCAAGTGGCTTTGATGGGGCTTTCCAAATGATCGCGCACCCTCCCGTGCCTCCTAGTGGCAGACGCGCAGCCCCCTGTGCCTGCTGCCCTTGGTAGACCCGAGTGACTGAACCAGCTGTCCCTGACCAGCTCTCCGGAATATGGACACCCAACAGGGAGGGTGATACTGTGGCCTCGGTGTGTGAGTGTGTGGTTGGGGCATGGTGTGGGGTAGTCACCAGGCTGGGCAGGGGAGGGGCAGTGGAGGCTGCCTGGAGCTGGGGGTCAGAAGTTGTGGCCGGCACAGTCTGACAATGCATGCAGAGGAGGGATATGGGGCCTGTGTTGGGACTCCTGAGTCCAGAAGCAGCAAAGGTGTGGGAGGTTAGACAGGGTGGGGAGGGCTCGAGTGTGTGAGCACTGAGCCCCAGCGATCCCAAATCTCTCGACCCCTCCTAGCCACCCCCTTGCTACTTCCTGCATTGGCCCCAGGGGCACAGGGTGAGGGGATGTCATGCTACCAACCACCGGCCCTTCTCTCTGGAGGACCTGAGGTCCTTAGTAGGAAAGGCTTGGGACGGAGGCAGCTCCAGTGCCCAGAAAGGCCCCAGACTCCTGGTGGGCTGAAAGGCAGCCTGGCCTGGAGCAGGCAAAGAGGATGGGAAACTGTGGGCTTGCCTTAGGAAACCACGTGACTCGACGCCCCTGCAGGCCTAGTTGGGGCAGCCCTCTTGTCTAGGGGAGCTCCGTCACAGCCTTCAGAGCATCTCTCATCCACCAGAAAGTTCCAAGTAGAGGGTGGGCGCTGGTGCTAGTCCCCACTCTGCCAGGCCTGGCTGCTTATGGGACCCAGTGCAGGTCCTGGCCCTTGGGGACAACCTCCTTCCCCTGATCTCTAGGATGAGAGTGCTGGGCTTGGTGATTGCTTGGGGTCCTTGAAGCGTGGAGTGGGGGTTGGGTTCTGAGTTCTAAACCAATCCGCTGCACTGTGATGATGGCAGGAGGTGGTTCTGGCAGGTGGCTTCCAGAAGTGGGCATGTCCTTGGTGTTGCCAGGTCCCCAGCCAGCATCTTCCTCCACGGCAGAGTCCTTTCTGGGATGCTGATGTTCAGCTGGGATGGGCCTCTTCAGAGGGCCCTGCCACCCACCTTCTGCTGGAGCACACAGTGTGCAAGGGACAGCTGCCCTCCTTCTGGCTATCCGCCACTTAGGGCCCCCATGGAATAGCTTGTGAACAGCAGGAGGGGTGGCGTCTCTCCCACTCTACTTACCCCGCACTGCCAGGCTCCGGAGGTGGGGAGGAGGGGGACAGATGGCCACGGAATGAAGGCAGGAAGGAAGTGCTAGGAGCCAAGGAAGAGAGGAGCAAGAGGCTGCCCCAGGGAGGAAGCAGGAGGAATCCAGAGGGAGAAAAGACAGCAGGCCCCACAGAGGCTGGGCTGGACCTGGAGAGGGACAAGGAGCTGGTCCTGGGGTGGGATGAGGCCAGAGCTGTGGAGAAGGCTCGAGGAACGCGTGGAGTGGGGCCGTGGTGGCTGCCTTCCCCTTAACTCAACAAATGGGCAAATGGACAGACAGACAGGAAGCACAGAGAGAGATGGCAAAGAGACATACGGAGGAAGTCAAGGGGGAGGGAGGCGGAGGCACAGCCATGCCCCCTGCTGCCCTCAGCTCCCAGGAAGGAAGGTGCTGGGAGGCCACGAACCATTTCTGGCTTTAACTGACTTGGCAGAGCCTCCTGTCCGCCTCTCTGGGTGGAGTGGCGGCGAGGCCCCTTTGGGCCCACGTCTAGGGCACTGGAGGCGCCGACTGCTTTTCAGCCCAACTGCCACGGTGTCAGCCAATATTTGTGACAAGGGTAGGTGGCCCCATGATGAGTGTGGAGCAAGCTGGAGGTGTACGTGGCCTGTGGTTTGGAGAAGGAGTGTGTGTGTGTGTGTGTGTGTGTGTGTGTGTGTGTACGCGCGCACGTGCTCTGTTCCCAAGGGGGACAGGATGGGCCTCCTCCCTTCCTTAAAGGACAGAGTGGCCCAAAATGACAGCTTATGCAAGAGGAGGGGTGACCCCCACCAGGGACCTCTCACCAGTTCCTAAAAAAAAAAAGAAAGGAAAAGAAAAGCAATCAAGCTGGAAGAGTCTGTGATGGAAAAAGGCGTGGTTAAGGACTCCCACCTGCAGGGGAGTGGCGTGTTCGTGTTGGCAGAGGGGAGCGCTTCGGGGGCTTGCTAGAAGGAAAGGAAAGAGGTAGCATAGAACCATCCTGGCAAAGGCCCTGGGCCCACGCGCGAAAGTTTACTCTTTGGTGTATAAACTCTCTTGAGTTTGCTGGAAAAAGCAGGCTGCCTGGCTGGGCCCACTGGGTTCCCTGCATTCTCTCCCATCAGGGTAGTGGGGTCAGCGGTGGAGTGGCCTTCCCTTTGTCTTTGTAAAAAGATGTGAGCAATTCTGGAAGTTTCTACCTCCTTAGGACAGCCCCTGGGTTCTCTTTAAACTGTGACCAACATGGTGGGAAATTTTCCTGGCAACGTCTTGAAGAGGCCTCTGAGTGCCAGTTCTGGGGAAACCTCTAACACCCGGTGGCTTGGGGCAAGGCCTACAGGGCAGGCACCACCTGTGCAGTAGTGATTGGTCAGCACTGAGCCCACCTGGGGACAGGTGACAGCGGCATCCTTAGGAAACCACTTCAAGGAGGATGCTGGAAGCGCCGCTCCAGTTCCTGGGTACGTGGGCTAGATTCTTCTGTGGCAAACAGTGTGGGAAAGGCACCCGCCACCCCTCCAGCCCCGGGAAGGCGGCCCTGAGCCCGCGTGCTGCCCTGATGCTGCACCACTGAACACTGAGCAAGGCCCTAGCCTGACACCAGACACCCCCAGAAGCGGCCCAAGTTCATGAAGAACCATCGGCAAAGGCAGACAAGTTCAAGAAAAGAGAACCAATGGCACAAGGAGCACTAAACACAAACCGAAAAACCAAACAAAGCAAAGAACGGGAGGTCCGGAAGTGCCATGGGTTGAATACGTTTCATAAAAGAATATGGCTTTCGAGAGACACCGTCTGGGCGGGAAGGACTGGACAGGGCGGTAAAGAAAGAACAGAAAAGCCACGGTGAGCGGAATGCAAGACTGCAAAAGAGAGAAGGCCGAGCTGGGGAGGCTTATTCTTCCCCAGAGATGCCATTTATGAGAGAAAAGGGAAGTCAAGACTCACTCCCAGCAGCACTGGTAGGATTGGCAGCAGAGAGAATTGCGTGAGTAGGGGTAGAAAGATTGGTTACGTCATGAAGCTGGCTGAGGACCGAAGACCGCCGGCGCACAGCACCCTGAACTGAACCGCTTCTCTTGAAGGTACTCACTACCTCCATCTGTGGGAGAGAAAATGAGATAAAGTTTGGCTTGCACTGTTGTCCAGGCTATCACGGAGGGGAGGGCTGGGCGAGGATAGGGGCCACCACTGGGCACATAGGGTGACAGCAAAGCCTCATCGGGTCACCCCGCTCACTGGGAGCTGGCGATGTTTGGACAGGGCCCTGACTGAGGCCAGCCTCTGTGCCACCCACCGAGAGAGGGTTTGCTGAGCAGATGGTTAGTGGTCATGAGATTGGGAAGGGAAGGGGGTCACAAGTCAGGGCACACTGCAAACATGTCAGAAATGCCCCTTGCAAGCCACTTATCAGGAAGTACTTCATAGTTCTCAACCTTGTTTTTCCTCTCCAACACACCTGAGGGACATGACACGCTCCTATTAGAACCCGCCCTGCTTCCTCTAAACCCGGAGGACTTATGCCCCATGCTCCATCCGCCTGCCCGTCTCCGCCAGCTTCTGTGGCTCATCTGAGTGACTGGGCAGGGGGCGCCCCCTCGAAACTTCAGCAGAAGAATGGACCTAGCGGAGGAGGGGGTTTTCCCACCGACTGGCAGCCGTGGCTTCGCTTTGTCCCCACTCTTACAGCTTCCTGCAAATTGAAGGGGAAGCAAGGCTGGGGAAACTGAGGCCTGCAGGAGGGCCTTGACCCAGTGTCTTTGGATTTCCTGACCTGCCCTTGGCTGGGATGGGGACTCATGTCCGTCTCACTGGAGATGATGTGAACAGCAAAGCCAGTGTGCGCATCTGGAGCCCAAAGCTACCTGCTCCAGCCCGAGCCCTGCAGTGCTATGTGGTGGCCACCAGGTTCACCTGGGTGTCTTGAAACGGGCCAGGGCTTCGTGGAAGAAGGCAGCTTGAGTGTTCAGACTCCCCCTGCACCGGCCAAAATGAGGATGTACGCCACTTCAGCCTTTGACGCGCTGTGGAAAGGACTCCTCCTTCTTCTCAGCCTGCCCAGTCCCCTTCCGCCCAGCACATCCCACTCGCTTGCTTGTCACAAGGGGAACCTCATGGCACTTGCTGCGACCGTGAGGAATGCATACTGAGTGTGTCAGCGCACGGAAGGAGGATGGTTGATGTGATGGCGTCGCGGTGGCTTGCGGGGTGGGGGGTCTCCTGTCTAGATTCAGGAGAGGACTCTCGCTGCGGCAAAAGTGATGAGGGATAGGAAAGATGCCTTTCCTGCCTCAGATTTGCATTGGTCTGGCCTGGCTACAGATGGTGTCCCAGTGGGAGAGCCACATCAGTGACAATACCACAGTCGCCACCACCCCACACCTGGAAGCCCAAGAGCTGAGCCGGGAGCAAGGCCCAGTTGCTGACGAAGCTTCTCTTTGCATTATAATGGGATGCAAAAAAGACAGACCGAGTCATGAGCGCTTCAGAAAGCTACATGTTCTGGGTTTGAAGGACTCTTTTATTCTGGAATGACACCCTGTCCATCTGGTGCGTTGATATGTTAGTATGGAACCATGGTGCGAGCAGGTTACAAAATGCCTTCACTTAGCAACAGAAAAGCTTGTGCCGGCCTCCAAAATCTGGGGAGCGATTTTGTGGTTCCCAAAAAGCAGAAACCTGGGGCCAGCTGCCTAGGAAATGTTTTTCTTGGCTTGGGGCATACGTACAACCTGACGGGCTTCTCCCAAGCTTTAGCTCCATTTTTCAAGCAGGTGTTTCGAATCAAAGAGAGCAGATGCTCTTACATAGCTGGCTAAAAGAACCGACTGGTTCAGCATTCCTGAGAAACATGGTGAGTTGGATGTGACAAAGTCAAAGCGAAAAGCCATGGGGGTCAGGAGCCCGTGGAAGAGTCGGATCGGCTGGTGCCAAGGGGAAAGAGTGCACCCTGTTTCCTCATACGCAAAACAGGGGACTCAGCTGCCCGTGTCTCTGTGAGCACCGACAATTGGAACAGCCTGGAACTCTAAGACTCTGACCGATGGGACTCGCTTCTACTAGCCAGGCTGCAGCGGCCCCCACATACAGAGGACACGAGACACACAGGTGGCCGGGGTACCACTGACACCACTGATGCTTCAGGTCAGGGCAGGGCTGTTGTCTCAGCTGCTGGAAAACCTAACGTCGCCTTCGGCTGCGGCGGCAGGAGTGAAGTGGGCCGCCGAGGGGCAAGGTCCTGCTGTCCTCACCCCCCACCCCAGGCTTGGGCAGCTCTGGGCTCTGTAGCACAACAGGGGTACGATAGATAAGAGCCCATCTGGGGGCAGCTGGGGGGCCCATAGGCATGGTCTCGTAGAAGGCACAGTTGGGCCGCTAGGAGGGCACTGGGGGAGATGTGAATGCTGCTTCTAACATTCGATGTGTTTAAGATTTAGCGCAGAAATATTTATTGCAGGGAACGAGAACAGACTATCTGTGCTGCACCCCTGGCCTGTCCGAGCATTGTGCTTGAGGCAGTAGCCCCTGCACGTGGGAGGGGAGACGCAGGCCATCTGGCGACAAAGCCTGCTCCCCTTCCTCACCGGGGCTCTCTGTGTTCTGGCCAGGCCAGGGCATAGGTGACAGTGTTCAGAGTCCAGACCTAACACATCCTTCCCAGGCTACGCTGTGTTCGGTGCCTAGGATGCCAGCCTCGCCTCCCGGTTCTCAGCTGGAGAGGCCCCTTGGACCCCTGGGGGGCTCTTGAAATGTGGAGTTCTTTGTTGCCCCTTGACCTAGCCCTGCGTGATCGTGGTCTCTGGGGGACTCTGTAGCTCTGGAAAGTTTTGCAAGGAGCCCGTGGTGAGAGTGAGAGGAGTCAAAGAGGGCTTTGTAAGCATGAGGGCCCAGGGGACGCAGCGGGAGTTGGGGAGGTGCAGTGGCACAGGCGGGCAGAGGGCATGATTGGAAAGGCAGCCGGGGGTGCAGGGGTGCAGGTGTGCAGGAAGGTTGGGGTGACACCAAGAGGCAGGGGCTTGAAGGCCATGGTCAGGAGCGTAGACTTCATCCTTAGGACAATGGAGAGAGGCTCCACCAGTCCCACTGCAGAGGGTGGTGTTGGAGGGGCTGAGCTGAGCCAAGGCAAGCAAAGGAGGCTGAGGCCCAGGGAGTGGGGTTGCCCTGAGGCTGGGTCCCTTGAGACTCGGCC